>NC_000007.14:143106779-143406779 GCF_000001405.40 Homo sapiens | reverse complement strand
GTCACCAAAATGCGTGTAGGGATTCCTCCCGCCTGCAGTCAGTTCTCTCTGGCAGATTCTTCAGTGGACAGTAGCTGAGTGTCCTCTAATCTTATTCAGTTCTTACACTATCTACCTGGAGATAGCCTCAGGTTGAGGGCTCAGCCCCACAAGACTGCCCTCCTCTAGACAACAATCACAAGTAACATGTTGTCACCTATACTTCTGTTCCATCGGCTGTAATCAGGTTTACCTGACCCTCCTCCTCGGGTTCAATTAGTTTGCTAGGATGGCTCACAGAACTCAGGGAAACATTGACTTGGATTTACTGGCTTACTATAACGGTTATTACAAATGGTACCATGAACACCAGATGGAATAGCTGCATGGGGCAAGGTATATGTGAAGGAGGCGAGCCACCCTGCAGGGACCTAATCATGTATGGCCATCCAGAAGCCCTCCCAACCCCATCCTTCTGGGCTTTTATGGAGACTTCATTACATAGGCGTGATTAATTAGATCATTGCCCACTGGTTATCAGCTCAACCTTCAACCTCTCTACCTTCCCTGGAAGTTGGGGGTGGGGCCGAAAGTCCCAACTCCAATCACAAGGTTGCCTTCTGCCACCCAGGCCTCCCCCACCCCAGTCTAGTTCCCATCCCCGGCAGTCAGCTCACTAGCATATAAAAAGACATTTGTCACTTCAGGGATTTTGAGGGCTTTAGGGGTTGTTTGCCAGGAAATGTGGACAAAGACCAAATATATATTTTACAATTCACAGCACCCTTTCTGCCAGCAGCACAGCTGGTCACAGAACCACTTAGGGGGCTGCCTAAGTTACTGGAGCATCTACAACTCTGGCTCTGGAACCCCTTCTCTCAGGGTTTCCTTCCTTACCCCAGTACTTGAGACTTCAATCCAGCCCCTGTTTCTGGGGTCAGGGTTACTTGCTTTCTTTCCCTCTGGGTCCTACAGTCCTGGCTCCGTTCTCTGTTCTCCTACAGAGTAGCCTGTAATTAGAGCTAATAGACTAAACCATAGTGGATCCTCCAGGAGGGGCCGTTTGGAAGATCCAGCCCTAATAGTTGACTTATCTCATAAATCAGCTAATCACCCACAGTGATAGCTGCAGGTCAGACTTCTGGCTCCCATGGGCCTTCCTTGGGCCCTTGACACCTCCACCCAAATAACTCTTCCCTAATTTGACTGGAATGGCAGCAAGGCCACTTTCTCAGCACAGGCAAAACAGTCCTGCATGCTAGGAGGGCAAGGAGACAGCCAGCAGTCATACACTCCCACTATCTACCTTGTCCCCCTCCTTCTCCCCATCTTTTCAAAACACACACACACACACACACACACACGCACACATGCACACGCAGGCATTCAGGTCCAGAATGCACCCATGTGGCAGCCAGCAGCGCCTGAGTGATAAGCAAAAGGATCCTTACTGCTGATCCTGGACAGCTGGCTCTCGCCCATCTGTCACTGCTGGAACTGGGAGAGGCAAGGCACAGCTGGGAACATCTGCTTCTCCTGGCTCCAGCTTCAGCCACGGCAATCTGGCTAATGAGCTGCACGTTAACCACTCACCACCCTGCCCACCTGACCCCCGCCAGTGCCTTCCACTTGGGCTTCCCCAGCACAGCCTTCCTTAGGAGAAGCCTCCTGGTGCCTTTTTCATTCCAGCTTCCTTGCCTTTTAGACACCCCTTGCCCAATCTTTGAACTCCCTAACATAATGCAGAAATATGTGCCTCATAGCAGCTTCTATTTCTGCCCCACCTCACCCCAAATTTTTGATTAATGATTTTTTTTTTTGCCTTTTCCCAGAGCTGAGGGTAGGGATGAGGGCCCCTGCATTATAATGGAGTAGAAACCTCAGGAAAGTGAACTTTCTAAGGGCCTCAGTCTATTCTGCATTAAATTATGGGGTTGCAACAAAAATATCAATAGAATACTTTATAGAATTTGAGAGCTTTTGAAAATTCATCTGACAGAGGAAATAAGAATGGTTGAGAAGAGTTTTTGAAGAATGAAATGGGAGACTTGTCTGACAAGCAGATATCAGAACCATCAGCTATAACTAAAACATATGTCTTGCACAAGATCACTCAGGTTAATGGGACAGGATAGAAAGTCCAAAAACGAGCCTACACATATGAGGTTGTAGTATGTGATAGCATCGGAATTGCAAATCAATATGGAAAGTAATACCTAGTTAATAAACTGACGGTTAGATATTCATAATTTTTAAATAAATATATAAAGATATATCTCTCCATAGCCACGCGCGGTGGCTCACACCTGTAATCCCAGTACTTTGGGAGGCCGAGGCGGGCGGATCCTGAGGTCAGGAGATCGAGACCATCCTGGCTAACACAGTGAAACCCCATCTCTGCTAAAAATACAAAAAAATTAGCCAGGCATGGTGGCGAGCGCCTGTAGTCCCAGCTACTTGGGAGGCTGAAGCAGGAGAATGGCGTGAACCCTGGAGGCAGAGCTTGCAGTGAGCCAAGATCGCACCACTGCACTCTAGCCTGGGCAATAGAGCAAGACTCTGTCTCATAAAAAAAAAAAAAAGATATATCTCTCCATTATACACAAAATTCATTCTAAGAAAACTAAAATCTCAACCTAAAAGCCAACCTACACAAATTTTAGGAGAAAATATAGATCATTATAATCTTGAGATAGGAAAACTTCCCAAGTCAAATATACAACCCAGAAATCATGAAGGGAAATACTGTAGATGTTATTATGTAAGAAATTTACAATGTAAGTCCACATCAAAACATCATTAGCAAAGCTAAGTGGTATGGCAGACAGGGAGAAAATATTTGAAACATACATTTGAAGGAAATGATTCGTGTCTATAATAAGTTTAAAAAAGAAACTCATCCAACTGAGTAATCAAAAGATAATAGAATGTCATGCAAAGGTTATAGACAGATAATTGCATAAACATACAAATAGTCAATGAACAAAAGAGAAATATACAACTTCCTCCTCTAAGAAATGCAAATTAAAATGCTAAGAAGCTGTGTTTTGACCCTAGGATTGGCAAAAGGCAAAAAGGTTATTAGTATTCTGTGTTGATGAAGTTTTGAGAAAATGAGCCCTCTTGTGTTGCTGGTGGAAGTGTAAATTGATAAACCTTTTTTGGAAGACAATTTGACAGTATCTTATAAAACCTGTAGTATGTCTAC
Source organism: Homo sapiens (assembly GCF_000001405.40). Classification (NCBI taxonomy): domain Eukaryota; kingdom Metazoa; phylum Chordata; class Mammalia; order Primates; family Hominidae; genus Homo; species Homo sapiens. The sequence goes on along the minus strand of NC_000007.14, from coordinate 143,403,592 downwards.
CCTTTGATATGGCAGTTCCATGGAAATCTTACATCAATCTGTACATGATTTCTTTAAAAAGAAAAAAAAACTAGAAGCTGTCTAAATGTCCAACAATAGGTGAATGGGACTAAATAAATTATGGCCTTCTCTACAATGGAGTATTACTTATGGATTGCTTTAAAAAAAAAAAGTAAGAAAGCTCTATATACACTTTTGTGGCTATCTTTCAAAGACTTTTTTGAGAGGGAATCTTGCTTTGTCGCCCATGCTGGAGTGCAGTGGCGAGATCTTGGCTCACTGCAACCTCCGCCTCCTGGGTTCAAGCCATTCTCCTGCCTCAGCCTCCCAAGTAGCCGGGATTACAGGCATGTGCCACCACACCCAGCTAATTTTTTTGTATTTTTAGTAGAGATGGGAGGTTTTGCCTTGTTGGCCAAGCTGGTCTCGAACTCCTGACCTCAGGGAATCTGCCTTCCTGGGCCTCCCAAAGTGCTAGGATTACAGGCGTGAGCCACCACTCCCGGCCCTCAAATACTTATTATTTGTGAAAACAGAAAGTAGCTTACAAAATAACACTTGTATGATCCCGTGTTGAAAGCAAAACTCAGAAACATTCAAGCAGTTCTCTGGAGGCATTGAAAAATGGTCTGGAAAGTTTTGCTAACAATTGCTGAGAGTGGCTGCCTCTGAGAATGAGAGTGGAAGGATGAGGGTGAGGGAATTAAACTTTATTCTGTGTAAGTCTTTACTTTTTGACTTTTCACAATAAGCACACAGAGGTATAATGATTAAAGGCATGAATTCTGGAACCTGGAGTGTCTGGCTCATTTCCCAGCTCTGCCTCTCATAGCTGAGTACCTTGGCAAGTCACTCGACCTCCCTGTGCCTCAGTTTCCTCGTGGAAAGTGCTTAAACCGGTGACTGGGCCACAGTAAGCACTATGTTAGTGCTAGCCATTAATATTACTAAGTTTAAAAGTTCTTTTCAGATAAAAGAAGCTAACAGCCTGGCCAACGTGGCAAAACCTTGTCTCTACTAAAAATACAAAAAATTAGCCAGGCATGGTGGTGCATGCCTGTAATCCCAACTACTCAGGAGGCTGAAGTGGGAGAATCGCTTGAACCTAGGTGGCGGAGGTTATAGTGAGCCAAGATTGTGCCACTGCACTCCAGCTCCAGCCTGGGTGACAGAGTGAGACCTTTGCCTCAAACAAACAAACAAAAAGTTAAGGGGAGTAGACTAGATAGTATCAAGAAGTCCAGCCAAATCTGTCAATTGTTGATTTCGATGATGGCTATAATTGAAATATTGGAGAGGATGAGAATCCTCTGTACAGTTCTGTGCTTGTTCTTACCCTCCAAATCTAAAGGGTTTTAATAATTAAAAATAAATCTTGGGCTGGGTGTGGTGGCTCACAGGCTTTGGGAGGCCAAGCAAGAGGATCATCTGAGTCCAGGTGTTTGAGATCAGCCTGGACAGCATAGCAAGAACTCATCTCTACCAAAAAAAAAAAAAAGAAAGAAAAAATAGCCCAGTGTGTTGGCAGGCACCTGTAGTCCCAGCTACTTGGGAGACTGAGCCCAGGAGTTTGAGGCTATAGTGAGCTTTGATTATACCACTGCGCTGCAGACAGAACGAGACCCTGTCTCTGAAAAACAAAAAATTCACCAATATCCTCTTGAAGAAACAGAAGGGTTTTGTAAATGAGCTTTGCCTTGGGGGTACCTGGCTGTTCTGCTGATGAAATAAGTGGACTAGACTAACTGAAGGGACCAGGATCAACTAGGGATGTTAAGGGACTATTGTCTTGCCCATCTTATATCCAAACAAATCCCCAACCCTAAACACTCAGTCTACTGTCCTGGAGCTGAGGGGTGGGGAGAGGCAGAACAAGTAGCATAAACCTGAGGGGCTCTGACACAGCTGCTTCTCCATCAGCTCTAAAAACCAAGGGTTTGGGGAGCAGGGGATGATCTGGTCCCTGACTCTGATTTCCTCCTTGCAGTGGAGTGAACAGCAACAGATACTGAATGGGACACCCCTGTACATGTACCAGGACTGCCCAATGCAAGGACGCAGAGACACTGACCACTGGCTTCGCTCCAATTGGATCTACCGCGGGGAGGAGGCTTCCCGCGTCCACGTGGAGCTGCAGTTCACCGTGCGGGACTGCAAGAGTTTCCCTGGGGGAGCCGGGCCTCTGGGCTGCAAGGAGACCTTCAACCTTCTGTACATGGAGAGTGACCAGGATGTGGGCATTCAGCTCCGACGGCCCTTGTTCCAGAAGGTGCTGCTTCCCTCCATGCCATCTGGGTCCTGGTGCAGATCCCTGGTGGCTCCTTATTGGGTGCCAGAGAAGGTTGCAGAGACAGGAAGAGGGTGCAGAGGTAGAATCTTGAAAAGAATTTGGCGCTTGAAGGCTGGGCATGGTGGCTTGTGCCTGTAATTCCAGTGCTTTGGGAAACCGATGTGGGAAGATCACTTGAGGCCAGGAGCTTGAGACCAGCCTGGGCAACATAGCAAAACTTCATCTCTGCAAAAAATTAAAAATCACCTGGGCATGGTGGCCCATACCTGTAGTCCCAGCGACTCAGGAGGCTGAGGCAGGAGGATCACTTGAGCCCAGGAGTTTGAGGCTGCAGTGATCTATGATTGTGCCACTGTACACCAGCCTGGGCAACAGAGCAAGATCCTGTCTCTAAAGAAAAAAAGAACAGTGTGGCATTGGAAATCAGAAGGGCTGGATTTGAGTATCTTTTCTGCTGTGCCGTGACTTTGGGGGTGTCATTTAACCTCTCCAGCTTTTGTTGCCTAGTCATAAAATAGTGACAACAATAGGGCCAGCTATATCTATTTTATAGGCTTTTATAAGCATCCACTGAGATCACAGGATACCATGGGGAGGAGGGAAGTGTAGCACAGAGTTATTTAGACTTTTCCTATTGATACCCACGATGTTCATAAGCAACCCACTCCCATAGTATCACTGGAGTCATGTAGCAAGACAATTCCCTGCAGGCTAGTACTCTCCAGCACATCCCTTTCTTTCCTACTCAAAAAAACATCCTGGGATGCAGAAGAGTAAGGAGCATTTTATGATAGGATATGCTCTTGTTTCTTTCCAAAGAGAAAATGTTGTAAAATTTGTTACTAGTAATAAATTGATAACGATATGCTCTATAACTCATCATGTTATTGGCACTGAGTTTGGGAATGCCTCTGAATAGCAGAAATTGTATGGACTGTAGAGTCCCAATGCCTGGATTCCAGTCCTAGCCCCATGATGTGGTAGCTGTGTGATCTTATACAAGGTCTTTATCTTCTATTAGCCTTGGTTTCCTCATCTATTAAATAGAGACAATAAGCCATCCTACCTCATAAGAGGATTGCATGAGCTAAATAGCATAATGCACATAAAATGCTTAGCCTGGCACCTCACACATACAAGGCTCAGTGTTCATGGTTGTGGAAAGTATTAAGCAAACGATTGTTTCTGTTATGTGGGAAAGAAGCAGGACTTTGCCATTGCTCCCCTTTCTTCCCCACCTTCTACCCAGGTAACCACGGTGGCTGCAGACCAGAGCTTCACCATTCGAGACCTTGTGTCTGGCTCCGTGAAGCTGAATGTGGAGCGCTGCTCTCTGGGCCGCCTGACCCGCCGTGGCCTCTACCTCGCTTTCCACAACCCGGGTGCCTGTGTGGCCCTGGTGTCTGTCCGGGTCTTCTACCAGCGCTGTCCTGAGACCCTGAATGGCTTGGCCCAATTCCCAGACACTCTGCCTGGCCCCGCTGGGTTGGTGGAAGTGGCGGGGACCTGCTTGCCCCACGCGCGGGCCAGCCCCAGGCCCTCAGGTGCACCCCGCATGCACTGCAGCCCTGATGGCGAGTGGCTGGTGCCTGTAGGACGGTGCCACTGTGAGCCTGGCTATGAGGAAGGTGGCAGTGGCGAAGCATGTGTTGGTAAGAACGGAGGCGGTGAGAACCTGAGGAACCACTCGGGAGGATTGCAGGAGTACCCCGGCAGAGAAGGAGGCCAGTGCTCCGCCTCAGTGGGTTTTTAACCTGAGTGTCCCAGAGCAGCGGACACACACATGCAGAGATGTTTCCAGTAGAAGGGATTGGGGCAGGAAGGGGTGGTGGTGGTTCTGCCTGTAAAAACATTTACAGAACCACTGCTCTGCTGCGTTCTCTCTCCAGCCTGCCCTAGCGGCTCCTACCGGATGGACATGGACACACCCCATTGTCTCACGTGCCCCCAGCAGAGCACTGCTGAGTCTGAGGGGGCCACCATCTGTACCTGTGAGAGCGGCCATTACAGAGCTCCCGGGGAGGGCCCCCAGGTGGCATGCACAGGTGAGTCCAGGGGGTGGGGCGTGGCCATCTGGAGGGAGGGGCTGGATCTTTGCTGAGACTTTGTCAGGGTTGGATTTTTCCAGAGCTTGTCAGATATTGGAGATGGTCCAGGGTGTCAGGCACTTTTAGCCCCTGCCCTGGCACCCTGCTCTCCCTAGAAGAATGCAGAGATGTAGTCAAACCCAGTAGAAATCAAATCTCCCCAAGAGGACTTCAGAGGACATCGAGAATTGGGTGGTGGTGGAGGCCGGGGATCAGCAGCTCGGGTGACAGCGAGGTCGGCTTCTACTGATGGCTCCTCTTCTCCCACAGGTCCCCCCTCGGCCCCCCGAAACCTGAGCTTCTCTGCCTCAGGGACTCAGCTCTCCCTGCGTTGGGAACCCCCAGCAGATACGGGGGGACGCCAGGATGTCAGATACAGTGTGAGGTGTTCCCAGTGTCAGGGCACAGCACAGGACGGGGGGCCCTGCCAGCCCTGTGGGGTGGGCGTGCACTTCTCGCCGGGGGCCCGGGGGCTCACCACACCTGCAGTGCATGTCAATGGCCTTGAACCTTATGCCAACTACACCTTTAATGTGGAAGCCCAAAATGGAGTGTCAGGGCTGGGCAGCTCTGGCCATGCCAGCACCTCAGTCAGCATCAGCATGGGGCATGCAGGTGAGAGGCTGAGAGGGGCTGGGACAGGGACCTGGTGGAGACAGAAGGGCTTAAGACCACAGAACAAACTGATGGGCAGGAAGCCATAGAAAAGTTACTAAGGTTATTTCCTTTTTCCTTACATATCCAACCTTATCCCTCTGGACCCCCAGAGTCACTGTCAGGCCTGTCTCTGAGACTGGTGAAGAAAGAACCGAGGCAACTAGAGCTGACCTGGGCGGGGTCCCGGCCCCGAAGCCCTGGGGCGAACCTGACCTATGAGCTGCACGTGCTGAACCAGGTCAGGATGCTACTGAGAGATGGTCTTCAGTGTCCATGCCCGGGCACACCCCAACATTCCTAGCCTGGGGTGTGGGTTGGGAGGAATCCACCCGAAGTCCACTGTGTGGCTTTCTCAGGACAAAAGTCTATGAAGAACCCTGTCCTAACCATTCTGCTCTCCAGCCCCTCCCCATGTGCTCTGATGCTGTCCATCACATCCACCCGGGTCTGGCTCAGCACTGCCCACTTAATGCAACTCCAACCCACAGGATGAAGAACGGTACCAGATGGTTCTAGAACCCAGGGTCTTGCTGACAGAGCTGCAGCCTGACACCACATACATCGTCAGAGTCCGAATGCTGACCCCACTGGGTCCTGGCCCTTTCTCCCCTGATCATGAGTTTCGGACCAGCCCACCAGGTGGGGTATCTTGTGCTCTGCCCCAACACACATACACCTGTTGCCTCACTGAGGCAACTCAGCTCCTGTTCCACGTAGTGACTTTTCCTCTTCCTCTACACACATGCACACACACTCCCTTCTTCCGGGGGTAGGGGACAGACACCGACCTGATGCACACTGAAAGGTCTGACCCTAGGTGTACCCAGGGCCCTGCCCTTTAACCCCCCTCATTCCTACGGACTGTGAGTCCCAACACTTCCTCATCCCTTTGTGCCTACAGTGTCCAGGGGCCTGACTGGAGGAGAGATTGTAGCCGTCATCTTTGGGCTGCTGCTTGGTGCAGCCTTGCTGCTTGGGATTCTCGTTTTCCGGTCCAGGTGCCAGCTCCTGCCCCCTCCCCAACCACCAGCCCTGGGTCAGAAGCCCCTGACTGCAGCCCCAACGACCCTCCCATCCCCTAGTATCAAAACCCATCCTGCACTCCCAGCCCGTTTCTGGGGAAGATTCAGCCAGAGTCCCTCGGACCCCTGAGGTGGTCCTGGGGCCCTGAAGGAGCTGGTCCCCAACCCCCACAGGAGAGCCCAGCGGCAGAGGCAGCAGAGGCAGCGTGACCGCGCCACCGATGTGGATCGAGGTGAGTCGGGTGCACCTGCGTGTGTCCCCACATGCGTGTGCACACCTGTGTGTGCGTGTGTGTGTGTGTTGGGAGATGCCACTGGGAAGGGATCAAGGGACACATTTGCTAGGCCAACTCTGGGGGCACATGTGGGGTTTGTTGTCCCCAGGGCTCTTGTGTTTTGCTACCTAATTAACTTTGGTTAATTAACTATGTACTGGTAGCCCCCCAGTGGCTCTGATGCAATTATCTGTTAGTGTCCGTTCACTGCTGGTGCCGCTGTCTTGTCACCCTGGGCTCTGGACAGCCCTCCCCATCCTGGAGGCCAGGGCTGTGGGCCGAGGCCAGGCGGGAGGAGGATTGACGTCCTCCGAGGCTTATGAGCTTCTTGCTTGTCACCTCATTAGGTGACCCACAAAGGGGAGAGTGAGGGGTCCATCCGGGCAGCTGGGGTGGGAGCCATGCGCGGCTCTGTCTGGGAATGTGAACGAGGTGTGACTGACCAGAGCAGTGTGGGGACTGGCCGCTGAGAAGATTGGGCAACTCAGGCAGCAAATATGCTCTGCGGGTGTGGATCCTGGCCACCGCCCCGGACCTTGTGGAGTGAGGACAGCGGAGCTTGGAGCATAGACAGGGAGAAGAAAGGCCTAGTTGCTAAATGGAGACTTTCTCCCACCTCAGCCCAAACAGGAGTCACCTTGGGAAACAGGGAGGTGTGGAGAAGTGTGTGGTCCGCTGCTGGCCCTTCTCCTGACCCCCATACTCCTGAGCCCTGATGTTGGTACTCCCCAACCTCATGTTCTGCCCATAGAGGACAAGCTGTGGCTGAAGCCTTATGTGGACCTCCAGGCATACGAGGACCCTGCACAGGGAGCCCTGGACTTTACCCGGGAGCTTGATCCAGCGTGGCTGATGGTGGACACTGTCATAGGAGAAGGTGAGTCCTGCTGTGCACCGCAGCAGGCCCCCCGCCATGTGGGGCAGCACAGAGCCACCAGCAGGCCCCTTCCTTCCAGCGCTTCCCTGGGCAGCCCAGCTGGCTTCTCTGGTCCAAGAGTTTCCAGAGGTACTCACTCTGCTCTGCTCTGTATCCTCTTTGAACCATTGCGTTCTTGTTAAAAACCCCTCATCAGGTGCCCTGGAGCAACCCCTGTCTCCTACACACTTGCTTCTGTGGTTTTGGAGTTTCTGATAAAGGGCATTAAATACACTGTTTTCATCCACAGAGGTGCTGCTGTGCTGAGGGTCCAGATGTTCTGTGATGATGCCCAAATGTAGGACTCATTCCCTCCCTAGCCTGGCATTCCACCCCATCAGAGGCCCAGTGTCCTTGGGCTGCCCTGTTCCCTTGGGTCACCAGAGGAAATGGATCTCAGTGGAGAACAAAGCTTGGTGGTGTCCTTGCCAATTGTGCAGCTGAGCCAGGCAAGCTGGGACCAGAGGAGCTCACAGAAGAGAGGCGGCCATAGCCAGCGTCCCTGCCACTTGGGTACTAGTGCCGCACTAGCTTGCTCTTCATGAGCACGGCCCAGTCCCGCTCCACAGGGTTCATTCACCCTGCAGTTGCCGAGCGCCTATTGTGAGCCAAGAACTGTGCAAACACTGGGAGACAGTGGTGAATAGGTCACGGCATTGCACTCCAGCTCCAGACTCTGACCTTCCCCAGGAAGGACAGCCCACGCCCTGTCCCAGGAAGGGCACTCCACGCTTCTGATTCTCCAGAAAAGAAAAGGGCCGGAGGACTGGAGGGGTTGCTGCCTGTCCCCTGGAGGAGCCCTGCAGTGCATCGGGCCACAGCCTGTTTTCTTTCTACCCAGGAGAGTTTGGGGAAGTGTATCGAGGGACCCTGAGGCTCCCCAGCCAGGACTGCAAGACTGTGGCCATTAAGACCTTAAAAGACACATCCCCAGGTGGCCAGTGGTGGAACTTCCTTCGAGAGGCAACTATCATGGGCCAGTTTAGCCACCCGCATATTCTGCATCTGGAAGGCGTCGTCACAAAGCGTACGATGAGTGGTCTCCCTCAGCTGGGGGCGGGAAATGCAGGAAAGAGGGGTGAAACCACTGGAAGTGGAGGGAGGATGTGTGGCCAAGGGCAGGAAGCCCGGTTCTGAGTGTGATATGTGTGTCTGTGTCTCAGGAAAGCCGATCATGATCATCACAGAATTTATGGAGAATGGAGCCCTGGATGCCTTCCTGAGGGTGAGGAGGGCAGAGGACTAGCTGGGGAGGGGGATGCACCATGGTACCCTGGGCACTGGGAGGAGACCTGGCCCATCCCCTGACTCACCCACTCACCCTGCTGCAGGAGCGGGAGGACCAGCTGGTCCCTGGGCAGCTAGTGGCCATGCTGCAGGGCATAGCATCTGGCATGAACTACCTCAGTAATCACAATTATGTCCACCGGGACCTGGCTGCCAGAAACATCTTGGTGAATCAAAACCTGTGCTGCAAGGTGTCTGACTTTGGCCTGACTCGCCTCCTGGATGACTTTGATGGCACATACGAAACCCAGGTTAGAGGCCGGTACAAACCCAGTGCACATTCACATTGCCCCGTAACATGCCATTCATACAGTCACATGTATATAGGCACAAAGACTTGGCCAGGCACGGTGGCTCACACCTGTAATCCCAGCACTTTGGGAGGCCGAGGCAGGTGGATCACAAGGTCAGGAGATCGAGACCAGCCTGGCGAACATGGTGAAACCCCGTCTCTACTAAAAATACAAAAAATTAGCTGGGCATGGTGGCAGGCGCCTGTAGTCCCAGCTACTCAGGAGGCTGAGGCAGGAGAATCGCTTGAACCTGGGAGGTGGAGGTTGCAGTGAGCCGAGATTGCGCCACTGCACTGCAGCCTAGCAACAGAGCGAGACTTTGTCTCAAAAAAAATAAAATAAAAATACAATAAAAGAAGCAGAAAGACTCGTGCTCAGGTGGACACCATAACTTTCCGTCCCTGACCCATGTGCCTTCTTAGGGAGGAAAGATCCCTATCCGTTGGACAGCCCCTGAAGCCATTGCCCATCGGATCTTCACCACAGCCAGCGATGTGTGGAGCTTTGGGATTGTGATGTGGGAGGTGCTGAGCTTTGGGGACAAGCCTTATGGGGAGATGAGCAATCAGGAGGTGAGCCCAGAATATTCTTCCTCATCTTGTCTCCAATTCACACCTCTTATTTCCTCCCAAGGTCCTCCCATGGCCTTTTCCTGCAAATATCTTTATTTATTCATGACCTTCAGTTTTTCTGTACTCCTGGCTCCTCTGGTTCTTCACCTCATGCCCTGCTCTCTTTACTCCTCCCACCCTGATCCTCCCACTGTGATCGTCCCACCCTGGTCCTCCCACCTCCTCCCATCCTAGGATCTCCACTGCAATTATCTTGTGTGACCGTCGGTTTCTCATGGGCCTCCAGGTTAGCTTGCTACTCTAGAGCATCCTCCTGTCCCGCCGTGCAGGTTATGAAGAGCATTGAGGATGGGTACCGGTTGCCCCCTCCTGTGGACTGCCCTGCCCCTCTGTATGAGCTCATGAAGAACTGCTGGGCATATGACCGTGCCCGCCGGCCACACTTCCAGAAGCTTCAGGCACATCTGGAGCAACTGCTTGCCAACCCCCACTCCCTGCGGACCATTGCCAACTTTGACCCCAGGTAACCATGCAGGGGAAGGACTAGGGAACCCAGAGGCAGCGCTAGGAGAGTGGAAATGGGCATTCAGCCAATCTTCTTTGAGCGCTGGGCCTGGGGAGCTCTGGACCAAGTCCAGTGTATGAGGCAAGACGTGCCCTTGGGGAGAGTCCAAGAGGTCAGCTTTAGATTATGCATATTTGCAGAAAATCAGTTATGGCTGGGCCCCAGTTCCCTCACTTCACCTGGGCTTGGGGGTGGGGGGCCCATCTTTTCTCTTCTCAGGCAGCCTCACCTAAGACACTCCCGGAGCCATCCTTGCCAATCCCACTGTGTTGTACTGTGGCCCATTCTTGGGATGCATCCCCTTCCCCATAGAAATATTTCTGCATGTGAAGGAAAGGGTCATCCATTCATGAAGTTTTGGAGGACCTACTGGTGCAAGCTGTTTGCTGGACATTGGAGATACAGCTGCACTTATTACCCAAGCTCCAGGGAGCTTGGGCAGCCAGGCTGGGGTGGGGTAGGTAGCAGCAGCCTTGCAGGGTTTGGGAAGGCTTCTGGATCACATGGCTAGTCTGTGGGGAGCTGAGGGCTGGTAGGTTGCAGATAGTGCAGGATGGCTGCGGCATTGTGTTTAGGAATAGCAGCCATGAGGCTGGAGAGACAACCAGTCAACACAAAGAGGACCAGCCCTGTTGAGAAGTTTGGATTTTACCATGAGTGCAGAGTTGTTGTTTTTTTTTCCACCCCGAGACGGAGTCTTGCTCTGTCGCCCAGGCTGGAGTAACGCAGCGCAATCTCAGCTCACTGCAGCCTCCACCTCCAGGGTTCAAGTGATTCTCCTGTCTCGGCCTCCTGAGTAGCTGGGATTACAGGCACATACCACCATGCCCGGCTAATTTTTGTATTTTTAGTAGAAACGGGGTTTCACCATGTTGGCCAAGCTGGTCTCGAACTCCTGACCTCATGATCCGCCCACCTCGGCCTCCCAAAGTGCTGGGATTACAGGCGTGGGCCACCTCGCCTGGCCTGGAGAACCAATTCTTAAAAGCTGTCCACAGGATGGGGGGACATGGTCAGAGCTGCATTTTACCAAAAATATGGCCTGAGTGTAGAGAATGAACTGATGGGGGGGTGGGGGAGCGCTCAGGTTGGGGAAGCAGGCAAGGCTGTTCTTCAAGTGCTTTATTGGGTAGCCAGCCTGGCCAACTGGCCTCTGTATCCAACCACCATATATAACCTTGTTTCTGGGAGAAAACATGCTCTAAGTTCCAACTTTTGAAACTATCTTTTGGAGCGCAACTCCCTCATACACTGGAGACTGCGTGTGCTAATCTTTCTGGAATGCTGGATATTTTTTCCCCCAGCAGATTTACTTTGCTAATGGTTTTTGGCTCTGGCGAGCTTTAGTACAGGAACACTCATTGTATTGTGGGTGTCAGAGTGCAAGAATAACAGCCGAAGCTGAAGGTGGTGAGGAAGGACTGCTCCCGGAACTCAAGCAGCCACTATGGAAAAAGGCAGGACCACGCCCAGGTGCCAGGCCTCTGTTCTCCTACTTTCAGCTTCCTCTCAGACAGGAGACTTCCATGTCTTAACCAGCCCTCAGTCAGGTGCCCAGAACCGGCCACTCCAGCAGGAGACCGGCTGGTGATCCCCTTCTGTTGGGGCTTCCCAGGACAGTCCCTTCCTATAGGCCTGTCGACATAGCAGGACTGTCAGCCAGTCCACTGTTGTGAGCACACCAGGAAACAGGCCAGGAAGTGGGCTCAGAGATAATGGTGGGGTCAATCCACAGTCTAGATGATCTCTGTGCCCAGACACCGAACTTCAGTGCTGGCTGCTGATGCTCAGAGGCCAAGGCCAACCAGATCAGCCCATGTACCCGCTGTGACTGACATGCCCATGTCCCACAGGATGACTCTTCGCCTGCCCAGCCTGAGTGGCTCAGATGGGATCCCATATCGAACCGTCTCTGAGTGGCTCGAGTCCATACGCATGAAACGCTACATCCTGCACTTCCACTCGGCTGGGCTGGACACCATGGAGTGTGTGCTGGAGCTGACCGCTGAGTAAGGAGCTGGAGCTGTCTGGGCAGGGGAGGGCTGCGGGGGTGGAGCCTCCGGACTCATGCCCCCACCCTTCCTTGCCCACAGGGACCTGACGCAGATGGGAATCACACTGCCCGGGCACCAGAAGCGCATTCTTTGCAGTATTCAGGGATTCAAGGACTGATCCCTCCTCTCACCCCATGCCCAATCAGGGTGCAAGGAGCAAGGACGGGGCCAAGGTCGCTCATGGTCACTCCCTGCGCCCCTTCCCACAACCTGCCAGACTAGGCTATCGGTGCTGCTTCTGCCCACTTTCAGGAGAACCCTGCTCTGCACCCCAGAAAACCTCTTTGTTTTAAAAGGGAGGTGGGGGTAGAAGTAAAAGGATGATCATGGGAGGGAGCTGAGGGGTTAATATATATACATACATACACATATATATATTTTTGTAAATAAACAGGAACTGATTTTCTGCCTCCATCCCACCCATGAGGGCTGCAGGCACTACAAAAGAGCTGACTACTGAGAATTCTGGAAAACAAGGTTTTTTTTTATTTGTAGCTATAGCTACAACTTGGCAGCATGGGGGAGGGTGGGAATGTCCTGGAGGGTCTCCCAGCCCTCCGCAAGCAGAGTACAAAGGCTGCTCGGGGGGCCGGCCGAGGGCGCGGGTGCAGCAGTGAAAGCAGCAGCACTAAACCTGGTGCCCCCCTCAGGTGGGGTGTCTGGAAGACGGTGGGCAATCCCTGCAGGATGGGCGAGGACCAGACCCCAGGGCGGGGATCCTGCATCCCTAGACCATGTTGGGTCCTGGGTCAGGGCACCTGGGATGCTAGGGAGGGGTTGGAAATGGGAGGGGCTAGACATCAAAACAATAACTGAGGTGGGGGCAGGTGGTCTCAGTGTGGGTGGTCCACAATGGGGCATGGACTGCGGTCTGAAGAGGGCCTGTCCTCACTCAGGTCTGGGCTCTAGCAGTGTGGCACTTCCGACAGAGCACGTGACCGTCCAGGGGGAAGCAGCCATTGTCATCTGCCTCAATCGACAGGGGCTTCCCGCAGTCCTGGGAAGAAGGAAGGGTGAGGGGCACTGGACCGGAAGGCCCCTGCTCTGCTCCACCCTACCCCACCCCATCCAGCTCCATCTTGGAATTAGAAAGATGCTTCATGGCTCAGAGCTGGTGTCATCGCTTTTTCCAGCCACACCCAACTCCCCATCCCTATCCTACTTCCAGTCACCCACTAGGACCTTCCTGCAAGAGGGCAAGCAGTGGGTAGAGCTGCTCCCAAGGTGCTTGCTCCCCTGCCCACCACCACCCTAATAAAATAGAGGTTGGCTCACCTCCATTCGAAGACCTCTTCTCTCAGCTCCTGTTTCCCCATCCCCTACCACGGTAAAACACCATGCCCTTCTTCTCTCCTATTGGCTTGTCCCATTTCTTGGCTTATCCATGACTCAAAGTGACCTCAGAAGCCCCACAGCCCCATTTCCTGCAGTGGCAGGAAGCATTCTGGCAGGACAGATGGGGTGCCACCATGAGCCACCCTCAAAATCACAGCCCTGTTTCCTGAATGCTGGTGCTTTCCACCTCCCAGTTAGTAAGCAGCATCTCCCGCCACCTCCTGGTCAGAACCTGCCCAAGGAGTCCAGAGGGATGGCTGACCTCACACTTGTAACACTTCATGTGGAAGTTCTTGTCCAGGGCGACCACTCGCACAGTCTCATCTCGGCCAGGCTCAGGCATGATGGGCTCAGAGCAGACGGAGCACCTCGGGGCGTACTGCCTGGAAGGGGCAGAAAGGGCCAGCCGAGTTAGCCAGGGCTTTCATCCCCGGTGTGCGCACGCATAAGCCAGGTTGGGCAGCAAGGAAGCAGACTTCTCTGCCCTGCATCTCCAGGTGAAGGAAGCTCACCAGAAGGGCCTAAGAGTGAGACACCATGACTGGCCCTCATCAAAGGGAATTTCCTGCCTCACCAGTCACTCTCCCAAAGCAAGGGAGCCTCCCACACACCTGCCACGGTGTTCTCTCCCACTCGACCCTTACTGTCCCATTCACACTGCAGCTCCTGCAGAAAGCCAGCCCTGAGGTACCCCTCCCATCCCATCCTGGGTCCCTGACCCTCACCTTCCCCCAATCCTCCCACCCCCATGCACGTTGCCTCTGCCCTGACTGTCTGGCACTGTGGAGGGATGTGAAGTTGTGGCCACCCCAGATGGAATCCTGAAAGTGTTTACCCAAACACTCTGTCAGAGGTGGGGGTCAGATTCTGCACTGTTCCCACAGCTGCACTGAGGTTCTGCGGGTCAGCCTGAAAAAGTAGCCACCTTCTAAACACTATTTCTGGGGAGAAACCAGAAATCCAAACAGCTGATCTCCAAAAGAACTTTTAGAACCCAGCCTGTGTGTGAGATGAAGTCACTCCAGCACACTTCACGAAATGCTGACATACACCCACAATAAGCTTCAGTGATCAAGGGCGAGGGAGGGACCAGACAGCAGCAGGACTCGATGCCCAGGCCTAAGGCCCCTGGACAGCTACATCCCGATGACTTGGTCCCTGCTGTTTACAGACAGGACATGGGACCAGAAAACACCACCAGGGGTTTGGGGCTGTCCTGAGGCTAGGGTAGCAAGCAGCCGGGCTACCAGACCAAGCACGCCGGGAACCCAGAAGGCAGGTGGCAGGTCCTCACTTGTGGTAGTCGGGGACACAGTGGGGCCGGTTGGCCTGGTCCACGATGAAGGAGGTGCCCTCCAGGGGGCGGGCGCAGACCACACAGGTGAAGCAGTGCGGGTGATAGGCCTTGCCCGTGGCCCTCAGCATGCGGTCAGTGATGGGCTCCCCGCAGGTGTTACACTTCTCCAGGGTGTCCTGAGGAGGCAGCAGGAGGAGGTTGGCAGGGAACCGGCACCCCACAGCAAGCTTCCAGGGCCCGACTGCCCAGCACAGCCCAGCACAGCCCAGCACAGCCCGACTCACAGTGTAACAGCCCTCGCAGTACGGCGCCCCCTCCAGACTGTAGAACTGCTGGCCCTGGAGCTGCTGCGCACACTGGTGGCAGGTGAAGCAGGCGATGTGGAACAGCTGCCCTAGAGCGCGGACGGCTGGCTGCGCCCGGGCCAGGGGTTGATGGCATCGGCCGCAGAGTTCTGGGAAGGCCAGAGAAGACAGCAGTAAATAGAAGGAAGTATGTAGAGCTGCGAGGGATCAGCCAGCTCAGATAGGGAGTGGAGCCACAGCCCTGGCCCCCACCGTGATGTGGGGGCAGGGTGGGGGTGTCCCGGTGGGGTGGGCTCACCGTTGACAGCCACATTCTGCCTCTGAGGATGCTCCATGTCCTGCATTAGCTGCTGGGTCAGCTGCTCCAGCTCCTCCACCTCCTTCAGAGTCAGGGGCCCTGGGGCCCCAGGGGAGCGCACCTGCAATCCCAACATTTTCCTCACACTCTAGAGGGCTGCTGCCTCCAAGAACCTTCCCAGGCCAGCCTACCCGGCTTCTTCCGATGAGGCTTAGCTCCCAGCTCGTGTCCCAGATGCTCAGGCTTGACCCTTAAAGCTTCTCCCTCGTCCCCCTACCCCCGCCATCCCCAGCACCACACAAATAACAGGGGAAGGGACCTAAGCCTGGATCTCGTACAGCAAGACATTTCCACCCACTCTGCCCAAACCCCCTGAGCAGTCACAGACAGGCCAGAATGACTGGGCGGACGGAGGCCACGCACACAGCAGCTCGGGTCACTGAAGCACCGGACACTCCAGGGCCACGCATCAACTCCACAGAGCATGCTCGGACATCGCCCCCATGGGACAGGGGCACGCAATGGCGTGCACACACGCGCACACACACCTACCCGGCCTGCCTGCTGCTGAGCAGCCCCTGTCAGCGTGAGGATACAACACAGGCAGGAATTGCAGGTTAAACCCACTGAGCTGTCTGCAAGAACCCAGCCCCACCCCCACACAGAGACCCTGTCCCTCGAGTGAGGGGCCTCTGAACTACCTCACTCAGGTCCCTCCCCAGCAGCCTCAGAGAAGGTCCAAAGGCCACCCCCTAGGCCAGCCCAACCTTCCCATTTAGGGGATCCCGGGGACTGGAGTGGGGGGTGGATGTTAAGGACAGCGCTGCCAGTAACCCTGAGAGGTAACCCTGAGAACTCCGGGAAGGGCTGTCTGACCTGCATCAGCACTGCCGGGAGACACGCCCACAGGAGCAAGTGCACTGGGTGGGTCTTTTCTATGTCTGGAAAAGCCTACCCAGGACTGTGGCCCCATCACTGAGTGTGCTACCTGCAGATGCCTTCATTCCCATAACACCTGGAACCTCCAAAGCCCCCCTGCTACCTCCTCCCATAGCCCCTCTCCCCTCAGCCCTGGCTTCACTGCCCCTCACCCCGACCCCCATCTGTACCCAGAGTTGCGTCCTTTCTGCCCAGTGAAGCATGCGTCCATATAAGTCCAACTCTCCAGATCTTAGCCATTTTCCCTTAAGATCTTAGCCATCTTCCCTTAAGATCCTACCATCTCTTAACTGACTCGTTCCCTGGAACACTCACTTCAACTTTGTCTCCTCCAATCTTCCCTTCCTGGCCTCTTGGGGACACAGTGAAGGGGCTCAGTCAGTCCTTGCTCTCCAGTGCCATTCTAAATGCCTGGCTCCTCCTTCAGAAGCACAGAATCCTCATCTGCATCACCTCCCATGGGTATCCCCATTCATCAGGACACTCTATCCAGAACTGCCCCCTCTGCCAGCCTGCACCAATGCCACCGCTTCAAACCAAACTTCCGTCCATCTCAGTCATCATCCATCATGGGACATCCTTGACCTCAGATTTACCTCCAAGTCTCTTGCCAGCCATTATCTGCCTCTCCTCTTCCCCATCCACACCTACTACATGAACCCAGAAAAGCCTTAGTTGCCCCCACCCGCAACCCACCCCTGGACTTTGTCCACCATGCCCCAGCCTGGTCCCATGACCATCTAACTCCTACAGGGTTCACTGTCCCTCCGGGCACCTGCAGCCACCCGCAGCTATCCGGCCCAGTCTCCAACCCCAAGTCACACCACCACCCTCTTCCTGTTTCTGCTTCCAAGCTGCAGAAAGCAGTGGAGAGATCACTGAACACTGCAGCGTGAGCTCACAACACTGCAGCACCCGCGCGACCTCCAGCCCAGCCTTCCCCACAGCAGCCGTTCCAGACCTCTCCATCTCCTGAGCCCCCACCTGCTTCGTCCCTTTGCTCGCACCGTGACCTCACCTCCCACATGGTTGAGGACATGGAAGCCAGCCAGCTTAAGCTCCCTCATCGTCCTTCCTATCCACGCTGCAACCACTCTGTCCTTGCTGTCTGGTATGCCTCTGGGGGAGGAGACATCACCAAGATCTCCTCCAGGGACCGAAGCAGCCTGCCCCTGCTCTCCCACAACACTCACCCTCCATCACCTGCTTCCCCGGGTTACACACGTACCTGAGCCCTTCTCCCCTAACTTGCAAAAACCACATATGCTACACCACAGACTCAAACACACACACCCTCACACATACCCACATACCACTCACATGCACACACACATACCAGACCACACACATACACCACTCACATACACTCACACATATACCACACCACACACACACACTCACACATATACCATACCACACACACACACACCACTCACATTCAGATAATACCACACCAGGCCAGGCGCGGTGGCTCACACCTGTAATCCCAACACTTTGGGAGGCTGAGGCAGGCAGATCACTTGAGGTCAGGAGTTCGAGACCAGCCTAGCCAACATGGTGAAACCCCATCTCTACTAAAAAATACAAAAATTAGCCAGGTGTGGTGGAACGTGCCTGTAATCCCAGCTACTTGGGAGGCTGAGACAGGAGAATCGTTTGAGCCAGGGGGGCGGAGGTTGTAGTAAGCATGGGCGACAGCCTGCACTCCGTCTCCAAAAAAAAAAAAAAAAAAAAAAAAAAGATATACCACACCACACGCTCACACACACCACTCACATATATACACATACGCCACTTGTGTGTATTTGTAAGAAAGTATGTATGTGCACCTTCACTTGTGCAATCACACACCATACACATCACAGCCACACTCACACATGCACACACCTTCACTCACACATGCACACATGTACTCATATACACATACTTTCACACAATCACACTACACACATCACACGCCACTCATACATTCATGCTCACACATGCACATACACTCACATACACCATACCCACACCCACACACTAACACACACACACACGCCACTCATATATTCACATATGTGTATATATACACACACACACACCACTGACACACAGTCCTTCCCTTAGTCCTTTAAGACCAGGCTACACCAGCAGCCCCACTTCTCACCACCCACTCTCTCCTCAACTCCTCACATTGTGTTCCCACCACAGGGCACAAACAGGCCATCCCAAGACCGCTGATGATTTCCCAACAGTCTAATCTCTAGCCTTGAGTCCTCACTCCCTCAAATACCCCACTGAGGAGCTCAGCTCTCTTCTCCAAGTGCACCCTGACTCTCCTCCTGACTCTTCTTCCCGCACCTCCTGGTCCCCGCTGTCTGCACTCCCTGGGAAGCTCCTCCGCTCCGACCCTGACCCTCCAGCGTCACAGTGTCACTGTGCCCCACTACCATGCTAGACATCTCTGGCCCTCTCCTGAAACCTAGCCCTGGATTTCTAGCTGAATGACGGCCCCAGCTGAAAGTCCTCCTGGGACCTGTTGCTCAAAACGTTGACAGCTGGACCCCTCCTCTTCCCGTCCAAACCATTTCCCCTTCTGGACTTCTCTATTTTGTCAGCAATCCTGCCATCCGCCCACACCCCATCTCCAAATCGTGCTGGAGACTTTTTTTTCCCTCTTCCCCTCACCCTTGTCTTCCAATTGCTCATCCCTTGCTAAGTCCTGGAGGCTGTGCCTTCCCAACAGCTCTAGCACACAGCTCTCACATGCACGGTTTAATTTTCATTGCAGCTAACATTACTATTGCCCAAGAGTGAATTCACACCCATCACTGACCTCCCTCGAATACACATCTCTGCTGGTGAAACTTTCCAGAAAGCTTCCAAAAACACTGCTTTCACCAGCCCTCCTGACCCACCCCACACCTACTCAAAAATCATGAATGCCTCTCCAGTGCTCAAGAGCTCCTTGGGTGAGCCACTTCACCTCCTACACCCTCCAGCCCCGCTTGCCTCTCCAAGTATAGCTCTATCATTTTCCTACAGGAACCTTCCACTTTCTGTTCTCCAAACATCCCTCTCCTCTCTGGATTCTTACGTCCTGCCCATCCTTCGAAGCCTTTCCTAATTTGACTCCCCGAGTTGACTCCCTGGTCTGAGTGCCTGTGACTCACAGGATTCTGCAAAGCTCACTGGCCCTTGGCATTTCTTCCTATGCTGTGTCCGAGTGTAGGTAGACATCAACACTATCAGTGGACTCTGGATGCTTGGACTAGATGACCATCAGGGTCATCTTCGTCACCAGAAATTGGACGATCTTATTTCCTGAACTAGAAGGCAAGAACCATTTTGTAATTACAGCTTTTCTATTTTGAGCATTCCTGTACTAGATACAGAACCCAACACTCTCTAGGTATTAGCTCACCCAATCTTCACAACCACTGTATGGAGTAGAGAATGTTAAAGATTGAGAAACTGAGGCTCAGGGTTCACCTAACTTGCCCAGTCTAAGGACTTGGGAGAAGCTGAGCCAAGAATTCCATTCCAGGTCCATCTGACACCTGAAGGCTGAGCTTCTTGCAGAGATCTCTTCCCTCCCATGTCCTACCCTCCTGGGCACAGAGCACAGTGCCTGGCACGTGGTGGATGCTGGCTCAACCAGTGTTTACTGGGGCTGTCTCTTACCTCCAAGCCCTCAGGCAGAAAGAGTGCTCAGAGGAGCAGGGAGATTAACTCAAGACCCAAGAATGGGAAAAACCAAGGTGGAACTGGTGATCTCATCCCTCCCTTTAACTTTCTGGGGTAAAGGCACAAGGAAAGGTCCACCAGATCCTCCTAATTCAGAGCCCATGCTCTCTGCGCCGTCCCAGCCAGGCCCCACCCAGCCCCACACCCAGCCAGGCCTCTCCTCCAGAGGAGCATTTTCCTACCATTGTTCCACCAGGCTAACCCCAGAGGATGAAAATTCCTATCCCGCCACCCCGCAACCCCCGTGTCCACCCTGACTCTCCAATCACCTTATGCTTATGCTCTGGCTCCTGACCCAGCCCCGCCCCAGTGCCCTGGTACCAAGCCTTGTCCTATCACCATCCCTCACCTGGTTTTGGTTCTGAGCCGGTGGGGGCACGGGGTGCTGCTTCTCCTGCACTCGGGGCTTCTCCCTCTGCTGGGCATAGGTGAAGCTGGGAGGTTGAGGGGAGCCTGTGCCAGCAGAAAGAGCTTCGGGGTGCCCCAATTTTTGATTTGGTTGTGACCCAGATCCACCTGGGGCTCCAGGACTGAACTTGGAAGCCACAGGAGTAAACTTAGGAGTCACTGGAGAAAACTTAGGGGCTGGAGCCGGAGATGAGGCTGGGGGCCCTCGGGGCTGGGTGTTAGCCAAAGACACAGGCTGGGTCTGGGACTGGACATGGAGTTGGACCTGAGGCTTGGGCTGGGGCTGGGGCTGAACATGGAACTGTGTCTGGCTCTGAGCCGGAGCCGGAACCTGGGGCAGAGGCTGGGAGCTGGAAGGGGACTTCCAAGGAGGCAGGGGTGCTGTGCCCCCGGCTGCAGGCTTGGTACTGGACTTGGAACTGAATGGAGTGGCCACTGGTGGGGGCACATATCCAGATGACACCTGCAAGGGGTGGGAGAGGGAAGAGAGATGCAGTCAGGAGGACACCATCCTCCTTAGTTCTATGCCCAGTCTCTCTGGCCCTGAGCCCTGCTTTTCCTACTCTCCGGTCCCTTACCCGGGCTTTGAAAGGATCATTCTTGGTCATGTCATCCAGCAGTGAGGACAGAGAGTCGATCTCCAAATCAATACTGCTCACCTTCTCCCTGGGCTAGAGGGTCAGAGGTCAGAGCACCTATTCCATGCCTCTATCCCCCCACCCCCAAGGCAGAGGTGCAGGGGAGGTAAGAAGAAAGGGCCCTCTTCTCCTCTCCTTGGGGGTGTCCAGTGCAGCCGCCCCTCCCAGGCCTCCGTACCTGTGGTGGGGGCGGTATGGGGGCCTCAGGCCCTCCCTCCTCCTCCGGAGGAGGCGGCGGGGAAGGGAAGATCTCCTCCTCCAGAGGCGCAGGGGGAAATGATTCCTCGATCGGGGGAGGGGGCGGCGGGAAGGCACCTCCCAGAGCACCCTCTGCATCGTCGCCATCCCCAGCAAGGGGAGGTGGAGGCAGGGGAAAGTCTGGGGTAGGAAGGAGAAAGACGTCGGCCGGGGTCCCTCTACCCCTCACCCAAGCTCCCCTCAGTTAACCGCTCTAACCCCTAACCCAAGAACTCTCTCAGGGGTCCCAGAGCGTGTGGGGAAGCAAAGGAGGGGCGCAGGGCGCCCTGGGAGTACCAGGTCAGGAAAGGCCGGGCGCACTGCCGAGGAGTGGTGCAGCTCCCGTTACACTTCGGAAAACGGACCCGGAGGGGAAGATTCGTGCCCCACATTCCCGACTCCCACTCCCAGGCGGGGGACTTGGAACGGTCCCAGGAGCCCTGGCTCCCAGCCACGAGCTCCACGATGAGGTAAGAACATCTGCTCGGGACAGGGTGGCTGCGCCCAGCCCCCTCGGCAACAACCTTTCCAGACATCCCCAAATTCCCGAAACGACTGCCCCCCACCCCGGCTCCTGCCGGGGTACATTCCCCAAGCCCCGCCGCATACCTTCCGGGGGCGGCGGGGGAATCTCGCCCACCCGGCCCATCTGTGCGCGCTGGGCCCCGGGTGCCGGGGGAGGCTCGCTGTCCCCGGGCCGGAAGGGATTCACTTTGGGCTTTGGGGCCACCACAGGGCCGAACTTCTTCTGCGGGGCGTAAAAAGCCGGAGCCGAGACCGAAACGGAGATCGCGGGAGACGGGCGGGGGGCCGCCATGGCCGGGCCGGGCTGCTGGGGTGGGTCGCCGGGTTACGCAGCGCGGAGCCGGGCTCAGGAGCCCCAGGCGGTCCCAGCTCCCCTTGGTGACCCCCACTCGCCCCCTCCCGGCGCCCCGCGCCCCCTCCCCGTGGGGCCGCCCTGCCGCTCCCCGCGCCTCACCGCAGGCCGGAGCGTGCGCGCCGCGTCTCGGGTGGCCGCCTCGGCGCCGGGTCCGCAGACTCTGCGTCCCGGTCCGGAGCAGCCTCCAGCCGGGCGGGGAGGGACACACGGAAGGAGGAGGGAGGGAGAAGAGAGGGGGCGGGGAGAGAGCGGCGCCCAGACCATACAAGGAGCGGCCCGGAGAGGGGGCGGGGAGAGCGGGGAAGGGCGGACCAGGCAGGAAACTCCCCCAGGAAGGGGCCCTGATCCTGCCTCAGGCCGGAGGCTCCGCCGAGGTCCGCTCGCCCCCACCCCACTCACTGCCGCCCCCGCCGCCCCAGCCCGGCTCAGACCCCCACTCCCTGAGCACAGGCCTCTGATGTCATTTCCTGACCTGCCTCCCCCTCCCCGCCCGACCCGCGGGTGCCCGAGATCTGACTCACCGTCCCCCTCCGGGCTTAGCCGGCGGAGGTGGGGCGGGTGCCGCCGAGGTAGCCACGCAGCCCCTGTGCGCCTCCGGCCCGGCCCAGCGACCTCCTCTCGGGCCTGCCGTTACCCGGTCCCCTCCTGCCACCACCCGCTACCCGGCCACCCCGAGTCCGCCTGGGGTGGCCGAACGTATGGAGCTGGGCTCCAGGGTGCACGGGGATGGGGGGTGAGGAGCGGGGCGTTCTCCCTCCCAGCACCCCCCAGCTGACTCTGTGCCCGGAGGGGGTGTGTGAGCCGGAACCTCCAGCATTCTTGGGGATACGAACTTCCAACGCTGGGCAGCCTCTTAAGGCTTCTAGGAATTCGCATCCCCAGCGCCCCAGCCAGCAGATCGGTTGCGAGAGGGACCGTTCGGGTCCGCGGGGCCGGGAATGGAGGTGGGAGGGCGGGGCCGAGGCGGCGGCCGCCTGCGGACTGGAGACCCGGGAGGACGGACGCGGACGCGGGCTGCTCGTCTTTTACGGCCCTTCAACGCCCACCACGACCCACTCCTCTTGGAGACCCCGGGCGACGGTGGGGCTCTTGGGCATTCTGAGACTGCGCTTGGTGGAGACCCCGGGCGACGGTGGAGCTCTTGGGCATTCTGAGACTGCGCTTGGTGGAGCCCCCTACTGGCCAGACTGGATTTCTCAGCCTGCGACTCAGCCCCAGGCTACACGAAAGAAGCCAGACCTGGGTAATTCTTCTAGTTCTTTTTTTTTTTTTTTTTAATTGCACTGGGAAACTTCCCCAATCTCGGCCCCAGTTCTTTCTCCAAACTAAGGAGTCATGGCCTTTCGCCCGCTAGTCCAGTATGCACCCGTAGGCGCTTCATTTTCTCTCCTCTTGTCAGCTTTTACTGCCTCCTGAGGCCTTCGTCTTGTTCACACTGAGTGTCCAGTCCCTCCAAATCCGGCTACACTCTACTGGCAAGGAGCACCTGGGCCATGTTTTAGAGATCATCCGAGGACTAACCCCAAAAGTTTATGAAGAGAAAGCAGAGGCCGAGCTGAAGAGATGGACCCGGGTCACACCCAGGTAAAGGCAGGATCTAAACTGAAACTGGTGTCAGATCTGGTTGCCTTGCACCCCTGATATCAGGTGAAGCAACACTGGGCAGGATAGAGCAGAGTGAGGTCAGAGTGTGAAGATCCAGCCTGATGCCCAAACTGACGCCTCTTCATTCTCCCCTGCTCCATCTGTAAACGTCACGGTTAATCCATCTACTTTATTGCATTATATAGAGAAATAAATGAAATGTCATAGCTGTATGCGCTATATGACTCAGTATTATTATTCAAATTCCAGTTCTGCCCAGAATGAAAATTCTGACCTGGTTACACTAAGGCGTTTTCCCCCATATGTCCCTTTCTGGGTTGCCAGGCAGATCTCTCAGGGGCCTCGGTATGTGCAATGTCCTCTCTTTCCTTCAACCTTATTAAGTCTTTAATTATACCTAGGACGACATCTTAATCACTTTTGCAAACCCCACTGATCTTTTTCTCTGGCATCTCATTGTCTTTGTCACCACCAGTATTTCTCACAGCCACAGGCATGTGTGGCCATGTATGATGGGTAGTACGCAGTGCACACCTCTCTGACACGCTCAAGCCAGCCCTGGGCCTGTCTCTGAAGACATGTTAGAAATTTGATACTGGATTTCCTGTGCATGTTGGAGATTGTGTCTTGGGCTTCACAGACCAAAAGTCTCATCACAAATCCTTCAAAATATGGCCCCTTTGGGGAAAAAAAGATAGTTAAGAAGATGATTTCAAGATAACTCATAGGAATAAAAGCTATCTACCCTCTAAATGTCTCCTTAAGTAATGTGCGCGTGCAAAATAGAGTATGTGTAATTGTTAGGCAGCTGAACCTATTTTTAAATCAGAAATAGAAGAGTGCGTAGGCAGGCATAGTTTTACTGACAACTAAGAGCATTCAGAATGCGGAATATTCAAACAAAGACTTTTAAGCCAGCCATTCTAAATACAAGTAGAAACACCCAGAGTATCCCAGAAGAACAGAATCACTGCCCAAGATGTCTCAAGAGGAGCAGCAGAGTCAGTGCTCTTAAAATGAAGACAATGGGCTGGGCGCAGTGGCTCACGCCTGTAATCCCAGCACTTTGGAGGCCAAGGCAGGCAGATCACTTGAGGTCGGAAGTTTGAGACAAGCCTGACCAACGTGGTGAAACCCAGTCTCTACTAAAAATACAAAAATTAGCCTGGTGAGGTGGCGGGAGCGTGTAGTCCCAGCTACTGGGGAGGCTGAAGCAGGAGAAGAATCGCTTGAACCCAGGAGGCGGAAGTTGCAGTGAGCCAAGATCACGCCACTGCACTCCAGCCTGGGCAACAGAGTGAGACTCCATCTCAAAAAAAAAAAAAAAAAAAATGCAGGAAATGAACAAGAGTGGCCTTAACGATTGCTGGGCATTTTTCTTAAGTAAGCAATTCTAATTGATATCCTTAGGCAGTATGTGTGAAGTACAGCAAATAAGAAGATGTTCCTGACTAAAGAATGCCCAACAGCTTAAGACCAGGCCAGGGAGACAAAGTGAGAAAATGGCCACTGCCCTTTACTACCTAAAACATCTTCACGCGCCTCCAAGGATTTATAACCATCAGGTACCAGAAAGTTTTCTTCAAGAGTGCACAGCATAAAGTAGGAAGTTAAGAGCAGTCAGGGAAGGAAAATGAAAAGACAGTGTCACAACAAAAGAATGATTTCTAAAATGGAAAGAGAAATGTGACCAGGAGGTTCTTTCCATATGCCAACTGCAGATGGATAGAGGTTCACTCACGGGCCAGGGACCACGTGAAGCATTCTGAAAACAGCAACAATAGCAGCACCCTAATAACATCAACAACTATAATAGCAGCACACGCTGAGAGAATGCTTAGAATATTGTTTGAGGTGCAATGCTAAGCACTTTAAATATATTAGCCCTGGCCAGGCACAGTGGCTCACGCCTGTAATCCCAGCACTTTGGGAGGCCAAGGTGGGTGGATCACCTGAGGTCAGGAGTTCAAGACCAACCTGGCCAAGATATAGTGAAACCCCATCTCTACTAAAAATACAAAAATTAGCTGGGCGTGGTGGCACGTGCCTGTAGTCTCAGCTACTCAGGAGGCTAAGATGGGAGAATCACTTGAACCTGGGAGGCGGAGGTTGCAGTGAGCCAAAATCGCACCACTGCATACCAGCCTGGGTGACAGATCGAGACTCTGTCCAAAAAACAAACAAACATATATGTATGTTTGTTTATATATATATTCGCCCCTTCTAATCATCACTATAAACCTGTGAGGAATATACATCATTATCCCATTTTTTAGTTAAGGAAACTGAGGCTAACTGGATGTTGGATTTCTCACCTCCTAAACTGCAAAATTTTTTTGCAACACAAATATTAAGACTCTCCTGCCCCATCCTTGCTTCCATCCTTGTATTCCATCACTTCTCCTCAGGCCCTCCTACCTGGTCCATCAACAGCCCCTTTCAAGTCTGCCTTCACCCCAACACCCCTACTTTATACCTGTGGGCTACCATTTTCTCTTTCTGTCTCATGACACCATCAAATTCTGTCTGTTTATATATCTATCTGCATGTGAACACATACACACATTTTGTATATGCAAGCTATATGTATACGTGCTTTTGTAAAATAGCACATTTCCAGAAGATGTCAAGAATTGTTAACAGCACAGCCAGGCGCAGTGGCTCATGCCTGTAATCTCACCACCTTGGGAGGCTGAGGTGGGAGGATCACTTGAGGCCGGGAGTTCAAGACTAGGCATGGCCAACATGGAGAAACCCCGTCTCTAGAAAAAATACAAACATAAGCCGGGTTGGTGGTGTGCGCCTGTAATCCCAGCTACGAGAATTGCTTGAACCAGGAGGTGGAGGTTGCAGTGAGCCGAGATCGAGATCGTGCCACTGCACTCCATCCTGGGCGAGGAATGCGACTGTGTGTCAAAAAAATAAACAAATAAAAAAGAATTGTTAACAGTAGTTAATGTTAGGGAGTAGATTGAGGAGGACAGAAGGCTTTTATACTTTTGTATTTTGTCCCTGTGAACATGTATTACTTTATAATCTGAAAAAAGAAAGGAGAGAAATGAAAGAGCCGTTGTATCTTTTTCCTGATATTGGAGCACCTCCCTTGCGCTGAGTACTGTGTGCACTCGGCCTGCAGCTTCCCACTTGCTCCCAGATTTACTGCCCCTCTCATCCCACTGGCCTGCATGCCAGTACAAAAGAATCTCTCCCTGAGGGAACTGCAGACACGGTGGATGATGAACCATGGATGGGTTGGGCGCGCATCAGGATGAGGTCTGGGTGAAGCACACAGCAAGACCCAGAGACCTTTGCAGTCAAGGCCAAGGTTGAGCAGCCTCCTGCCCTGTCCAAGGGCCACTCCCCCAAGAGAGGGGTGGGACTGACAACCACAAATGCCCACGTTTCCTTCTTTCTTCAGGGTCAGCCCAGGAAGCTGACATCAGAGCATCATCCCCTATACACTTTCCCTCCCATTCCCAACCTCAGTTCAGCCAACATTTACCAGTTAATTTCTATATTCTAGGCACTCTGGATATAAAGAAAAATAAACTCAGTTCTTGCCCTCAAGAAACTCTCCATCTGGGGGGAAAATACTTAAGTAGATAGTTTTAGTATAATAAGTGTTAAGATTAGAAAAAAAAATTTTCTAATCACCCACCCAATAGAGCTGGCTTGGTGTGGCTACTAATTACAATACCTGGGTGGCCTTCTCACCATGTAACCTCATTATTATCCCACCGGATCAGAAGCAGCAGTGAGGATTCCAGGACCAGGGAACCAGAATCTACATAAGGCATCCAGGGAGCAGAGGTCAGAGAAGCAGGAGAAGGCAGGAGTCCCCTCATCCCAAGGGCTGGGCCAGATGGGCACCCAAAGGCACTGCAAGCATCAGCAGCCAGAAATGTGTGGTGGGTGGAAGGGGCAGAGCGAGGCAGATGGTCAGATGGCGAGGAGTCAGCAACCAAGGGAGCTGAGAAGGGCAGACAGGAAAAGAGACCCAAGGCACCAACAGCAGCACAGCCAGGTTGCTGGCACCGAGGCAGCCGCTAGTGGAGCATCAGCTGCCTTCATTCTCTGTGCACCCAGAGGAAGCCAAAATCAGAGAGCCTGGCCTAGAAGCTGGAGTGTTTGTCACTGAAAATAGCCGACTAAGTCACTGGCAGGAGTAAACATTGCAGAGAGTGGAGGTTGAATGTAGGTAGATAACCCATCTTGCTTGAGGTGACAAGTACTAGTTGTCTCTAGTTGCTCCCCCACCTCCACTTCCTTTAATAAGGTGGGCTTCATATAAAGAAACCCACTAGGCTGAACTGACACAGGAAGTGGGTGCTTCTGAGTCACCCTCAGAGCTTGCTCAAGCTTCCTTAGGCTGCCCTTCCTGCCACCCTGTCTGTAGTTATTTATGCCACCCCCAGAGATGTGACCCATGTAGCCAATGGACACTGTCTCAGAAAAAGGGAACAGGTGGACCTATTCAGGTCTACCAACAGCAGACTCAGACTCTCAACATGCCTGAGCAAGCCAGTAGACAGGCCTTTGTACCCAAGCGTGAGATGCTACCAGAAGACAGTCGTGCCATTCAGCTAGCTCCCTGGTTCCAGCAAAGTTGTTCCAGTGTGCCTAAGAATAGTGGAGTAGGGCAGGCCCAGCACAGTGCATTTGCTGTGTACATTTGCTGACTGAAACTGAGTTCCAGAACCATTGAAAGCTCACTCTAGATCAAGGCAGGCCCTGTATTTGGTAAAGCTTAAGGACTTTCATTGCATCACGAATTATTCATTCATTTATTCAGCAAACATTTACTGGGCACCTACTATGTGCAGGACAGTTTGTTAGGTGCTGGGGACATAATAATGAGCAAAGACAGGCATGATCTCAGCCCTTGGTGAGTTCAGGCCTTTGGAGGGTCTCCTATGGGAGATAAACACTAATTAAATAATGACAGACAAATGCAAAACTGCAACTGTTACAGGAACCTCAAGAGAAAGGAATAGGATGCATCCGGTAGAGCCTGTACATGGGAGATGTGACCTGGTTGGGGAGCTCAGGAGAGGGAAGCCCAAGCAGAGATCTGAACGGTAAGCAGAAGTTAAGTATGCAAAGTGGAAGGAGAGGAATATTCCATGCAAAAGGAGAAGTGTTTGCAAAGCCCTGTGACAGCTGTGGGCGCACTAGAGACCCCAAGGCAGGTAGGTGTGGCTGGAGTGTCAAGACAGAGATTCCTCACTGGAGGTACAGGGTGAGGAAAGGCTGGACAGGTGGGTGCAGAGAGGTTGCAGAGCATGTGAAAGGGTTTCAACTTGATCCTGAGAGCAATGGGGAACTACCGCAGAGTTTTCGATTGAAAAGAGGGGCGTGAAGAGACTTGGGAATTTTGAAAGTGTCGCCTTAGGGGCAGTGTGGAGAGTCACAGGAGAGGCCAATGCAGATGTGTGAAGGACAATTAAAAGGTTCTGGTAGAGCTCGAGGTGAAAGGGAGGAGATTTGTGGAAATGGACAAAAGTGGATAGAGTAGAGAGCTTTTTAGGACATGAACTCGTCCACAGAAAGAATGGGACAAAGGGAGAAAGAGACATCACAGGCCCATCCCAGCTTCTGGTTGGTACCTATGTGGAGCGTGGCACTCTCCACTGAAAAGTACAGGTCTGGGAGTGAGATTGTGTGTTTCATTCTGGACGTACTGAGAATGAGTAGGCGCACAGTGGGCAGTAGGATATCCAGGTCCAAGGCAGAGAAAAGAAAATTATACTGAAGATCCACATTTATAAGTCATCTACCTCCAAATAGCAATTTGAAGCCATTATTGGCTGAAAAAAAAAATCACCTATCAAATATTGCATGAACAGTCGAGAGGGCTAGGATATGGGCTTTGCTGGATTCTAGCATTTTATGGTTAGGTGGAAGAGGGAGGTATGCACTTTCTGAGTAAAAGTCACCCTCACTCAGATGCAAGGCACATCTGCTCTTCCCCAGGCCTCTGTGTCTCTGCCAGCAGTAAAGAAAGGATGCTTACTCCTCCCACTTTGCCTACACTGTGAGCGCAGGAGTGCCTTGCCCACAGTTGCTCGCCTGGAGACCACCAGAGCTAATTTTATTAAGTCCTGTATTAAGTCCCTTTTATTAACCCCAGAATGTCACTTATGGAAAGAAGCCCTAAATTCCTAGCTCCTGCTACACCTTGGTCCCTGGCTCAACTCCTGAAAACCAGTCCAGGGTGCCTTCAGAGCATGTAGGCCCTTTTCAGCAAGCATTCCTCTTTTTTGAGCATCCTCTCTCCTTCTTATTCTAACCTGGATCATCCCTGAGGACACACCGCCTCAGCGCCCCCCACCAGGTGGCAGACAATGTTTTCCCCATAGCCCTGAATGTGGAACAGATATCTCTTTGAACTCTCATTGCTATATCCAGACAATTCTCCCTCCCTCCTTCCTAAAATCCCCCAGTTTTGAATGTCACGTGATTAAACTACACAACTACTGCACATCCTATATAGTCATCTGTTGCCCTGGGTCACACACCCTCATTTCTTTCTCTTGCTCTGTCACCCAGGCTGGAGTGCAGTGGTGTGATCTCAGCTCACTACAACCTCTGCCTTCCAGTTCAAGCGATTCTCCTGCCTCAGCCTCCTGAGTAGCTGGGATTACAGGTGCGCACCACCACACCTGACTAATTTTTGTATTTTTAGTAGAGATGGGGTTTCACCATGTTGGTCAGGCTGGTCTGGCACTCCTGACCTCAAGTGATCCACCTGCCTCAGCTTCCCAAAGTGCTGACATTACAGACGTGAGCCACGGTGCCTGGCCAAGAGTAAAAATAAATGAATAAAAAGAAAAAAAATAAATGAGTAAGCCTATATACCCAAACATGTAACCACTAATGGTGTAACCACTATTTTTAAAATTATTTATTTATTTATTTATTATTATTATTTTTTAATGTTTTTGACATGGAGTTTTACTCTTGTTGCCCAGGCTGGAGTGCAGTGGCACAATGTCGGCTCAACTGCAACCTCCGCCTCCCGGGTTCAAGCGATTCTCCTGCCTCAGCCTCCCAAGTAGGTGGGATTACAGGTGCCCACCACGACACCTGGTTAATTTTTGTATTTTTAGTAGAGACGAGGTTTCACCATGTCGGCGAGGCTGGTCTCGAACTACTGATCTCAGATGATCCGCCTGTCTCAGCCTCCCAAAGTGCTGGGATTACAGGCATGAGCCACTGTGCCAGGCCTTAAAAATTATTAATGAGGTATTTTACTTTTTTGGCACTAAGTCATGGGAATTTGGTGTGTATTTTACACTTACAGCATGTCTCAATTCACGCTAGTCCCATTGCAGGTGCTCAAAGGTTACACATTGCTGGTGGCTCCCACATTGCATAGCAAGTTCTAAATAGACCCTGAGCCATCTCTGTACAATCCTAATTTTAAGCCACACTTTCTCCAACCAGCTCCTTCTATTTTTCTAGTCATTCTCTTTTTGTGCTTCGACAATCCCTTGGCCCACTGGAACTTGCCATTCACGTCCATACCAGCTCACATTTCCTGGACAATCATTACAGTCACTCCCTTACATCTGTCTCAACTTCCTGTGCCTCTTTCTCACCCTGTGGTGCTCACTTGGCAAAACCCCAGCCTGGGCTGAGTCCAATTCTACCAACTCCATGCCTGCACCCACACAGCTGGGTGGCACTACAGAAAAACATACAGCCCTTCTGACAGATCTCATTGTAAACTCCATGGCTGTGAGCTGCAGATGCCATCTGACCTTTCTACGTCCTGATAAACATACCAGTCTCGTTTTTCCATCCACTCTCCCACTCTGACTCTCTCAGAAGGCTTCTAGACCTTCTCCTCTCTCTCCACATCTCCTTCCACATCCTCATGCATAGCTGATGCCTTGCTTCCTGTTGCAAGGAGAAAATTAAACAAATTGAAAAAAAACCTTTCCTAGGCTCTACCTACATCAAATCAAACTAATCCCACATGCTCTCTGGCCTCATCTCCCAGCAATCATTTTGCCTCAGCCACAATGGCCTTGTTACTGTTCCTCCAATGTGTAAGGCACATTCCCATCTCAGGGCCTTGCATTTGCTAGTTTCTCTGCTGGGAAGGTTCTTCCACAGACATCTGTATGGATCACCCCATTATCTCCATCATAGCCTTCCTCACATGCTGACCTCTCAGTGAGGCCTCCCATGACCATCCAGTTTAGAATGACATATACCAGCCCTTTCATTATTATCCACCTCTCCTTTCTTTTTTTCTTTTCTTTTTTTTTTTTTTTTTTTTTTTGAGACAGGGTCTTGCGGTGTTGCCCAGGCTGGAGTGCAATGGCATAATCATGGCCCACTGCAGCCTCTACCTCCCAGGCCCAAGCAATCCTCTCATCTCAGCTTCTCAAGTAGCTGGGACCACAGGCATGTGCCACCAGGCCTGGCTAATTTTCTTTTTCTTTTTGTAAAGACAAGGTCTCCATATGTTGCCCAGGCTGGTCTTGAACACCTGAGCTCAAGCAATCCTCTCACATCAGCCTCCCAAAGTGCTGGGATTACAGGCATGAGCCACCACGCCTGGCCCTTCCTTAATTTTTCTTCATAGTAATTATCACCTTAAATATATCATTCCATCCTGGGTTTTGGCACTCCCCCACCAAACAATTCAGTCTCTTAATTGTTGTATTGCTGTTTCTGCCCCACCACTTCTCACTAGACTATAAGCTCCGTGACAGCAGGAGTTTTGGATCGTAGAACCTAGAGAGGTACTGACATAGAGTAGGTAGGTGCTCCTTAAATACCTGTAATATGGAATGAATGAATGAATAATGGAAAAAACTAACAAAAAAAGACAAAGAAGGAGCAGCCGGAAAGTCAAGAGGAGAACCAAGAAAGAGTGTTTGGGAATGAGGGAGTAACCATGAGTCCCTCACGAGGGTATGAAATGCCCCTGATGTGCCACTTAAGGTTAGAAATGAACAAAATCTGTTAACATGGAGGCTAAGGGTGTTACTGGAAAGAAGTCCCAATCCAGACCCCAAGAGAGGGTTCTTGGATCTCGCACAAGAAGGAACTCAGGGCGAGTCCATAGAGGAAAGTAAAAGCAAGTTTATTAGGAAAATAAAGGAATAAAGAATGGCTACTACACACACAGAGCAGCCCTGAGGGCTGCTGGTTGCCCATTTTCATGTGTGTGTATTTTTTTAAATTATATGCTAAACAAGGGGTAGGTTATTCATACCTCCCCATTTTAGACCATAAGGTAACTTCCTGAGGTCGCCATGGCATTTGTTGGCGCTGGTGGGAGGGTAGCAGTGAAGACCAGAGGTTACTCTCGTCGCCATTTCGGTTTTGGCGGGTTTTAGTCAGCTTCTTTACTGCAACCTGTTTTATCAGCAAGATCTTTATGACCTATGTCTTGTGCTAACTTTTTATCTCATCCTGTGACTTAGAATGCCATAACCGTCTGGGAACACAGCCCAGCAGGTCTTAGCCTTGTTTTACCCAGCTCCTATTCAAGATGGAGTTGCTCTGGTTCAATTGCCTCTGACAGGGGAGCCCCCCGTGTGAGCTGCTTCAGTAGAGTGAAGATGCCAGATTGGGTAAGTTGAGGAGTGCAGAGAAGTAAGGAAATGGAGAAGATGAGTGCCGGCAGCTCTTTCAAAAATTTTGGCTGTGAGAGAAACTAGAGCTCCAGGAAGAGAAAGATCAAGGGGCAAATTCCAGCTCCCACCTTAGAAGGAAGACATTGCTTGCATTCCTTGGCCCTGCCCCCAACACAGTTTTCCACCATCAGTAATAAAATTCAGGCTTGACTACCACTAGCCACCTCATGCATATACATGAACAAAGAGGTTGGAAAGGAAATTCTTCTTTAAGTTAAAGAGAGAAACACCCAGCACCTGGCGTTCAAAATTTCCAGTGTCCTTTGGACCTTCCTGCCTGTGTGGGTGCCCTGGCAGGATAATTGTGATTGATTGATTCAGTGAGTGAACAGCTTTCAAGTGGACCCCCACCCAGGAGAGCAATGCCTTGTCCCTATTAGCTTATCACCATCACAAAACCTTAACCAAACGGTGGTCTGAACCTATACACTAGGATTAAGTACCCATTCTTAAATGAGCTCTGAACTCCTAAGTTAGAAAGAACAATGGTCTTTTTTTTTCTTTTAATTTTATTGTGGTTGGTAAGAATGCTTATGAGGAGATCTACTCGCTTAAAACTTTTTTTTTTTTTTTGAGACGGATTCTCGCTCTGTCGCCCAGGCTGTAGTGCAGTGGTGCGATCTCAGCTCACTGCAACCTCCACCTCCTGGGTTCAAGCAATTCTCCTGCCTCAGCCTCCCGAGTAGCTAGGACTACAGGTGCCCACCACCATGTCCGGGTAATTTTTGTATTTTTAGTAGAGACGGGGTTTCACCGTGTTGGCCAGGCAGGTCTCGAACTCCTGACCTCAGGTGATTCACCCTCCTCGGCCTCCCAAAGTGCTGGGATTACAGGCGTGAGCCACCGCGCCCGGCCAAAACATTTTTTTAACCTGTTTTATCTGCAAGAAGTTGAACAGTCTCCATAAGCAAAAAGATTATGAGGCCTGAGCTTATTTCAACAGGGCTTAATGTTATAATAAAAGTCATAGAAAAATAATGTAACATAGCTTTAGGGGTGCATCTTAGGATAGGGAAAAGAATGTTAGACTAAGAATTAGAGGACCTGAATTTTGGTTACAGTTCAGCCACTTACTAACTCAGCCACTTACTAAGTGTGTGACTGTAAAAATCTGAGAGGTGAATTTTCCTTGTCTGTGGAAGTACAGCAAGGAACTTGATTTCTAAGTATTCAACCAGTTTTAACACTCAGTCATCTGTAACTAATGCCCTATATATCCACCACTCTTTCACTGTCGGGAAAATGCCTTCACTGTTTTTTCTCTGGACTTGATTGGCTCACTTAAATAAAGACATAGCCAACTGGAGCTACATCTACCCACTATGTATTAAACACATTATTTAGGAACAGGATCAGTTGCAGGAAAGGATAAAAGGTTTCAGGTAGTTAGACTTTGTAGGTGAAACAGATCTCCGTCCAAACAAGTGTTTGTAAGAGGAATCCAAGCTGAAGTTGCAGGATATCCCAAAAGCTAGCAAAGGAAAAGAACTGGGGAACTCAGAAGGAAAATATATCCAGGAATCTGAGAGGTAGGCTGTCAGCTGTGCCTGGTGATAGAGAAGTCTGACAGGTAGTAATAGAGCCTCAACCATCAGGCTGTGGTTCAGAGGCAGAAGCTGGGGAGGATGGCTTGTAAGCACAAGGCAGGAGCTCTCTCCTAGAGGAATGTGCATACAGGTGAGGGCTAAAGGGTCCCAGCAGGGGAGACAGGGAGGCTTCAGAGGTGTGATATGACATCTGTTGCCCCTCTCCCCTGAGTTCATAAATACTAGACAGGCAGGCATCGGAGACAATCAGGACAAGCCTTCCAGTTCCTGGTTCTCATTGGTTCTCCATGGAGGAAGGAATATAAAACTGGCAGATAGGCCTACTGAGGCTGGAACAAACAACTGCCTTGTATTCTTTATTTGATCTTTCCCTCTCTTTGTCAGTGCTCTGGGATTGGCTTGACCTTTAAAAATCCCATCTGGTTCTTCTCTCTGGGATTTATGAACTCCATTTTTTACTACCCACCTGGCCTCTGACTCATGGTTGCCCAGACTCTATGCCCTGCCTCCTTGGTCCTGGCATCCTGCCTGGTCGCTGCTGCTTGTGGCCTGGTCATGGTGAGGACACCCTGAGGTGCTGTGTGTGCTTGGGACCTGACCAGGAAGCAGCAGGAAAGCGCTGACATTCTTCCAGGCTCTCTGGCAGATATGCAGGCGCGATCTGCTGGCTTGGCCTTTCTTATCAGAATGTTTGGATGGAACCCCTAAATCTGCAGTAGGGGTTGCAGGCTTTCCCACAAATGTGCTTCCCAAAGAAAACACAGGGCAAATGCATCCCCTTGGTCATCTGAAGCATAGGCTCTATGACAGTCACCAAAGAAGCAGTTGTCTGGGCATTCTCTTCTGCTGAATCCTACAGAACGTGATTTGGGGACGTTGACCTGCCCATGCAGGAGGGCTTTGGCTCATGGAGGTGTGCGCCTGGGGACTACACTAAGGAGAATGTGCCTGCCACGTTTGCCCATGCCGATAAGCTTTCTTTCTTTCTTTCTTTTTGAGATGGAGTCTTGCTCTGTTACCCAGGCTAGAGTATAGTGGCGTGATATTGGCTCACTGCAACCTCCACCTCCCGGGTTCAAGCGATTCTCCTGCCTCAGCCTCCTGAGTAGCTGGGATTACAGGTGTACACCACCATGCTCGGATAATTTTTGTATTTTTAGTAGAGACGGAGTTTCACCATATTGGTCAGGCTGGTCTCAAACTCCTGACCTCATGATCTGCCCGCCTTGGTCTCCCAGAGTACTGAAATTACAGGTGTGGGCCACCGTGCCCAGAGATAAGCTTTCTTTTCTAACTAAAAGTGGGAGTGAGCTCACCTTAGATCCCCAATATTTTACAAGATTTCAAACCTTGTCTAAAAGTCAAATGAGCATGTCCTGTGCTGGTCTCTTTCATAGTGTCCAACAGATCAGAGATTGGTAATGTGAGGGCTTTTTGTCCCCACCACCAACGCTGAAACCACAGAACTTCTGCCATGGACCCTCTCATCCTCTATAACTAACTGGCTGAGCCATCCTTCCTCAGCAAACTTGCTGTGCCCCAGCACAATGGCCAGGACCCTCATCTGTTGATTACTCTGGGAAACCAGCTGGGGATGGCAGGTAGGGGTCGGGGGAGAACTATATCGACCACTAGGACAGATTCTATGGCCACTTCCTACTATGTGGGAATACAACTTACACACTACAAACATCTGCACTCATCCATGACTTGCCTCTGAGTCTGCCCCTGTGTATGAATGGGGTCCCTTGTCAGCAACCTAATGCCCCTAAACCCCACTCTTGGTCCTCCTGTTGACTGAATATTTAGGAAATCATTCTCATTTTAAAGAAAACAGACCTCAGGCTAGGTGCATTGGCTCACACCTGTAATCCCAGTACTTTGGGAGGCCAAGGCGGGCAGATCGCCTGAGGTCAGGAGTTCGACACCAGCCTGGTCAACATGGTGAAACCCCATCTGTACTAAAAATACAAAAATTAGCCAGTCATGGTGGCGGGTGCCTGTAGTCCCAGCTACTCTAGAGACTAAGGCAGTAGAATTGCTTGAACTTGGGAGGTGGAGGTTGTAGTGAGCCGAGATCTCACCACTGCACTCCAGCCTGGGTGATAGAGTGAGACTCTGTCTCAAAAAAAAAAAAAAAAGAATACAGACCTTTGTTACTGACCCTCGTGATTTCCACCTAGTCCCCAAGACTATTCTTACCAATGTTTTCCAGCATCAGCACTCTCACTTCTGGCCTTTAGCAAATAGGGTATTTGAGAACCACTAGGAGTGCCCCAAAGCTGACTGATCTTCAGGGCTGCCTGAAGATAGATACTCTAACACCATACAAGGACATTGATAAGTAGGGACTAAGACACTTATCATCAGTATTTTATGAAAGCACCAAAGACTTATTGCTACAAATCACTCTGAAGAAAGATCATTGCTTTCCCATTTCAAAATTTAGAAATGTAGATAGATGTATTCCTCTCTTCAGTTTATGGTCCCACCTTAATTAAAAAAAGACAAGCGTGAAAGAACGTGTATCCATTCAAATGTCCTGAGTTGAGTAACTTTAGTTTTTTTAAGTGAACAAATAAAGCACTTTCTACAACATCCAGAATAGATTTTCCCTCTGAGGAGCTGAGTTTAAATGCTGGCTTTTTTGGCCAGGTGCGATGGCTCACACCTGTAATTCAAGGACTTTGGGATCCTGTGGCAGGAAGATTGCTTGAGGCCAGGAGTTCAAGATCAGCCTGGGCAATATAGTGAGACCCCCATCTACAAAAATAAAAATTAAAAAATTAGTAAGCCAGGCGTGGTGGCTCACGCCTGTAATCCTAACCTTTTGGGAGACCAAGGCGGGTGGATCTCTTGAGGCCAGGAGTTCTAGACCAGCCTGGACAACATGGTGAAATCCCACCTCTACTAAAATAGGCACATACAAAAAATTAGCCGAGGGTTGGGGCACATGTCTGTAGTTCCATCTGCTTGGGAGGCAGAGGCAGGAGGATCACTTGAGCCCAGGAGCTCGAGGCTGCAGTGAGCTTTGATCATGCCATTGCTCTCCGGCTGGGTAAGCGTGAGACCCTGTCTCAAAAACAAAACAAAACAAAATGCCAAACAAAAAAGTGCTAGCTTTTTCTCTTTCCAACTGGGAAATCTTAGGGAAAAGGAAGTTAATTGAATTATCAGCCCCAGTTCTCTCAACTGCAATGCAAGAAGAATATCTTTCTTAGAGGTTTGGAAGAATAGACTGAAAACTCTATTCTTTAAATCAATTGTATATTGATATTTGCACTTTAAAGTGAGTTTTATTTTTTTCTCTATCTCTCTCATTCTGACTCTCAATAAATGATCTTGCCTCCTTCTTGTCAGAGAAAGTAGATGCCGTCAGATGGGAATCCCTCATTCTCCTGACACCAAACATGCAGCCCACTGGCATCTGCCCCGTCTTCCCTGCTGCTGGAAGAAGAGCTGGGCTCCTCCTGTACAGTCTCATCCCCCTCCCTGAGCTCTGCTCCCATCCCTCCAGGTGGTTTTAGGAATTTACATTCAATATTAATTAATCTTCCCCTCTCTTGTACTTTGAGCTTCCCTTTCTCAATTGAATCTTTTCATAGACCTTTAACTTTGATCTAATATATCCCAATAAAATAAAAGGAACACTTGATTAAGTTGTGTTTTGGAGCCATCTCTCCATTTGTGGGGATCAGTGTGAAGCTTTGGTACCTTCTTTCAATCCTGCAGGTACCACCGAAGTACCTACAATTATTCCTGGGGACCCCAGCTTCAAAATGGGATAAGTGTCTTGCCTGATCATTTTATTTGGGGGTTAAGCCCCTGCAGAATTAGAGAACCCCCCCGCCAAGTATGTATTTAAAGTCCAGAAGTTCTTAAACTTTTTTTGTGCCCTGGACCTCTTTGGCAAGGAGACTGGGACAATGGCCTTAACTAGTGAGAAGTAGCAGAATCCTTGTATAAGAAGACCTATAGGGAGCAGGAAGGAAGCTGGCCAGGAATATGCCTAGAATATTTTACTTTTTTTGTGTGGGTAGTGGGGAGGGACTGGAAATACCTTCAAGACAGAATGCAAGATGGGACTGAGTCTCCAAGACCTGGAATCCCTCATGTTAAATCATTTGGATAAATGCAGCCTTATATAGTTGTGTTAAGGAGACCAAGGGGAGAGGTTTGCATCCAAGTTGGAACCACAGTAAGAGATACGTAGTCATATATAAATATATGTATTACTCAGGGAGAGCCATAAGGAGACAGAAGTTTCAGGTGGGAAGGCAAGAGCATAATGGCCACGTGGTCTGTTCCTCCTTACCTGGCCAGTCCCCTGTCAGCGTTTTCTCTGCTCAAACAATAGGGGTGTGTGGGCATTGCTAGAATAATGGAAGCTGTTTGTTCTTTTTTTTTTTTTTAATCATCTCTCCATCTTCTTTCCTTTGCGACTGGACAGTATATTCCATGAAAGCAGAAACTATTTGATACTTCTTTTATATAACCAATAATAGTAGATATGAAAAAAGAAAATGCTTTCTAATTCTCTCCACTATTGAAATAGGGTATCAGACCCTGCCACGAACTACACTAAACGATTAAAATCTAAGCAGACCTGCAACTGATTATTATCTCATTCCTTCCCGCGGTTTTATAGATGTAGATTTGGCTTATTTCTTCATGCACATACACCGAAGATGGATTCTGTCACCATAATCTCATCTCCTCAATCTGCAATTCAGTTGTTAGTGTCTTCTTCTTGCACATCTTCATCTGCCACCCCATGGGATGTAGCTCTCCATTCATAATCTAAAGGTTAGAAAGTTGCATCCATAAGACTTAGCCTCCCTGTTAGGAGCCCACACCAGGGACCCCTGGCCCATTGCCTTCTCTCTCTGCAACCTCGGAGAGACCTAAAAGTGGGCGAGGTGCAGTCAGAGCCTGGATGGGCACTTGCTTCTGTGAATGCCCACCTGCCCACTCTCTCACACTTTGGGCTTTCTGGGTACACCTTAGACAAAAGGGTCTCCTTGCCCTTTCTCATGCATCTTTTCTGGACTCCACTTCTTACCTGCTGTAACCACAGTGCTCATTTAACCCTTGCAACTTAGACCTTCATCTCCTCCCCATGGGGCTTGAGGTATCTACCTGGCCCAGTCCCACTAGCCAGAGGCCAATCTTTCTCTCTCTTTGCTGCTTCGGGACCGCCTTGCTTTCATTTGTCCGAGAAGATCACGTCTCAGAAAAGTTAAACTGGATTCAAGACGATGTCTCCTAGCCAGCCTCGGGTCCTGACATTGTTGTTAGTCTACTGCGAATGAACTGTCCTCCTCATATTCTCCAATCCCCAACCAGGCCTGGAGGTCAACTATCTGCACATCCCCACACCCACCCCTGAATGTCCAGCGAGCACAGAGAAGTGGACTACACGATTCACTTGCAAAGACTTCACCTTCTGTTTGGATGGACAAAATAGCGCACTCGAAACAACAGAGCCCAAAGCTGTGTCCAATCACGTTCCTGTGTGTGTCCCAGATGCGGCCCCAGGAGGAAAACAAGTGTTTGCGGAATTTGGTGGCCAAAGGCCCTTGGGCCTGGCTTTATTCTCACCACCACCCCACTTTCTCTCAGGGCATCCCCTGACCCCGGCCCGCAAAATCCATCAACCAGAACCTCGGGGTAGGCCCTGGGTTCGTGCCTCGGCTCCTGAAACCCAAGCCGGGGTTCTCCAGGAGAGAGCCCCGGGAGCGGGGCTTGGCACGGGCGGGAGGAGGGGGGCGGCGACGGCGGCCCCAGATCCCCGAGGGAGCGCCCCGGCACGGCCGGAGCAGGGGCGGGGAGGCGCGGGGCGCAGCCAATCCCCGGGCCGCCCCCTCCCCGGCCGCGGCGAGCCGAGCCGGGGCGGGGGAGCCAGGCGGCGGCGGCGGCGGCGGCGGCGGCGGCGACGGAGCTGCCGTGGGGAGGGATGGAGAGGGGAGGGGGGAGCGGAGCCGAGCGGAGACAGCCGCGGCGCTGCAGAGCGGCTGGGGCGGCGGCGCGGCTCCCGGTGCTCCCCCCGGCGCGCGCCCCGAGTCGGTGAGGGCCCGGCTCTGCGGCCCCCGGAGCCATGGGCTGCATCGGCTCCCGGACTGTGGGTGGGTACCGCGGCCGGGCGGGGGCAGGGCTGGGCCCCCCGGGCCGCCCTCCGACCCCCTCCCCCATCCCTCTCCTCGCGCCTCCGGGCGCCCCGCTCCGCACCCGCCTTGCCCTGCTAGCTCCTTCACTTTCCTTCCGTCCGCCCGCGGTCCCTCTGTCCCTCCTTCCTGCCCGCTCTCGTCTTGCGCCTCCGGGGCTGCCATCCCGCTCGGCTCGCTTCCTTCTCCCCGTCGCCCTCCCGCAGGCGCGGTCCTCTCCATCCTCTCCATCGCCCTCCTCTCCTCTGCCTCTCGGCCCGACGCTCGGTCCCCTCATCCCTGCCCCTCCAGGCCATCCGCCTCTGCTCCGCCGTCCCCAGCGCCTCCTCGCATCCCCCACTCCGGAGCAGCCCCCCGCGAAGGACCCTCGGCCTCCGCGCCAGCCCCGAGTTTCTTTCGCACGCCCCCCACGCCACCCCCCGCCGCCGCCTCCATCTGGCTCGGGTGCTTTGCCCCATCTCTCTCTCCCTCTCCGTTGCCTTTTACTGTCGTTCCTGCCTCCTCCGATTCGCTTTGTTCACGTGCGTTTTCCCTCTGGGGCGGGGGCGGGATGAGCCCGGGTTCCACGCCCGGAGGGACAGGGCCAGGGCCGGGTGGAGGGAAGGGGCTGGGGGACGCGGGGAGGAGATGGGGGCTTCGAGGCGCTGGGAGGGGTCGGGAGCCCGCGGCCCGGGAGGGTGGGGCCGGCCCTGCCTCGGCGGCCGGGGACCCGCCTGCACCTGTCAGCGGGGGCCGGCGGGGCGGGGCCGGCTCTTTATTTACCTTTGACGCGGGGAGGGAAGAGAGGCGCCTCCTAATCCATCTTCTCCCTCCAGCTTCTGCCTGGCTACCGCCCCTGACCCCCACCCAGGCACCCACTCCACTCTCGCCGCTCAGCGAATTCATCCGGCCCTCTCCCACCCCCTCCCCCATTCTTCCCCTTTCCAACTCCCAATTTCTCCCGCCTACACCTCCCGGTGACCTCAGGCTGAGAGAATAATTCGTATTATTATTACAAACAAACTCACTCTCCAGAAGCCTGATTTCCCTGAGACCCGGTTTATTTCCATGGATACCCCCTCCTCCTCTGCTTTCACCCCTTCTCCGCGGCTCTCTCCCTCCCCGCTGCCCCCCACAGCTCTGACTCAGCTCTCCGTCTCTCACAAAGGCCACCTCCCGCTCCCCTCTCCCCCCGCACCCCGCCCTCCCCTGTCTCCCTTCTCCTCAGGCTCTTCTCCACCT
Organism: Homo sapiens; assembly: GCF_000001405.40. Lineage (NCBI taxonomy): Eukaryota > Metazoa > Chordata > Mammalia > Primates > Hominidae > Homo > Homo sapiens. The sequence goes on along the minus strand of NC_000007.14, from coordinate 143,361,315 downwards.
GCCCCATTCCTGCTGTGTCCGGAGGGCCATCTTTCCTCTTTTCCCCCAGTCACCACCCCGCGGAGCCCCAGGGGACAGCAGGCCAACTTTGGAGGGTCCTCCCTCCTCAGTCCGGTTCACCACAAGCCCCTTCCTTTCCCCCAGCCCTGCTGATGTGCTGAATGCCTCCTCGTGCCCAGCCCCATTCAATGCTCCCCTTCCCAAAAATGGAGCCGACCCCTAAACTCACAATTGTAAAACCTCATGAGTATAAAGGGCCTGTACGGTCAGATGGTTCAGGCAGCCATCTGCTGCTTGAATAGTCCCTTTATGAAGACCCAAGCAGTTCTTCCGCAAGACTCTCCGCGGCACCATCCTGCCCTCAGTCCAGGAGTCTCCCTCCACCAGGAGCTCTGGCCCGGCTGTAACAAGGACCCTCCTTCCCCTGAGTCCTGCAGTTTCCCACTCAGCCCTCAGACCCTGTCCACCCCTCCCACCATCTTCTGTCTTCTCTCTGACTTGAATTCCTATTTTCTTAATTCCTATTTTAAAAAGTTCTCTTTTCTCCTCCTGCTCACCAGCTTCCCTCCACTTTAATCCATCACTTCTCTCCCCACAGTCAGGTGAAATGCCTCCAGCTCACCCTTGGTTTCTCTGCTCACTGTTTTTGGGAGGACACACCCAACTCCTTGCTATCCAACTCCTGCCTCGATTCCCAGGAAGTCCTCTTCCAGTCAGTCAGACTCATGGACTCTTAGGAAGGGCCCACCGGGGGAGACACATCCCTTCCACCCTAAGCATAGAGAAAAGTTCCTCATAGAGCAGCTCTGCCCTTATCTGTAGACTTGTAATAGAGAAAAAGCCCAGCTCCCATACAGAAACCCTCCAAGAGTCCTCAGGACGGAATAATTGGTTTTCTGATAAAACCCAACCTCTGACCCCTCCACATAAACAACAACAAATAAGGCCATACATCACTTTTTCTGAGTGCACTATTCTGGGTTGAGCTAAAACTGAATATTTGGGCTCAGCATTACTACTTGTCTCCCCTAGAATTTGGAGAGTGCAGGGATATAAGAGGAAATGGGCAGCTGGGGTAAGGAAGGGGTGTGAAGGGCTGGCCCCAGGGTGTCGCCTCGGCTGCACAGGGAGGTGAGGGCCGGCGGCTAACCTTCTGGCCCCCTCAGGGAATGAGGTGATTGCAGTGGATTGGAAGGGCCTGAAGGATGTCGATCAAATCAACATGGACAGCACCAGCTCACTGCACGGGAGCAGCCTCCATCGGCCATCGACTGAGGTGAGACCTCACTCAGCCACCCCAAGTCTCTGGCTGCCTGCACTTCCTCAATTCCAAGGCAACAACCCAAACACTCCTTCAGACTGACACTTCTACAGAACATTTCTCACAACACATGCCAAGCAGTCCACATGGAGAACCCAGTTAGCGGCATCAACCTCAGGAAAGCCCTCCCCACATCCCGCACTCCTGGAAGGCCCTCTGAGGAAGGGGGCTTCCTTGCATTCCTGCGAGTGACTGGGATGCCCATTCCCTTTCCTCTCTCCTCACAGCAAACTCGAACTGATTTCTCCTGGGACGGCATCAACGTGAGTGCAGCTGCCCCCAGACCTCCCCATCCTCCCGAACTCCTCCTCCTCATCTTCTCCCTTGCACCTTCCAACCAGCACGGTATTCCCTGGCTCCAATAGGCACTGTGAGCACTCACGTTCTCAACCTGTGCCCCAGTTTTCCAGAGCACTGGGGATATATCCCTCCTTGGGACTCTTGGGTATAGTAGCTTTTCTTATCATCTGCCCTAGCTCGAATGCTTTTTCCTGGAAACCATGAACCTCCTCCATGTATAAAGCACGCCCGTACCTTCTTATTCCTCTGCCCTTCCTCCCACATTCCCATCCCAGCTCTCCATGGAGGACACCACTTCCATTCTTCCGAAGCTTAAGCGAAACTCTAACGCCTATGGCATTGGGGCCCTGGCCAAGTCATCATTCTCAGGTGAGACTCCTGATGTAAGAATGCCTTCAGACAAAATAATGCTGACAGACTCCTTGGCTCAGTCTCCCTGCTCCTTCGAGGTTGATGAAGACCCTCATCCCCACCCCCTGACCTATTCACCCTTCTGTCAAGCCTCCCATCCTCCAGGCCATTCCCTCCACTACCCCATCTATGGAGTCCTTAGGGGAGCCTGGCCCAGTGGGATGGAGCCTCATGGGGCTGGGGTGGGAGGAACTGGGAGGGTCTGGTTATGGGTATTGTGTGATATTCTGGAGGATGTGGGAAATGTCTGGCCCCATAGGGATCTCACGGAGCATGAAGGACCATGTGACAAAGCCCACAGCCATGGGGCAAGGCCGGGTGGCCCACATGATTGAGTGGCAGGGCTGGGGGAAGACACCAGCTGTTCAGCCACAACACAGCCATGAGTCCGTGCGCAGGGATACGGATGCCTACTCCGACCTCAGCGATGGCGAGAAGGAGGCACGTTTTCTAGCAGGTACAGGTACCCTAAAGCCTCAAGAGACACATTTGCAGGATGGCCAGGGACCGACCCTCCAACCTGATCCCCTGTGGCAGGATTAGCTCCATCCATACTTTGACCGTAGATTCACATTTCCCAAACAGCTCTAAGTATTTTGATGTGGTAATTCAAATAAGTGCCCTCAAACATATTTTTATAATCATCTCAGAAAATGCGTGTAATTAGATGGGATTTGTGGGTCCACCCATCCCAGATGCCTTCTCTCCTCATCACGGGACTATCCAAACCTGAACTCCCTCAAGTGCAGGGAAAAAAATGGGGAGACCTTGGTCTTTGAAAGAAAGAAAGGCCTTGGGGATCTCTTTTAGCCTTTGCCCTTTAGCATTTCGAGTCATGAATTTGCCTACTAGACTCATTACTTGTGACAACCACTAGAAGATTAAGGGAACTGTGTGAGAGACGGGAGGCCTACAGAAGAGGTTTAGTTCCAGGAAAGTAGTGTAGGTCTGATAACAGGCATGCAGTGTGCCTACAAGAGTGGCCAAGCTGTAGTGCAGGTCTAAATAAGATGCCTAGAAAGGGATAGGTCTGGAAGAGAAAGGAAGTATTGAGTTGGTGGTATGGGTGGGAGGAGAAATATCAGTGAACAGGGTGACAAACATGTAGGGTGGGGGGCAGGAGCAGTACCAGCTTCAACACGCTCATGGATTTGACTAGAATAGGGATCCCCAGGTCTACCCATCCCCTTTTCCTTCCAATCCCTTGAATTTCAGTTTTATATTATGGTGGACCCACAAGCCCACGATGCTCTCTTGGGGGTTCTCTGTTGATCTTGAAATCTACTCTCTAGACTGCAATTCCTAAAAACCTCCAAAGATAAATATCTGGAAATCTCGAATTTGAATCTCTTAGGATATCTCATCAGAAGACCCCTAACTCTTTCCCCTAGGAATCCTAAATCTGATTTTTTAGGAAGTCCCCTACAATTCTCCCTTCTCTGGGGACATACACAAAGGCTGTGCTGTCCAATACATTAGCCACTGGCCTCATGTGGTTATTGAGAACTTGAAATGTGGCTCTTCTGAATGGAGATGTGCTTATAAGTATAAAATACCAGCTGGATCTCAAAGGCTTCATATAAATAAAAGAATGTAAAATATCTCATTAATAACTTTTATTTTGATTATATGTTGAGATGAAAATCTTTTTATATATCGAATTAAATAAGATCTATTATTTCAATTGATTTAACCTGTTTCTTTTTAATTTTAAATGTGGCTACTGGAAAATTTAAAATGATATAAGTGGCTTGCATTATATTTCTACTGAACAGTGCTGCACTAAGATGTTTTCCTACCCCACGCACATGTCTAAGGATTCCCTGAGGTATTTTGTGGTTGTTGCATTTCTTCCCCCAGGCGTCATGGAGCAGTTTGCTATCTCTGAGGCCACACTCATGGCCTGGTCTTCCATGGATGGTGAGGACATGAGTGTGAACTCCACCCAGGAGCCATTGGGCTGCAACTACAGTGACAACTACCAGGAACTGATGGACAGTCAGGGTGAGAGATGTTCCAGAATCCAAACTCTGGAGCCTATGAGGCCTCCCCAACTATCTCAGCTGCCTCCACTCAGCTCCGTTCTTTTAAGACTTCCTTGTCCATCTCAGCTTTCCCATTGTCCTCCCTACTCACTGTGCACTCTGTGTCTTACTGCCAGTTCTCTGTGCTGTCTCTTAGCTGTCTCTTGTGCTGTCTGTGCTGTCATTCCTGCCCTTGACATTCTGTGGCCCCACTGACCTCCATGATTCTTTTTCCAGATGCCCTGGCTCAAGCACCCATGGATGGATGGCCTCACTCTTACGTGTCCCAGGGTATGTACTGTCTGGGGTCGTCAGATGCCTGGGAAGCCAGCGATCAGTCCCTCATTGCCTCTCCGGCCACAGGATCCTATCTTGGGCCTGCATTTGATGACTCACAACCCAGCTTGCATGAAATGGGACCTTCCCAACCAGCTTCAGGATACTCTGCTCTGGAGCCTCCACCTTTGCTGGGGGGAGACACTGACTGGGCTCCGGGGGTAGGCGCAGTGGACCTGGCAAGGGGCCCTGCTGAGGAGGAGAAGAGGCCATTGGCACCTGAGGAGGAAGAGGATGCGGGATGCCGGGACCTGGAGTCACTTTCCCCACGAGAAGACCCTGAGATGTCTACCGCTCTCAGCCGGAAGGTGTCTGACGTCACATCCTCAGGTGTGCAGTCCTTTGATGAGGAGGAAGGCGAGGCCAACAACTAGTTTCCTCCCCCAATGCCCTGCCTTCCACTCCCACCTGAGGGCCATGGCTGTGACCCATACCCTCCCTCCCCCCAGCAGTACAGCTGAAACTGGGCAGACAACATTGGGGAACCCAGGAGCTTCCAGTCCTCTCCTGGAAATGGAGGACCAGGATGGGATTTTATCCAGGCTTACACTCTAGAAACCCACAGGCCTGGGAACTGAGACCTGGGCAACTAGATGGCCGTGAGCTTGGTGTGGCTGTGGAGAAGGACCTGGGCTGTGGGCTTCTGGGTCTGTGCCGACAAAGCCTCCAGTGTGTGCACCCTGAGGACGGGGGCAGCGCAGCTGTGCTCAAGACTGGATCTCAGTTCTTCACGCCCCGATTTCGTCTTCCAGGAGCTGTAACTCTGCTGTCTGAATGCCTCCTTTCTCCATTTCACTCTTGCTTTTCCCAACTCTGTTTTCTCTGGCTGTGGCCCCAGCTCATCCCTACTGAGAGAACAGACCTCAGGGGCTGTTGGACATGGCTGGACAGGCGCAGGGGAGGCTGCCTGAAGGGCACGTCCATGGGGAGGGTGGAGAGGCTGCCTCAGCAGGTCATTTGGCTTCTGAGATCAGGAGTCGAGGAGGAGGTGGATGTGGCAGCTGAGATCTACAGGGGGCACGGATGTGGTTCTTTCTATCAAGGCCTGCCCGGAGACAAGAGAGTCACTGAGGAGACTAAGAACAAACACAGCCCCTTGCTCTGGGATCTTTAATATCCCATGGCTAAAAGGAAGATCCTAAGGATCTGGGAAAAGACCCAGCCAGGGCTGGCTGCTCCAGCTCTTGCTTCCCTTTCAGCTTTCTTCCATCCCTGCTCCGGGAGCCTGAGGAGGGTGTGGGGACACCCATCTTGGATACACCAACGCAGGATGCAGGTGTCGCCAACAGCAGGGGGAGCATGAGGGCTGTCTCCCCTTATTCACCCCTGTCCTCTGAAGCTGTTTACACTTTTCTCTTTGCCTTTTCTACATTTTTATAACTTCTTGGGCACTCAGGGTTGAGTGGAGTGGAGGGAGGAGTCCGGTGCTGTCACTCCCTCAGCCAGGCAGGGTTGCAGCTGAGGGCCAGGGTGGGCACTCGGCACTTTCTGCCCCTTCTTCAGCTCCTCCCAGGACTCCCAAACAGCCTCACAGCTGTCCTCCCTGCCTCCCCAGGCCTCCTACCAGAGGAAGAGAGGAAAATCAGCGGATTCTTCCTTCCAGGATGGTGTATGGTGAGGCACAAGCTTGCCCTCCCACACTTGGCATCCATGCTGGTGGGGACTGAGCAGCATATGCGCCCCAGCACTACCGTGAGAGCACAGGCAGAGGATGGGCGGAGCAAAGCAGCGGTGCTGTGGGGTTGGAGAGCACTTGGCCCTGCCACTGCCCAGGTAGCCCCTCCCCAGCCCTTGGCACAGGCAGAGTTCGGGTAGGAGAGAGAGGCCTAAGAGGCTCACTGCCCTATCTCCTTCTTTCCTCACGCCCTTCCAAGGCTCCGGCTCCCAGGCCTGTGTCCTACCCACACTCTGTCAGGAGTCCTACCACTTGCATCCTCTGCTGGAAGGGAGCACTGTTGTCCTCTCCTGGCCCTGGGCACAAACTTTGCCCTCACCCCCAGGCCCCAGAACTTATTATTTTGGAGTGAGAAGGTTGAGAGTTGGGGTGTTTCTGTCCATCTATGGTCCTGTCCCGCCATCAAGTTCATACTCTCTTACTCACACTTCTGGGATGCAAGCAGGGCAGGGGGTTCTGTGTCTTCCATGGAAGGGGGACAATGGTTATCCTGAGGTTGGTTTTTGGAGGAAACATGGGCGTAGGCAAGGTGAACCAAGGCAGGTGCAGTCACCTAACCGAATGCTGCCTGTACAGGGGAAGAGTCCTCTTGTGCTTGCTAACGTGTGCTGACTCCATGTCCCAGGACCTCATTTCCAGGAGCTCTGAGAGGTGGTCTAGCATGCCCGCCCTGGCAGCTATTCCCCACCCGTCTCCTGCTGCAGGCTCTGGGGTTTTGCATGTTCATGTGACCTTCCTTCCATGGGGTCCCTGGTTCCTCACCTTCTCCAATGTGTGCTATTCCCACATCACCTCTTCCTGTCGTCTCATCCTCTCAGTGCCCATATCATACCCCCAGACCACGGTGGACAGCTCACCTAGTGAGTGCGTTCATTCATTACAGTTCGTTTTTGCTCAGGCCCGGGGGAGTTAGGAAAGGTAGACCACAGCAGCTTTCGTTCCTCCTTCCCTTTCCCAAGGAAGCCAAATGGTCCCTGACAAAAGATGACTAAAGATCTGAAGGACTCTAGCAGGGTTCATACATGAACCTGCTTTCCCCAGGGTGCTGGCATATTGCTGCAGATGGAAGTCAGGTGGGGGTCTGTCTTCTGCAAGGAGCTCCTACTCGCTCTGAAGAGGGAGACTGAGGAGCTGGCCTGGGACCATCTTAGGACTCTTCTGGTGCTGGGGGCAGGGTGCATGGGGGTTGCTTATCGTCTATTTCAGGGGGTGGGGAGGGGCATGTGCAGGAAGAGGCTGTTTCGGGGTGGGAAAGGGTTGCTTTTCCTTTGGGGTTAAGGCTGTGCAGCACGTTTTACAGCAGTCCTGGAACAGGGCTGTTTTTATATTCTTGTGAATGAAACTGCTCTTGCTAAATGATTTTCTTTTTTTGGAGGGGGGGTGCACTTTCATTTTCAATTGACTTTATTAAATGAAAATCCAAATCTTCCACTCCTCCCCCTCCATTGTCCCCTCCCCCACCACACACCTTCCTTCTTGTCCTTGTGTTGAAGAGGGTATCTTGGGGAATGAGTTTATTATCTTCTCCACGACCTCACCTATACATCCCACACACCATCCTCCAGGTCTGGGAAATATCCATTTTTCTGGCCAGTCTTAGCATGTTTTCTTAATGTCACATTCCCACGCCAGGCCCAAGAGAGATTCTATGACATATATTATAGAGAGAATTCTATATCAATATATATAAATATTAGAGATTATGTACACAAGGGCATGGGCTCAAATGCCCACTGCCAGTCCCCCACCCAGGCTTCAGCATCTCTCTTGGCCTGGGGAAGTGGGAGGGATGTGATGCTGGAGAAGGCTACAGGCTGTGTTCAATGACACTAAACAGAATGTGGTGGCATCCTCTGACTGTGAGTGTCTTATTTGGGGGATGGAGGAGACTGGGAACAGGGGAGGCAAAGGAGGAGAATGTCGGAGCGGGGGCACAATGGTAGAATTAAGAACGGCATACGGGATGGCAGGCTGGGGAGAAAAACCTTGGGTACGGAGCAAGGGTTTGGGGATGCTCACAGCACCTGGCCTCTCTTTGTAGAGAAAGCACGCTAATGGAGTGCATAGCCAGGCTTCCTGCTGCTGATTTGGGGAGGGTGAAGATGTGACTCTCCCAAGTGCGGGGCAGCACTCAAGAGCCCTGCCATCTTGACGCTCAGCTCCTAACTCTCCACCCCTAGGAGAGGCATCTGAAGAACCAGTCTAAGAGGGGGCTGGTGTCTGAGTGACCCAGTGACCTAGCTGCTCTGAGCCCTGATTCTTGGCAGGAGAGGCCCTGGCTAGAGCAGCTCCAGGGTAGAGCTGACCTTTGGCAGGACAAGTCAATAACAAGAGGGAGGATGTGTTTCCTAGGGAGTAACCTGGACACTGGAGGACAAGGAAGCTGTGCTGTGGAATAGAAAGTTTTCTGCCAGAGGGAGTCGGCGGACACCATGGGGGCGTGATTGTTGAGCAACAGGGCACTTGTGTCTTTTGCACAGAGCCTTTGGCGACCTTTTCTTCCAGGCCGCTGCCCCTGACAGTCTTTTTCTCTGCATCTCACTGCTTGAAGCAGGGGACAACGGAGGGGGAATGTGGGCGGCCTCTCACTGCGCTAGTCACGGCCTGGCCTGGAGACAGGCAGTGGGGTCAGAGGCAGATTGCAGGAGTGCACATGGGCCAGTGCGGGGCTCCAAGAGAAGTGGCTGTGGCTGGCCTCGACACAGGCAGTGGGCTCAGAGGCAGACTGCAGGAGCAGACGTGGGCCAGCGCAGGGCTCCAAGAGAAGCGGCTGTGGCTGGTCTGGAGGCACATTCTGGGGTAGTCAGTGCCCGAGGCCATAGGATGGTCCCATCCCCTCCTCCGACATGGCACTTGCAGGGCCACAGTCATTCTGGGCCTCCCCTCACCCCACCTCTTGTAGACACTGAGGCACAGATAGCACAGTGCTGGGACAAGAGTACTGGGGAATTGTTGGGTGGGGAGGGGGAGGCAGAGAGAGGCAGGGGATTCCCTTCCTGCACACCAGGAACACTCGGGAAGCCCCACGGAATATCAGGGGCCCTTCGCTAGGGTTAGGGCCACCTGCCTGGCTGGGAATGGGGAGAACAGTCAAAATAATTGACCAAGGCTCCTCCCTGCCTAAATGCTGATTCCTCCTTTAAGACTATCACATTAAAAAATTCCTGGAAGAGGCCACGACATTGGCATGACCTCGCCACATTCAGGACGCACCCTGCCCCACACAAGTTCACCCTCAGGCTGGGCCTCTCCACGGTCTTTATGAGGAGGTCGTGGGAGGGGGTCAAAGGATCAGTTCATCCTCATCCTCCTCGTCTGTGGATCGCAGGCTGGGGCCCTGCAAGATGTCGGCCAGCTCCTCTTCCAGCCCTGGACTCTCCACCAGCTCCAGCTCCTCCAACTCGCCCTCTACCTTGCCTGGGGCCAGGGAGAGAGGGGGCTCTGGGGAAGGAGATGGCACAGGGGTCTCTGGGGAGGCAGCAATCACATCCCCTGTTCCAGTGGCCCCAGGCCTGTCCTCAGGCAGGTTCCAGTTCTCTGCAGAAGATGGAGGTGCCCCGGTACTCTTTCGAGTTGAAGTCGTGTTCCGGAAGCTGGCAAGGGGAGGGCGGAGCTGCACCCCAGACTTGGTGTGCCCCTCAATGGCCTTCTGTAGCTGAAGAGCAGTGGGAAAGGAAAAGAGGGTAAAAAGTTGGAAAAAGAAAAAAGACGGGGGCAGTGAGAGACACAGAAAAGAACAGGTACAATGAAAGGAAAAAAGAACAGGAAAGATATAGAGTGGCAAAACGGGGAGAAAGAGAAACAGAAAACAAGGAACAATCAGAGAAAGAAAACAGAAAAAGGACAAGAAAAGGGGCATGACAAAAGATCCACCTGCCCAGACTCAGACCCTTGGGTGACCTCTTCCTTCCTAGTGACCACCTGCAGCCACATCCCCCCACTGCCTTTTTTCCGCAGCTTTCCTCAAAGCGCATCCCCGAGAAACTGTGACTCATGCCTGGAACCCCCATCTCAAACCCACACTATCTACAGAAGATCACGTGGGCCCCATCTGGGGTGGAGAATTCCATTCCCTTCAGGGCTGTGGCCATAACAGGCTTCGTAGTCTCCTCTACCTCAGCTGGCTGCTTGCTCTACCCCCTCCAATCTCTGCATAAGAAATACAGAGGGGTGCCAGGCATGGTGGCTCATGCCTAGAATCGCAGCATTTTGGGAAGCCGAGGCGGGCGGATCACCTGAGGTCAGGAGTTTGAGACTAGCCTGCCCAACATGGCAAAACCCCGTCTCTACTAAAAATACAAAAAATTAGCGGGTGTGGTAGCGGGCGCCTGTAATCCCAGCTACTTGGGAGGCTGAGGCAGGAGAATCACTTGAACCCGGGAGGCGGAGGTTGCAGTGAGCTGAGATCACGCCACTGCACTCCAGCCTGGGCGACAAGAGTGAAACTCTGTCTCAAAAAAAAAAAAAAGAAAGAAATAGAGAAGGGAATCTGAGGGGACTTCTGAGATGCTAATATTCCTTCTGTCCCCACTGCATCCCCTTATCCTATGCCCAGCCTCCCTCCTGCTGCTCAAATGGGACACATCGTGATTACCTCCTCCAGGGCCAGGACGCCCCTGAGCTTCCCCATGCTGGTCACGTAAGCGAGGTGGAGGCCAAGGAGTGAAAACAGGGTATGAGTCTGAGGATGAAGAGCACAGGTCAGTGCATGTTCCTTGCCCCACAGCTCTCCTGCCTTCCCCACAGCCCTGAGCAGTCAGCAAAAGACTCACCTTGTGCAGGGTTGTCTGCTCCACCAGCTGGAAGGGAGACTGGTCAATACAGCAGGAATCAAAACAGACAGGCTGGCTCAGCTGCTCCTGCTCCCAGGCCTCAATCTGTCAGCCAGAGGAGGAAAGTCACGAAAATCACAGAGCCTCCTTTCACCCCAGATACCTGATTTTGACCCCAAACGGCCCTCCTAGCCGCTGCCCAGAATCTGGGAACATGCAAGAACTGATCATAGATCCCCCAGATCAGAGGACCTCCTCCTTCTTCCCAGGGGACAGAGCCTCTCTGCCCTTCCTCATCAGGCCCCCAACCTACCCTGCAACCCCCAGGTACCCAGAACACCCCTCCCTCTTCTAGGCTCCAACTCTCCTATCCCCTGGCGTCCCAAACATTTGTTATTCCCAACCTATCTTTCCCATCTATTTTCCACTACTACTATAAGACGTGGGGCTCCAATCAAACCAGACTGCTTTCTGCTCTTCAAACATGCCTTCCCCTTTGTCTTTGCTATTCTGACCATCTGGAGTTCCTTTACCTGCCCTACCCTCTCCCTGCAGTGTACGTATTTCCTGACTCTCCCAATCAGATGTGCTTCTCCCCTTTTTTATTCCCATAGTATTAGCTGGTCTCACCTTTTCAGAAATGACATTGGCCATACTTCCTGCTGTATTGGCATCTGTCTTACCTCTGCATTTGTCTTGAGTGTTATGTGGTATCGGCTGCTGTATATTGTGAAGAAACTAGCACATCACCTCTCATGCAGGGAACTGTAGTGGGTACTTGTTGAAATTGAAGAGCTATACTGGACCTCATGGCACTTAGCTGACTTGAGCAAAGCCAGTTTTTGTTTGTTTGTTTTTGTCTATGACAGAAGCATTAAGGCACAAAGGCCAACCATCCTCTTGACTTTAGATACGCACACCAAAATTCCCAAGAGTCCAAATAATCCATTACATCTCTGGCTCTCTTACATTTTTCTAAAATTTCTAAAATCTCTTTTCAGTCAGTATCCTCTGAATGATCTAGAACTCTATTTTCCTATTTGTCCAAATCTACACCTCTCAAACTTCAGAGAATATCACCAAAGGGCATTATATAGGTTTAGGATCTGGTGTGTAGCCCGTAGTGATGCTCACTCCACCTGTCCTGTCCTGATATTTCTGGATTACAATCATGACTCCTCTATACTCTCATCTTCCGGACTAATGGATTACAGAGGTTACATAGCATAGGATGGATGACCACTTAGCAGGTGTGTTGTAGAGAAGATTTAGGTATAGGACGGGGGCTAGACCTTGCCAACCATGGTTTGGTCCATCCCGTCCTCTTGGTCTTTTCTATGATCATCTGTGGCCTTATGTTCCGTTTTTGCCTTTCCTTAACAATAACGCGGCAACATTTTCAGTGAATGATTATCAAGTACATCCTCTTTGCCAAGCATTATTCTAATTGACTTACCCGTCTTAGCTCATTTAATCTTCTCTAATAACTCTATCATTATCTTCACTTTATAGATGAGGAAACAGAGGCACAGCATGTTGAAGTCATTTGCCCAGGATTACACAGTCAGTAATTGGTGGAGCTGGGCTTCTAACCTTGACTGCTGTTTGTATTCCAGGTACATCTCCAGCTTTTGCGCAAGGGATGCAGGACGTTGCTGTTGAGGCTGGTGTGTTCCACTACTTGAATAAGCTCGGTACCGGTTAGAAACAGAGCTCTGTGTGTACTCCAGAGTATGCAGAATTAAACAAATCCTAGTAGGGACTTCTGGCAACATATAATTGAATCTTTCAATATTCCCATACTGCCCCCATACTGTTTTTTTGGTCAATATCAACATCTTGATATTGTCAAGGGTATCATCTGGTCTGAAAATTGTGTTCAAAACATCCTGAATTTCAACTCCTGTTAGATCTTATCCCTCTAAAATGTCTCAGTGGGTCACATGGGAGTTGGTAGCTCCTTAAAGTCTTCCCTGGGAAAGACATAAGCTAGAAATGATAGTCTATCTTATTTTTAATCCCTGGCTTCACTTTATTTCCAGTGGTCATTCAATAGCCACACTGATCAACTAGCTGGTTTTCTCTCTTTGGTGCATTAAATTAAAAAAAAGAAAAAAAGCAAAACTTATTGTTATTGGTTTTAGCAACCTAACAAAGTACTCCTTAACTGCAATTATGGCCTTTCTGATTCCTGCTTGTGGGCAGAAGGAATAGTTCTTCCTTTCCCTCTGTGATCATCGATTTGACTTTTTCACAAGTCATTTATCAGAAGTGTGTGTGTTTTGAGGGGGTGGGGAAGGTTTCTCTTCTGTCTTGTCACTCACAACATCCTCCTCCAATCCTGTAATGCTTTTCATTGTCAGCACATATTTATTCTGGATATCCAATAAGATGTTCATTTAAAAATAATATCTGCCGTGTTTTTTTTGTCAGCTTCATACTTTACAAGCTTTACGTTTTCGGCGTTTGCAGCAAACTCTGCATTCTTTTACCATATGGAATAGTTGCCAATGGATTTTTCTGTTGATGTTCCTCCACAACCCCTCGGTATGTTCTGATACCGCCTGCTTCCAATCACTAGTCCACATTCTGTTCCCTCCTGACAACCAAGCACATTCAGAATGCTTGATTTTTCTCTCTTGAAGATTTGATAACCACCTCGTTTAGGAAAATAGGCATTTGTTTGTCCCCAGGAGGCACCGTGGTCATTATTTTCTTCCTTTTTCAGTTCTTCCCAGTAGCAATGCCTAGCATTTTCCAGTTGTTCACTGTCTCAGGGCCCTGATCAATCCAGCACAGTAATCTCCACCAGGAGCAGATTTCTCCATTTTAGTTTTTTTTTTTTTTTTTTTTTTTGAGGCAAAGTCTGGATCTGTCACCCAGGCTGGAGTGCAGTGGTGCAGTCTCTGCTCACTGCAACCCCCACCTCCCGGGTTCAAGTGATTTTCGTGCCTCAGCCTCCCAAATATCTGGGATTACAGGTGCGTGCCACCATGCCCGGCTTATTTTTGTATTTTTAGTAGAAATGGAGTTTCACCACGTTGGCCAGGCTGGTCTCAAACTCCTGACCTCAGGTGATCTGCCTGCCTTGGCCTCCCAAAGTGCTGGAATTACAGGCATGAGCCACCATGCCCGGCCTCCCATTTTAGTTTTGATGTTCTTCTTCTATGTTGCTGTTTTAGTGCCAGCCTCCTGGTGCCATTTTACCTCCATTAAAGCTTTGCCTGATCCAGAAAGCCCATAATCTCTAAAAGATCTGGGGCTCATCTTAGCACCATGGCCCCATTTACTCATGGAGGCTCAAAGTTTTTCTCTTCTGAAATGACGTGTCCTTCTGAGAACACCTCCATGTCCCATCACACACTCATTACTCTCTCCATAATCATCCTTATTTCCATCCTCTCAAAACACTTCCCATCCAGACCACATTCTATTTCATGACAACACAATAAAGAAGGTAGAAACAAATTAGCAATATCTTCATTTGATAGAACAATCCACCCCAGGTTTCCATTTCCCTTACTCACCTCTTCAGGTGACATGTTATCCACTAAATCTGTGGAATCCTAGAGAAGAAAGACATAGGTCCAAGTTCTTTCCCTTTTCTTCCCATGGTAGCTATGGCTCCCAATGAAACAATAGCCATCCCTCCCTGGCCAGGACCACCGATGCCTCCTTTTCATTCATCATCCCTTCCATATGATTAAACTCCTCCTCCTTGGTGGGGTCTCTGCCTTCCTGATTTAAGAACCGTGGGTTTCTCACTCTTCAAGGGCAGGCTCCCTTTCCCCTGTATCCCCAAACACATCTCCTCTCACCTGGGTTGTTTTCTTCTTTGTGGGGCGAGCTCTGCCCAGCAAGCAGTGAAGCAGGGACTGGAAGATGGAGGGTCTTTGACCTGAGAGGACAGGTGAGTGGATGGAAATGGACACAAAGCAACAGGAAACGGCCAGGGGCCCCACCCAGTGCCTAACATTTGCCTCCAAAGAGCTGCACTTCCCAGGTACCTCACCCTCTCTTCTACCCTCCTAAATCACCCTCTGCTCCCACTCCCTGGGACAGTAACAAGGAGAATTGATGAATAAGAACCCTGTCCTCCCTCAATCCCCCAGCCTCACCCCCCACCCCACCCCGCATAGGAATTGCATGCAGGTCAAGGTCAGGTCCTAGTGACCAGAGAGAACCCACAAGGGGTGAGTTGGGGTGCATGAGGGAAGAGCGTCACCTGCAGGCTCTGGTGCTTCCGGCTGCTGTTTGTGGCCAGGCAGAGGCCCATTGGGCTCTTCTGGGGACAGAGGGGCAGTAGTAGAGGGGTGGAGAGCAAGGGAAGGAGGAAGCTGTAAGGAAGAGTAAGAAGTCTCAGCCTGGGAGCAGAGACTGCCTGGGCCTTCACTGCCTTTACCAGTTGGTGGATGTTCTGGGAAAGCGAACTCTATTCTTCCCCCCAGTTCAGAAATTCCTATATCCCTTTGAATTGTCGAGGATACCATCATCTGCAACCTTATCTTCTTTAGTCCCTGGACCCAGAGGCACTGGTCTCTATGGTACCTGATCCAGAATTTCTGGCTTTCTCAGTTACCAGACTCTCCCCTCCCTCTTCCCACTACTTTCAGGGAAACTACGCCTGTCCCAGCCCAGCCCAGCCCAGCCCAGACGACGCTTTTCCCTTTGCTCCTGATCTATCCCACTCCCTAGCCCTTCCCGGCGCGGTCACCTCGCTCTTGCCAGAGAGGTCTTCGTCCTCATCCTCATCCACAAAGGCGAAGGACTCGGGCCGGCCTGGAGGCGCGCCGGGGAGCCCCTCCCCAGCCAGCCGCGCCTTCCCGTCGTAAGGCAGCTCCGACAACTTCCGCGCCATCTCTTGGGCTGCGCGCAGCCTGCGCTCAGGACACAGGTGGCGCTGCAGGAGGGCCTGCAGTTCCGACCGCTCCACCGAGCCCAGCAGGATCATTGAATCTGAGGGAAACCCACGCCCTGCCTGAGCGCCCCCTCCAAGCCCTCTCGCACCACCGCGCTCCGCACTCCTGAGAAGGAACAGGAGAGGCGCCACCCTGCCCGGCGTCCCCACATCTTTCTCAGCTTCCTGGAAACTCATTTTAAGAATCCTCCAAGATTAACCTCACTCAATCCCTTTTATTTCATCCATTTAGCAGGTACGGGGCCAATTGGTAGAGCACTAATTGGGCTAATTTGTACTTATTTTGATGAGGCCTTATATAGACTTCAGATAGGTGAGCTGATAATTAAGGAGGCTAATCAATGCTGTCCAAATAAAAAGAAACATGAGAAGCCATTCAAATAAGCTGAGACGTGAACACGCTTTGAAAGAAGTCTATAAGCAATACAAACATTATATCTCTCCCTGGAAAAAGGGAAACAAGGGAACTCTTTCTTTTGTATCTGACATTTCATCATTTAAAAAACCTGGGCCAGGCGGTGGCTCACGCCTGTAATCCCACTACTTTGGAAGGCCGAGGCAGGCGGGTCGCCTGAGGTCAGGAGTTCGAGACCAGCCTTGGCCAACATGGTGAAACCCCGTCTCTACCAAAAATAAAAAAATTAGCTGGGCGTGGTGGCAGGCGCCTGTAATCCCAGCTACTTGGGAGGCTGAGGCAGGAGAATCGCTTGAACCCGGGAGGCAGAGGTTGCAGTGAGCTGAGATCGCACCACTGCACTCCAACCTGGGCGACAAGAGCGAGATTTCATTAAAAAAAAAAAAAAAAAACCCTGCTAGGATAAATCAAAATGCCTACTTTTCCTGAGAAGGTCTTTTATATGATTATAGAAATTTTGCTACTATAGTTAACATTTTTATTAAGTTTTAAGGCCAAGACATTGCAGCAGTGCTCTGGAGATGAATTTTACTGTTAGGTCTCAGTCATTATTATGAAAACCTTGCCCCTCATTTGTTGGCTGTACCCCTCCTCTAATAAAGAGCCTCTGCTGTAGAACGTGGAATGTATATGAGATTTGGGAAAATATTTGAATTAATTTAATTTGAGAAATTTGGATATTCTGATTATTGGAAATCAGAACTAACAATCTTAATGACTCCAAATGGCCCTACATGATTTTTCTTTATTACACTAATTCAAACACTAGGAAATTATTCATTTAATATCTAGTAGATACCTATAACAAGGCACTCTGGGTATATAGAATTCATAGCCTCTATTCTCAAGGAATGCCCACCTAGTTAGGAAGACAAGATATAGATATATAAACCACAATAAGAAATCATACAAAGCAGGATGAAGTGTCAAATGATGGTGAAGGCAGAGAAATGTGAAATTATCGTTTACTAACAACCATTCACTCCTCCATGTGAAACAGTTCCAGCCGGGCACAGTGGCTCATGCCTGTAATCCCAGCACTTTGGGAGGCCAAGGCTGGTGGATCGCCTGAGGTCAGGAGTTCGAGACCAGCCTGGCCAACATGGTGAAACCCCGTCTCTACTAAAAATACAAAATTAGCTGGGCATGGTGGTGCATTCCTGTAATCCCAGCTACTCAGGAGCCTAAGGCAGGAGAATCACTTAGAACCCAGGAGACAGAGGTTGCAGTGAGCCAAGATGGCGCCATTGCACTCCTGCCTGGGCAACAGAGTGAGGCTCTGTCGAAAAGAAAGAAGAGAAAAGAAAAGAAAAGAGAGAGAGAGAAAGAGAGAGGGAAAGAGGGAGGGAGAGAGAAAGAGAGAGAGAGGGAAAGAGGGAGGGAGAGAGAGAGAAAGAGAAAGAAAGAAAAAGAAGGAAAGAAAGAAAGAGAAAGAAAGGAAGGAAGAAAGAAAACAGTTCCAACTCTTCCATAAGTTGGGCATTAAAGAACAAGCATGACTTATGTAAGCATCAAAATGGAACAACGTAAGAAGCTATGGGATTTACATTAATTGTCATTATTCATGGATTCCCTATTTGTGAATTCAGCTAGTCACTAAAATATATTTGTAACACAAAACCAATACTAGAGGTGCTTTCACTGTAATTCACAAACATGCAAAGAGCAACAAAGATTTTTAGTTGTCCCATGTCCCTGTTCCCAGCTGAAGTTGAACAAAGCAGTGCTGTACCTTCTTGTTTCAGCTTTCACATTGTAAACAGGTGTTCATTTTGTAGTCTATTTAGTGCCATCCTTTTTGCATTTTTGTGCTTTGTGTTGGTGATTTTGCTGCTAAAAATGACCACCAAATATAATGTCAAAGTGCTGTTTACTGTTCCTAGTGCAAGAAGGCTGTGATGAGCCTTATTGAGAAAATATGTGTGTTAAGTAAGCTTAATTCAGGCAAGGGTTATAGTGCTGTTGGCACAAGTTCAATATTAATTAATCCACAATATCTGTGAAATAAGGTGTCTTTACCAGAAACACACATACAACAAGGTCATATATTGATTGGTTGATGGAAATGTGACCAGAGACTCACAGGAACACAGCCCTGTATTTTTCCTAGGAGCAATTATTCAGTATAGTATTTGAACTTCATACTTAATTGAACATAACTACCATGAATTATGAGAATTGACTGTATTTAGTGGGAAATTTTTTTTTTTTTAACAGAGTTTCATTCTTGTTGCCCAGGCTGCAGTGCAATGACACGTTCTCGGCTCATCGCAACCTCCGTCTCCCGGGTTCTAATTACAGGCATGCACCACCACACCTAGCTAATTTTGTATTTTTAGTAGAGACAGGGTTTCTCCATGTTGGTCAGGCTGGTCTCGAACTCCTGACCTCAGGTGATCTGCCCACCTCGGCCTCCCAAAGTGCTGGGATTACAGGCATGAGCCACCATGCCAGGACCTTTTAATTGCATTTTTAACTGTCTTTGTGTGCTTGTGTTATGGCTTAATTTTTCCTTCCTTGTACATAGCACATTGGATGGCCCCTAAAGACAAAGCCCCCACCATGGGGCCTCCTCTACCTCTATGTGACCCTTATTCAGGTCACTAGCTCTGGAGTCGACTTCTTCCTCCCCACTGACCTTTTGAGTCAACCAGTGGTAAAGTCTTGACTGTGGTGGTCTGGAGCAGGGTTCGCAACTCCCCATATGTGTAAGAAGCTGAAACAAACTTCACATCACGTACCATGATGTCCTCAACAAAGATGGTATATTTGCTATGGAGGGAGAAAGCATGGTGGGTTAGCCCCACCGTATACCTATCCCTTCCATTCCTCCCATAAGATTTGCCATACTTTCAGTCACTCACAATATCTACTAGGTGCATGAGAATATAATAATAATTTAAAACAGTGTTTCCAAACTTTAACTCTAAGCTCAGTCTCAGCCTCAGAACCTCCCACTCTCCCCATCAGATCTGAACTAATTCCGTCTAGTGCCCCTGACCTGAGCTGGTTCCAGCCAAGGTCAGGCAAGTAGGGTAGCTTCTTGACCTGGATGATGCTGTCATAGAGAGAGGGCTGCAGGCTCTGGGCCACCATGTTGGCCAAGATAACAGCCACCATCATGGGCAGGATGTGAGCAATCTGACCCGTTAATTCGAAGCAAATCACAGCTGTGGAGACTGTGTGGGAAAC
Organism: Homo sapiens; assembly: GCF_000001405.40. Classification (NCBI taxonomy): domain Eukaryota; kingdom Metazoa; phylum Chordata; class Mammalia; order Primates; family Hominidae; genus Homo; species Homo sapiens. Next base: position 143,341,951 of record NC_000007.14, on the reverse strand, counting down.
GGCACCAGTCAGCGCTGCTGCTCCTAGAATGACACAGGAATACGCCTGTAGGTTAGGGCTACCGTTCTTAGCATGAAGGACATATGGGGATGGGATGGGAATAACACGGAATGAGAGACATGACCCTGGTCAGTGCCAATACTCATAATGACTTGTCAAGAGTAGGGAATAGAATACTGAACTCTTAGAAAAATCATCATTTTGATCTCATTCTATAAACTTCACCAAGTTACAAAATCTTTGTGTGTGCCAAAATTTTCATTTATAATATGAAGATAGTGATGTCCTATCCATTCCTTGCTTTTAAAAGTTTGGATGATTATTCACTGAGCATTTTATTTTATTATTTTTTAAAATTATTATTATTATTATTATTATTAATTATTATTATTTGAGGCAGAGTCTCACTCTGTCACCTAGGCTGGAGTGCAGTGGTACAATCTCGGTTCATGGGAACCTCCACCTCCCAGGTTCAAGTGATTCTCCTGCCTCAGTCTTCCGAGTAGCCAGGACTACAGGCATGCACCAACACACATGTCTAATTTTTGTATTTTTAGTAGAAACAGGGTTTTGTCATGTTGGCCAGGCTGGTCTCGAATTCCTGGCCTCAAGTGATCTGCCTGCCTCGGCCTCCCAAAGTGCTGAGATCACAGGCATGAGCCACTGTATCAGGCCTCTTCACTGAGCATTTTACAACTCAGTTATAACATTTTTTTTTTTTACCTTGGGCTTTAGGTATTAATGCCAACAATTAGTGAGTAAATAGAATGAAAACCCGAGAATCATACTGTGGACATGCAGCAATGAGACCTGTGTCAGATCCTGCTCTTACTATTTCTCAATGGAATGAGTAGAGCTTAATTCCTCTGGAATCCCATGCTCTCAATTATAAAGCGAAAGGGGTCATTTAGATGATTTCTAAGGCGCTTGTAGATCTGAAACTTTATAATTCTATAAGCTCCCTGAAGATAGAATCTATCTTGTTAATTTTTGGTTGTTTCTCCACTAACCAAAATAGTCCTTTGTGCTTTAATTATATTTCTTATTTAAATATGGAAGAGGTATCCTATGGGGAAAATGTAGAGGAAGGCACATATGAAAATGTAACAAGAAAAAGTCAGCCGGGCATGGTGGCTTATGCCTGTAATCCTAGCACTCTGGGAGGCCGAGACAGGTGGATGACTTGAGGCCAGGAGTTTGAGACCAGCCTGGCCAATATGGTGAAACCCCATCTCTACTAAAATTACAAAAATTAGCCAGACATGATGGCATGTGCCTGTAATCCCAGCTACTTGGGAGGCTGAGGCAGGAGAATCACTTGAGCCCAGGAGGCAGAGGTTGCAGTGAACCCAGATTGCGCCACTGCACTCCTGGGCAACAGAGCAAGACTCTGGAAATAAAAGAAGAGAAGAGAAGGAGAAGGAGAAGAGAGAAAAGAAGGAAGGAAGGGAGAAAGAAAGGGAGAGAGCAACCAAGAAAGCATCACAGAAGGGAAATATAGGGAGGAATGACACTATTGGATATTGCATATAACATACTTCAGAACATAAACAATCACAGGACGTGCATACAAGGAAATGTTCACAAGGGAGGCATGTGTACCAGGGAGTCATGAAGATGGAGAACAAGAGTCTATGACCCTCATTGATGAAAGAGGCTTTTAGAAAGAAACTATGTCAGGGGAGCAGCGTACCAAGTGAGCTAGAAAGCTGGTCAGCACTTCTCTATGTAGGGAAGGCATGGCCTTAGATGCTATGGGATTTTGCTGAGGAAGGGAGGAAGCATAATAATCCCAGGATTCTATTGGTGTTAGGCATAGCTCTATCTCAGAAGTCATTTTAGAATAAAGAAACTAGGGCTCAGAAGCAGCTATCTTGCTTCATGGTGACTGGTAACAAGTGGCAGGAGAAGTCTAGAGCCATGTTTCTTAGCTCTTAGTCCTGTGCTCTTAACTACCCATCAATATCAACACGTCTCAGGTTGAGTCAATCACCTGCAACCTGAGCCAATCACCTGCATTGTTGGTTCCATGATTCTTGGGAAGGAAAGACAGAACCCTTATCAAACATCCAGACACAATCCTAGAATCTTATGATCTCATTTGATCCCTATGATCCTTTTCTACATGAGGAAACTAAGGCTCACGGAAGTTCAGTAAGAAATAATGAGAGTCAGAGCCATGGGTATGTTATCTGAGTAAAAGTTGAGTTAAGTAGCACTAAATTAAAACCGTATTGTGTAGCCTAGAATGAAGATCCAATGGGAGAGTTTAAGTGTGGGGATCTGAAGTACTCAATGTTTGATTACAGGGAAGTGGGAATGTTTCTCACCAATTACTGCATAGCCCCCAGGTAGGATCTTGTAGATGATGTCATCAAACAAAATACCATCAGGAAAGAGCATGGCCATGATTTCTCCTACCAGCCTTCCAAATGCAGCTCCTAGAGGGAAGATAAAAGGAAGGAAGGTGTTACGAGATCCAAGTTCCTTGCTCTCAGTTTTCAGAACCAATCTCTCCTTGGGCATTAAGAACAAATATAAACTCCCAGCATCCCGGGCCTTTCCTTATGTTTCCTGTATCCTAGATTGCAACTCTCAGTCAGACCCCAGGCTTCCCATCAGAACTTACCTAGCACAAACACAGGCATGAAGCCTCCGCAGGGTATGGGCATAGTGGTGGCCACGATGGACATCCAGAACTGGAGTAGAAAGAAGCGTTGGAATACCCTTTCAACTCTGCCCAATAGACATGCACACACAATTCCCTTCCCACTATCCTCCTTTCTGCAGAAATCCTGGGATAGCTGATCCTTCTGAAAGTCACTTTGTCTGTCACCCTTCTTCCAGAAACAAAAGCCATAGAGCTCTCAGGCTAAGAGATCACCAAAGACAATACTATCAGAAGGTTCCTCTAGATGGCTAGACCAAATCCCTTCTACTTTGAGTGCCTGTATTTGCCTTTCAGCAATCTAGAACAAGGAATGGAGCCCCGGAGTACTTATCTTTCTCTGCCCCAAAAGAGCCCCAGCCCATTGTACCCATTTAGTCCAGAAAGTTTGCCTCAGCAAAGTAGCCTGAAACTCTTGAAGACTTTTCCTACTCAGGTTATATTTCTGAAAAGGCGCTCCGGTTTTTTTTTTTTCTTTTTTTTTTTTTTTGAGACAGGGTCTCTCTCTGCCACCCAGCACCCAAGCTGGAGTGCAGTACCATGATCTTGGCTCACTGCAACCTCCGCCTCTGAAGTCCAAGCTATTTTCCTGTCTCAGCCTCCTGAGTAGCTGGGACTATAGGCGCACGCCACCATGCCCAGCTAATTTTTTGTATTTTTAGTAGAGACGGGGTTTTGCCATGTTGCCCCGGCTGGTCTTGAACTCCTGACCTCAGGCAATCTGCCTGCCTCTACCTCCCAAAGTGCCGGGATTACAGGTGTGAGCCGATGCGCCCGGCCAAGGAGCTCCAGTTCTAAGTGTCAGACATTTAAAGTCTGAGTGACTTATTGTGTGATTAATTGAGCTTCAATGGGGTCATAGAACCATCTATATGGTGAAACTCACAGTAGAACCTGGAGAGAAGACTTACCTGCCTGAGCCACTTGCTTTAATGATCAGATCACCTTAAACAAGGATCAAAATTTAGATCTGTCCTGGCTAGCTACTGGAAGGGTAAATTGAGAAAGCCTGATAAGTCAGCCAATGTGATAGAAAAAAAATCTCTAAGGCCAATTTTGTAAGCTAGAACTCCAATAGAAATTGAGACCATTTTACAAAAAGCAATATGTGCATTTTGAGGCAAAGAGTACAAAAGAATTGTCCGGGTGCAGAGGCTCACGCCTGTAATCCCAGCACTTTGGAAGGCAGAGGTGGGCAGATCACGAGGTCAGGAGATCAAGACCATTCTGGCTAACATGGTGAAACCCTGTCTCCACTAAAAAATAAAAAAATAAAAAATAAAAAATAAATTAGCCAGGCATGGTGGTGGGCACCTGTAGTCCCAGCTACTTGGGAGGCTGAGGCAGGAGAATGGCGTGAACCCGGGAGTTGGAGCTTGCAGTGAGCTGAGATCATGCCACTGCCCTCCAGCCTGGGCGACAGAGCGAGACTCTGTCGCAAAAAAAAAAAAAAAAAAAAAAAAAAAAAAAAAAAAAGAATTGAGAAATAGAATGGAAAAAAGGCTAGTTGTGGAACTTTTTAAATATCTGTAAAAGAAATAGAAGTATGAGATGTCATATGTAAGCAAAGCAACAGGTTTATATATCCCTTCCAAAATAAGTAAACCAATTTCAGAAATGGATCTCAAACTTATTAGGTGTAAGAAGGTAGCAGCTAAAGCTCAGGACAAACTGCCAAGATGAAAGTATTCACAATTTTAGAGCTGTGCGCAATTGCACTGTAAGCTAACGAGAAATATATTTCTTAATTTTCAGAACCGTAGAAAGAAAGAACTCCCCTCATCCAGGGCTGACCTCAGGAGACAGTGACAAAGACTCTAAGAAAGTCTCATCCCAGAAGATCTGAGATGAGGCAAAACACACACTCCTTCATGTCAGAATATGACTATTCAAAAACAGTTGAGAACTATAAAAATGAATGGGCAAAATGAAGAGAATAGAGACTGAGAATCCCCTGAGGACAGAGAGTGCATCTTGTCCTTTCTGCCTTCTCTCTGCACTGGCACAGTGCTCAGTAAATGTAGGAAGGGTGTAGCTAGGTGAGTAGGTAGAAAGGAAGGAAGGAAAGAACGAAGATGGGCTGAACAAATAGTATTCATGCAAAGGAGGAAAAGCTTCTCAGAGCTAATATTTGCTAAAACACTAAAGAGTAATGCTCATCCAGGGGAACTTGCTTTAAAATGCAGATGACCAGACCCCACTGGAAGCTACCACATCAGATTGTCTGCAGATAGGGCTATAGGCACTTGTAATTTAAGCTTCTTAAGTGATTCTGACATTTAACAGTTGGACTGAACTATCCTGTACCATCTCTTTGAAATAAGTACATAAAAGCCATAAGAGATTTTGTAGGCTCAGGTTAATCTGAAAGCTCTAGCAATTCATATAACAGGTAACCAATAGGTCTGATTTCAGAAGATGTATTTTAGATTATCCTCCAAGATATGTGTAAGAACAGTATTACAATCAGAAGACATTGAAGTTATCAACTCCTATAGCACAAAGGTTGACACATGAGATTAACAAACTTTTTTAGCTATTGGCACGTGAAAGAAAAGATCCAGAAGTAATGTGAAACACAAATAACTCCCAAGACTTTCTTCTTTCTCTTTCTTTCTTTCTTTCCCTTCCTTCCTTCCTTTTTTTTTCTTCTTCTTCTTTTTTTTTTTTTTTTTTTTTGACAGAGTCTTGTTCTGTCACCCAGGCTGGAGTGCAATGGTGTGTCAGCTCACTGCCACCTCTGGCTCCCGCGTTCAAGCAATTCTCCTGCCTCAGCCTCCCGAGGAGCTGGGATTACAGGCGCCTGCCACCACGCCCAGGTAATTTTTGTATTTTTAGTTGAGACAGGGTTTTGCCATGTTGGCCAGGCTGGTCTCAAACTCTTGACCTCAGGTGATCCGCCTGCTTTGGCCTCCCAAAGTGCTGGGATTACACCCAGCTTTTTTTTTTTTTTCTTCAGATCTAGACCTACAGAACTACCACGATTTTAAACACTCAATTTCAGGGAACTGGAAAACTGGAAACCCATTATGGGTTTCCACCATATTTAGACCCTTCATTAGAAGGAGTAAAATGAAGAATTCACTTCGGGAGAATGAAGTGAAAGGAGTGAAAAAAAATTCAACAGAGCCTCAGGCTGTGCAGAGAACTTAGTGATACTAGGTAACAATGTTAGACTTATTAAAAGCAAACTGAGAATTTGGAATGGTATTCATACTCATTGTAAAAGCTCTTCTCTTGATGTATAATGTAATGACACTTTCCACGTCATGAGATTAAGGAAGATGGAAGTTCTCTTCATTAATATTATAAAACAGCTGAATTGGCCAGGTGCGGTGGCTCACGCCTGTAATCCCAGCACTTTGGGAGGCTGAGGCGGGCAGATCATGAGGCAAGGAGATCGAGACCATCCTGGCTAACAAGGTGAAACACCGTCTCTACTAAAAATACAAAAAAATTAGCTGGGCGTGGTGGCGGGCACCTGTAGTCCCAGCTACAGGTAAGGCTGAGGCAGGAGAATGGCGTGAACCTGGGAGCCGGAGCTTGCAGTGAGCCGAGATTGTGCCACTGCACTCCAGCCTGGGCTACAGAGTGAGATTCCGAATCAAAAAAAAAAAAAAAACAAAACAGCTGAATTGAGAATCTTACCTGCCTGTACAGATGCTGCTAGAAGACCACATAGACTACATTTCAAATTAGGCACTGGAAAAATTGTTTCAGTCATGTTTATATTTTAGTTTAGCTATGTATCCTACCTAGCTAAAAAATAAGAGTATGGTTATTGTGTCCAATGATTAGACAGTGAAAATGCTGGGAAGTGGTGATAACCAGGGAATATCATAGATTTGTAGCAGTGAATGGTTTTATGTTCGTAAATATTATAGGATATTATAGGCCTGCTGCAAACTGTTAGGCTTGAAATATAGCCCAGGAAGTATATGTTTCTTTTCCTGATACAGTATGATGTAACATTATCAAGGATATAATCTAGTGAGAAATTAATAATTGTGGCATACAGGTGAGTCCTCTATATCATCTAAGTAGGTTTCTCAAAATAAGCTTGAATTTGCGAAGTGGAATCCAGACATATACTTGGGAATCTGGAGAGCTGGGATGAGGTTTGGCAGAAATGTTGAAAAATATACAGTATTTCGTTTCTACAGGACTTTTCAAAATCTTGATATTTTAAAGGTACATACGATGCCAATGTTGCCGTATAGCTCAGTCTAGAGGAATCTCAGAAAAATACAGTTATCATCATTGGACTACCGTCCAATTCTGAGATCCACCAAAATTTGTACTTGGTTACTGTAGATGGGTTTGTGTACTCAACAACTAATTATAGGAGGTTGGGATTTATAAATTAGAGAAGATGAACTCTATAATGAAAGTCTAAAAATCAAATCCCTAACAAGACACTGAAAACTTCTTTCATGATAAAAATGTAAAATCTTTTGAAGAAAGACATTTTAAAGGGATTAAATTAATAAAGTGAATGTGCAAAATATGAATGCTGTAGATTCAACTAAACCACCTAAAGTGGAATGGGGAAGATCATTTGCAAATACAGTTTCTAGACACCCTGGGAATATGTTACAGAGTTGAAATCTGGTGTTTCACGTATCTGCTGTCTCTAGTCTTAACATCACTAAAAAATTAAATTAAATAAACAGCAAAAAATAGAACGTTTTAAAATATTTAAAAATTTTTTTTCTGTTGCAAGCATAAGATATAGCTAAAGGTTAATGATGAAATATTATGTACTTGGCACATAGTAAATGCTTAATAACATTTATTGAACAAATGAACTCATGAACCCACTGTAGCTATTGCAATATAAATATAACTTGGTGACTCATATCCTGGGAAAACATAGATTTATAAAAGGTATCATAAATAAGTTAATAGCAAGGTATTCAAAAGCTTGAAAGTTCAGTATGAACAGACTTATAAATGAGAACTCTAATATACAGAGGAAAGTGTTGTGTTATTTAGGCAAGACATACTATTAGTAAAAAAGATAATCATCACAAAAGAAAAAAAAGGGCAATCAATAATTTTTTTTTTTTTCTTGAGGAGTGTTGCCCTTGTCGCCCAGGCTGGAGTGCAATGGCACAATCTTGGCTCACTGCAACCTCCGCCTCCTAGGTTCAAGCAATTCTCCTGCCTCAGCCTCCCAAGTAACTGGGATTACAGGCATGTGCCACCACACCTGGTTAATTTTGTGTTTTTAGTAGAGACAGGGTTTCACCATGTTGGTCAGGCTAGTCTCCAACTCCTGACCTCAGATGACCCACCTCTCTCGGCTTCCCAAAGTGCTGGGAATATAGGCATCAGCCACTGCACCTGGCCAGCAATCAGCAATTGTAATAGATGTCACAACCAGGGGTAGAAATAAAAATATCTTATTACAAGGCAGTAATTGAGAAGTCTATAAATACATAATCCTTGATGGGCAGATATGAAAAAGAAGTGATGTGAAAGAGATCATCTTTTATTGCCTAGTTGAAGCTAGAAGAATATGGTTTGGGAATGGCAAAATCCTCACAGCTTCATCACCTAAATAGAGAATAATAACATGTATAAAAATTATGTGTAGTCACTAATACAATTAATTTAAATATTTTATCCCTTTTGAAGATCTAAAAAAGAGATTATCTACAAAACCGGGGGAAAAAAGATGCTCAAATCACCTAAAAAATGGATCATCAGATACATGGAGAATGAAATACTTAATTATCTACTAAGTGGGGGAATTTGGTTAATTAATCCAAGGCTTTTACAGTTATTTATAATGCTTAACTCTATCTTGTACTTTTTTACTTGGCTACTGTGACAGCTTAGTAATTTAACAAGAAGAACAATTAGAAGGGTTAGATAACTATGCCAGACAACACTAAGTTGACGTGAATACAGCAATTAACTCAGATACTAGTTTACTTCTATAGCAACTTACAACTCTATAATTTTTTTTTTTTTTTTTGAGACAGAATCACACTCTGTCACCCAGGCTGGAGTGCAATGGCACGATCTTGGCTCACTACAACCTCCACTTCCCAGGTTCAAGTGATTCTCCTGCGTCAGCCTCCCCAGTAGCTGGGATTACAGGCATGCGCCACCATGCCTGGCTAAGTTTTTTGAATTTTTGGTAGAGATGGGGTTTCGCTATGTTGGCTATGTTGGTCTCCAACTCCTGGCATCAAGTGATCCACCTGCCTCAGCCTGCCAAAGTGGTGGGATTACAGGTGTGAGCCACCATGCCTGGCCAACTCTATGGTTTTCAAATGACTTATTTTTAGGTTGGATGAAGACCAAATGAAGTTCTACCCCTTCCTACCCTATGCAAACCCTGGGTTCATAGATTGAAAACAGATGGAGGTTTAGGGTGTTGCTAGTGTCAGGAGCAGTACCTTCATGACGAAGAAGAGAAAGATGATGATGACAACGTTGACCCGGGGGTGAATCCACACAGCTGACTGGCCCAGGCTCTCAGGATCACCCGCGTGTTTCACCCATGTATTGTTGTCAAACAAAGTACTGATGGCTTCGCGGGGCATCAACTGGGAGAGGAAGAAGCAGAAAGGGTGGGTTCTCCAGGGAACTCCTGTGCTTCCTTTTTTAGAGAACTTATTCCCCAGCCTCATTATTCAAGGGTCTCTTTTGCCCTTTTCTCAGGGAGAATCTAGAAAGTCTATCCTTGGACAAAACTACTTATGCTCTGAAGCCTGAGGTATATCTGTGCTGTTTCCTCTTTACCATGTGGCCCCACCAACAGCTGACCTCTCCAGCCATGAATTGACCCATTCCTGGTGGGAAGGTGAATGAGGCAATGACAAAGGTAACAATTCCAGGATACAGCAGGCGGCTGAAAAAGAAACAGAGTTAACCGCCACAATTCAGCCAACTCACAGTAAATACCATACTGAACGATGGCAAGCTGAAGTTTCCTTTAGTCCACCGTAGTCTCATTTCTTTAAATGAAAAAGATTCTCTTCACACAAAAAACCAATATTTGAGGCCGAGTGCGGTGGCTCATGCCTCTAATCCCATGGGGCACTTTGGGAGGCCAAGGTGGGCAGATCACCTTAGGTCACAAGTTCAAGACCAGCCTGGCCAACATGGTGAAACCCCATCTCTACTAAAAATACAAAAATTAGCCAGGCACGGTGGTGCATGCCTGTAATCCCAGCACTTTGGGAGGCCAAGGAGGGTAGATCCCCTGAGGTCACAAGTTCGAGACCAGCCTGGGCAACATGGTGAAACTCCATCTCTACTAAAAATACAAAAATTAGCTGGTCGTGTTGGTGCATGTCTGTAATCCCAACTACTCAGGAGGCTGAGGCATGAGAATCGCTTGAACCCAGGAGGCAGAGGTTACAGTGAGCTGAGATCGCACCACTGCACTCCAGCCTGGGTGATGGAGTGAGACTCTGTCTCAAAAAACAAAAACAAAAATAATCTTTAAATGGGAGACCACACAATTCACCCCCTAACCACAATATCAGAGCTTCCTTATATTTTAATGCAAGCCACCCAGAGGCATTTAATGCCTTCCCCAAAGACAAAAAGGGAGGAACTCTTGGAGAAACCAGAAAGTAAATGGGTAGGGCAAAAGAAGGGCAGTGACTCACTGCTTAGCAAGAAACTGGCTGAGGGCCTTGTGCTTTCGGACACCGAGCATGACTTGGCGATGCAGATACACAAATACAGCTCCCAGGAGCCCACAGCAAATCCTGAGGGTGTAATTTATAGAGTTGGAATCTTACAGACATGAAATCCTCATCTCTTGGACATAACTACTGCAGGGAAACAAATACCAGGCTTCTGCCTTTCCTATCTGCCCACATCCCCCCAGCAATGTACTCTATCTGTGCCAACCGCACCTTCTTTCTAGCTTGGGTCCCTTCCAATCTACAGCCTCACTCCACACCCTGCTCACCACACACAGAGCAGGTAACCCCACTGACCCGATGGCAGCAAAAGCTGGTAGTTCCTTCAGGTCAAAGGGGAAATCCATTCGGAAATTGGTTCTGAACAGAGCAGTGATGGTGACTGTAGGATGGAAAGGCCAGTATTACGATGGGAGCTTCGTAGAAACCCAACAGGGAAACAGAGGTGGGCAGTTTTCAGGATTAATTCCTTCCTTCCTCCAATCCCAGTTTCTCCTCTTGAATGTATTTTCCTTTTTTCTACGCACACTCCTCCATGGATATACTCTCCCACTCCATGACCTATATCTTTGTCATACACCCTTGGGCCTTGGTCCCACCCCACAAATGATGCCGCCCATTATTCCTTTTCTGAACTGCCCCACAGAGTTTTCCTCTGCACCCCATTCCCAGCTTTTCTATTTCACATGGCCTCCACCCAAGGCCTCCTTGGTTACCAGCATCCTTGTTCCACACTGCCAGCACTCGAAACACAAAGGCGCTGAACGTGGCTGCAAAGAATCCTCTCCAGTAGTTCCGAACAGCAAAGTAGGTGGAGGTGACCTCGATGCTAAATAGCACTCCTGCAGGGGCACAGAAGTGTGGTTGGGGGCAGCCAGCAGTGAAAGTGCTCCCCCACACTCCCCACTGCTTGGACCTAAGGAGCTTTTGCTGAAACATGAATCTGGGTGGAAGCAGTAGTGGAAAGTAATGATCTCTTGGATTCCCATGCTCAAAACCACACAACTGCTCAGGCTAGGAGTTTTTTATTTTTATTTCAGACAAGGGATGGGTCCAACACAGAGAAGATTGAAAACGAATGGGCCTTCAACCTCCAAAACATGAGGACCAAGTGTCCGTGCCCTCTGCATCCCTTAGAATGTAGGGTTGAATGGGGTTCACAACTGTCAGATACCCACAGGGACTAAAAGGTAGTTGAAAAAAATCTGCAGAGAAGTTAAGAGAGAGAAAGTTCCAGAGCAGTTCCTCAGTAGAGTTGCCAAGCAGAGCTCAGGATTTACAGGGACTCTCCTTAACACCCTCCTCTGGACTTTCCTACCGTTCTACATATACCATGTACCCTGGGGCAACCTTATAAGGAAGACAGAACAAAAATAGGAGGGGGCTTTGCAGGAGCTGACCATCCTCGATAGTTCAAGAAAAGAAGGTAGAGGAGTCATACAAATAATAATAATAATAAACTAATACTAAAAACCCGACTTAAAAGGACCAACGCAAGGGGAAAAACCAAGAGGCTAGAAGAAGAGAAAAACAATCATGCTTAAGAAAGGTGGGTGAGGCAAAAGGAAAGCTAAGTAGTAGTTCTAAGTAGTACTGTTTCTGAGCGTAGGTGCTGGAGCAGAAATTGAGGGGGTAGATCTACAGAAAAAGAGCAAGGGTTGGTAGGGACAAAGTAAGGAATGCGAGTGAGGGCGTAAAAAGCAACACTCAAGAGAGGCAAAGAAAAAAATATTTCAACATATTAAGAATAAGGGGGGGTGGACTTTAATCTGATGCAAAGTAAAAATTGATGACAAAATTACCTAAAACCTGGCTAAGCCTCATCTTTATCAAAAACGAGGAAAAGGAACCAGGGAAATGCAACCACGCACATAATTGGATGAATGGAGATGAGGCCTGGCCTCAGGAAACCTTGAACTAGGCAGGTTTGTCCCCTTTCTCTCCATGTGAACAGGGTGAACGCCCTCTTCAGGCAGCACCTCGCATCCTAGTAATTTTCTTCTCCCTGTGCTATATTCAAAGGCCACATCTCTTGAATCCCCCAGGACCACCACCTTCTCTTCTACAGGTGACAGTCGACTAGTTACATCAGGTCATTTGCACCAGGGGGAGGGTGGCCTAATGGTTACTCCCAAATGCAGCAGCTGCTACAGTTTGGCAGAGGATTTCCAGTGGTCAGTCCCAAGTCCCCTTCCCTGGGAAGCCATCCCCAATCCTCCTCTTCAGGTCGAAACCATCCGTCCTTCAGCCTGCGCTCTCAGAATTTTGGGTTATTATAGCACTACCACTTTCAGATCCAGATATTTCTTTACATTTCAGAGATCCCCTAGGATTGAAAATTCCTGGGAGGCCAGGCGTGGTGGCTCACGCTTGTAATCCCAGCACTTTGGGAGGCCGAGGCAGGGGGATCATGAAGTCAGGAGTTCGAGGCCAGCCTGGCCAACATGGTGAAACCCTAACTCTACTAAAAATACAAAAATTAGTCAGGCGCTGTGGCAGGCGCCTGTAATCCCAGCTACTTGGGAGGCTAAGGCAGGAGAATTGCTTGAACCCGGGAGACGCAGGTTGCAGTGAGCCGAGATCGCACCTCTATACTCCAGCCTGGGTGACAGAGCAAGACTCCATCTTGAAAAAAAAAAAAAAGAAAGAAAGAAAATTCCTTGAAAACCAGCACCTAGTACAGTGCCTGGTGAATAATCAGGGCTGAATGTCTATTCTCTGGATGAGCAGGGGAGGAGAGGAAAGGACAGGATGAGGAAAGAAGAGAACAGAAGAGAACAGAATTTCAGGAAACAGAGAAAGGCAATGGGCAATGTGGGGCAGACAGAGCTTGCTTGGCCAATCACCCCTTCTGCCCTGCTCTTCACATCACATCAGGTAAGCAGCTGCCTCTGGGGCCTAAAAGGAGGATTTGACACAGCAGGAACCAGGTAGAGTGAGTCTCTCTCCTTTTCTATACCAGTAACAAAAGCAGTCAGCTTTGATTTGCCTGGGTGTAAACTATCCAACTGATGAATATTTTACAACAATTTTTTGAAATCCTGGGCTAGGTTTTCTTTCCTACGACGTGGTTCTGGGACACTTTCCCTAGCAGTCTGTCACTGTATGCTCCGGAATGAGAGCTAATTTTAATATTAGCCTGAGCCAGACATAAAATGTGCAGCTAAGAGGAAACAAAGCATTAAAAACAAAAACAGCTTTCGGAAGCTCTCTGCTCAGGTTCTGGAACATTGCTCTCTTCTCCCACCCTGGATTCCCTCTCTACCTTCTCTGCTGCTCCTGTCCCTCTGCCCAACCCCAGCCTTTGTCCTTGGTCTCCTGCTCCTCCTACTCATAGACACACTTTCTCTCTCAATTTCATGTATGCTCATGCCACAACTACACCTATATGCTGCTGATTAGCAAAGCCATGTTCCTGAGCTTCAGACTCGTCAACCCCGCTGCAAAAATGGTCTCACCTAGATATGTCACAGGAACATCAAATTCAATACACTCAAAGTGAAATGTATCAGCTAGCTCCCCCCACCAGATCTGTTTCACTTCCCATATACCCAGTCTTGGTTACTAACACCACTATCGACCCAATTGCCCTTGTAGGAAATCTGGGTGTTAGCCTAGATCCCTCCTCTCTTTTACCCCACACAAAATTAATCACCGGGATGCTAGGCAGGTGGCCCATGCCTGTAACCCCAGCACTTTGGGAGGCCGAGGTGGGTAGATCACTTGAGGCCGGGAGTTTGAGACCAGCCTGGCCAACATGGAAAAACCTCACTTCTACTAAAAAATACAAAAATTAGCCAGGCATAGTGGCGTGCGCATGTAGTCCCAGCTGCTGGGAGGCTGAGGTGGGAGAATTGCTTGAACCCAGGAGACAGAGGTTGCAGTGAGCCAAAATTGCGCCACTGCACTCCAGCCTGGGCCACAGAGCAAGGCCCTCTCTCAAAAAGAAAAAAATAAAATTAATCACCAGGTTATATCAATTTTACTTTCTACCATTCTTCTCTTTCTCTTCTGCCTCTGTCCAGTGCAGTCTCTTACTACCTAGCATCAGGACTATGACAATCGTCTTCTTGTTAATCTTGGATTAATCCTGTTAATCCCCAGACCAATTTTGTCCTGCACACATCTGACAAAGGGATTGGGTGGACACTCAAAGCTGGCCATATCACTTCCTTGTGCACAAGTATTTCATGACTTTAATTCACCCCGACAGTATTTCCCGAAGTCAGGTCTGTGAGATACTACAAATCCCATGCCCACGAGACAGGGTTCTGTGGGAAATGCTGCATTAGAGACACATTTTGGATATTCCCAATGTGTGTCAGCATATCAAATGTTCTGGTAACTTTTCTTTTTTTTTTTTTTTAAGATGGAGTCTCACTCTGTTGCCCGGACTGGAGTGCAGTGACGCGCGATCTCAGCTTGCTACAACCTCCACCTCCCAGGTTCAAGTGATTCTTCCACCTTAGCCTCCCAAGTAGCTGGGACTACAAGTGCCTGCCACCACACCCAGCTAATTTTTGTATTCTTAATAGAGATGGGGTTTCACCATATTGGCCAGGCTGTTCTTGAACTCCTGACCTCATGATCCGCCTGCCTTGGCCTCCCAAAGTGCTGGGATTATGGGCATGAGCCACTGTGCCTGGCCACTGATAACTTTTTTAGTTTAAAAAAAACTCTCTTTAACCAAGCATTTTCCAACTGGTTTATAGAACCATTTTTACACATTAGATCTAGTAAACCATGAAACACATTCGTGCAAATCCTAGTCTAGAGAATAAATTCCATATTCTTATACATAGCCATGAGAGTCTTCATAATTCAGCCCCCCTTTACTTGTCCAGCCTCATTTGCTATTATTCCTTCCTCTGTATCCCCTGGTAATACTCAGCTACTGCCCCCATCTTGACTTTGCAATGCTGTTTCCTCTGTCCAGAATACCTTGCCCACCATCCTCCTTGCCAGTCCTACTTATTATTCAAGCCTCATGTCAAACACCACCTCTTTTGTGAAGCTTCATGGGCTCTTGTAGGCAGGTTAGCATAAGGTCCCCACTGCACTTTACCCCAGCTGCCATTGGGCCACTTTTTCGAGTGAGCTATGACAATAGGTTTGCCTGCCTGTCCAGCCTCTCAACTAGGAGCACCCTGAGTGTGCAAGATCCAACACAGGGCCTGGTACAGAATGGGAGCAAGATGCTTGTCATTTCAGTAGAATGCTGAATTCCATTTATTTCATTAGTGTAAGAAATTAAGAGCTGACTCCATAATGAATACCTCATTTTGATACTAATTTTCCTTTCAGAATTATTCGGTATTCTTTTTTAAAAATCAAGTAATAGGCCAAGGTGGGCGGATCACTTGAGGTCAGGAGGTTGAGAGCAGCCTGGCCAACATGGTTAAACCCTGTCTCTACTAAAAATACAAAAAATTAGCCAGGCGTGATGGCGCAGGCCTGTAATCCCAGCTACTTGGGAGACTGAGGCATGAGAATTGCTTGAACCCAGGAGACAGAGGTTGCAGTGAGCCAAGATGGTGCCACTGCACTCCAGCCTGGGTGACAGAGCAAGACTCCATCTAAACAAACAAACAAACAAACAAACAAAAAAAACAAGTAATGCCACCTGCAAATACCTTTGTCATTTACCACATAATACAAACAGCGTAAACATGGCACCTTAATTTTTAAGTACTTAACAATTTCTTGTGTCAACAGCAATGTTTTATCTGTGAATTTTTTCTTCCTTTTTCTACCACAGTGGTTTCAGAACTGTTGCCTGTAACTTCTCTGTGATCTTTACCTCTCCCATACTTGACACAGGACCAAGAAGAACTTTTCTGATTCTTCTCAGAAATTCCAATTTTACGAGGAAAATGCAAATTCTCTTCATGTTAAGAGAATCTGGCTGATTAAAACAAAACAACAGAAGTCTCCCAGTCTAAAAATATTATTTAAACCTCCTGGATTTGAAAGGCTAACGAGTAAATAAAGGCAAAAGTGGGTATAAATGTAAGTGTGAACGTTTAACATGTGCAAAAATCCAAATACACTATCCTCCACTGACAAGGATTAGTGATTTTAATGAGTAGAGCTGAGGACAGAAATGTAAACAGGATGCTAGCTGATGTGCTTGCTAACTTGGGTTCCTTAGTCTGTGTGCTTTGCCACAGTGTTTGCATAAGTTAGATCATGCATTTGCATTAACTTTAAACTCTTCTCCACTTATCATTCCTGCACCAAGTCATTTTAGTTCCCTGGAAGATTCTATGAAAAGATTGCTTAACATTTCCATAACTGAAAAGAAACCTCTAACAGTGGGTCATTTAAGAAGCATATGCCCTTCCTGCAATTTTGTTTCTTCACATATCAACTTGGTGTCCTTTTTATCATCAATGAATCCAGTGAATGATCTATATAATCCTGCCCTGCTAATCTAGCTATAATTGATTTTGATGAGTCAATAAACAGATACGACTGCTTTCTCCGACTACATCCATTTGTTAATCATCCATGATAAGGAAAATAATCTGAGAGATCGCTATTTGCCTTATACTTGGAGAAAGAGCTAAACTTAACTTTAAATTGCTATCAAGGGACATTTATCCTTTGAAACTCTCCTAACTATTCCACACTAAAAGCTTACCATTAATCTAAATAAGGTCTACCTGAATTCCCATGCAATTAATAAAGCACAACAAAATGTGGATTTTTCCCTTGAAGGAGGAAGTTCATAGAGTCCCCTGTTAGAGATGTCATCGGTGTAGGGCAAAAACATCCAACAATACAAACAGGTTTGAAAATAAGTAGGGGAGCCACGGAGACTGCCTTGGTTTTAATTCCTGGCTTGTACCTTACTAACAGAATGAACTTGCTCAAGTCACTGTCCCTCTCTGTAACTCAGTTCTCTCCTCTTCCTCCTCTGTAATATCTGTCTCATATGGCTTTGGCCAGGAATAAAAGTAAGTGCTTTAAACATTGCCTGGCACATAGCAAAGGCTTACTAAAAGTCAGCTATTCTCGTAAGTAACCTGGTAATACCAGCACTTGTGGATACTGATTAAAACTGTTTTGGGAGCCAGGCCAGGCAAGCCGATTGATGGGGGAGGGGGTCAATCACTTGCCTCCAAGTGGTGTCCCAAAACAACAGCCGACTCCCACAGCACAGCCCACCGTCAGGATATCAGAGTAGTAGTATGGCTGCTACTAGGGGAGAGACAGACAGAGAAACAGGTGGAAGAGAGGGAGGTGGGCAGGCAGAGGACAGAACAAGCAGGGATGGGGAATAAGGCAGAATGAGAGGCCTAAGTCAAAAGGAGTCCTTGTGGTCCCATGTCCCCTGTGATTCCCAGGCCAAGAGAAACTCAGTGAGTTTGGCAAAAAGGAATTAACCTCATAGCACAGTGTCAAAATGAAATAGAAGGTAGAAAATGAAATAAAAGTTAGGCAAATATATGCCAGGCACGTAAATCAATAAATGATAAGCAGAAAAGAGACAGCAAGAACTCCAGAAAGCAGTACTAATAAATCCTGCACCAAACAGCAAGCAGTCTCAAAATAATACACAGCCCTTTGCTGAAAAAATATAGGTATCTGGACCGCAGGGGCTGTGATCCACAGTCATTCCCTGGATGCCCACTCCAAAGCTTGTGGCAGCCACCCAAAACCCCCTTCTAAGTCTTGCTTAGGCAACCGGGATAGGGAGGAAGTGCAACTTGCCTCCGACAGGGGCTGCAAAGCAGCATCCCACGCCCACTGCACAGGCCGACACCAGGAGGTCAAGCTGCCCAGGCACGGTCTGCAACAGAGAAGCACGCGGGACAAGGGGGTGGAGGGGTGGGGCAGGCGGGACGTATGTAAGAGGTAGGGTGAGGGATTGGGAGCTACAAAGGGATGGGGGAGCACACGAGGGAAACGTGGAGGGAAACTAACACAGAGGGGGTGGTATGGACTAGCAGGGAGAGCATGGGAGCAGACGACAGACCAGACCTCCATGTGGGGCCACAGGTGAAAGAGGGGTGGACATTTGGAGGACAGGCACAGGCTAAACAGAGGCATCACGTGGCCAGGGTAGGCAGACAGGGAGACGAGGAAGGGAGCGTGGATTAGTGCGATGCTGCTTCAGCACCACAGCCAGCCCAGAGCAGAGGCAGCCCTCCCAACACCCTGGACACACAGCCGGACTCCTTCTACCACCTGGCCCCAGCTCATTTCACTGTCTCAACCTTACCTCATATACCCCGCAGAACACAGACATGAATTTGCTGAGGACAGCAGCACAGATGCTGGCAATGTGGACGAAGGGGCCCTGGGAGAGGGGGAGCGAGGGGGCGGGGGTCAGAGGCCAGATGGAGGCTCTGCAGCACTCACTGGACTAATAATATTCCTTACTCCAGGCACTGTGCCAGGGGCTGGAAATACGGGAGTTACACAGAGGTCCTGCCCTCACGAGGCCTCATCCCAGAGAGGAAGAAGAGGAGAAACCAGTGTGTTTCTCCTCTCCAGAGAGCCAGGGTGGAGGAGGGTGGGAGGGCACGTGTTTAGAGGAAAGGGCCTGAGGAGCCTGCCTAAAGTAGAGCTTTGAATGATGGGAGGGAGGGAGCCGCGCAGATGTCAGGAGGAAGAATGTTCCAGGCTGAGAAAACAGCACACAGGCGCCCTGAGGGGCCCAGGGCAGAGTGACTGAGGGACAGAAAGGAAACTTGTGAGCCAAACACAGGAAAGCAGGGGCACAGGCCTGCAGAGAGGAGGAACCAGAGTCCACGGTCTCGAAGGCCACGCAAGAAGTTCTGATAAGGCCGGGCGCGGTGGCGCACGCCTGTAATCCCAGCACTTTGCAAGGCCAAGGCAGGTGATCACCCGAGGTCAGGAGTTTGAGACCAGCCTGACCAATATGGTGAAACCCTATCTCCACTAAAAATACAAAAATTACCAGATGTGGTGGCGTGTGCCTGCAGTCCCAGCTACTCGGGAAGCTGAGGTGGGAGAATCGCTTGAACCTGGGAGGTGGAGGTTGCAGTGAGCCAAGATCGCACCACTGCACTCCAGCTTGGGCAAGCGAGCTAGACACTGTCTCAACAACAACAACAACAAAACTTTCAATTTTGTTTTAAGAGGCATGGAAAGCCTTAAGAAGTTTTTGACCAGGGGTCAGATGAGACTGATCCCATTTTTAAAAGATGCCTCTGGCTGCTGGGTGGAATATGGCAGTAGGGGGCAAAGATGAACACCAGCAGAGAACGGAAGGAGGCTGCAACCCACCGAGCAACCTTGAAAATAGCACAGCCTCTTTCTCAGTCCTAGTTTTCTCAGATTCAAGCAAGAGAATTGGTCTGGATGATCTCTAAGACAGTGTTCTCAACCAGGGGAGATTTTGTCCTCCAGGGTCCATATGGCAATGTCTGAGGACATGCTGGTGTCACAACTGGGCGATGCAGCTGGGCATCTAGGAAGGGTCAGAGGCCAGCAATGCTGCTAAGTCCCCTCCACTGCACAGAACAGCCTCCCCACAGCACAGAGTTTTCCAGCCCCAAATGTCAGGGGTGTCCAGGCTAAGAGCCTGCTCCAAGCTCCCCAAGCTGTGTGGTTTTTGTCATTGGACCTCAGTTGGAGGAACTTCCAAAGCATTTCCCCTTCCTAGTGTCCCCTGGCCCTGGCCTTGGTCCTGTCCCCTGATCCACTTCCACTCCCAGAGCTCCCTCTAGAGTTGGTGCCACCCTGGCTCCTGAGGGCCCCTCCCAGCTCTGGCTTCAGTCATGCCAGGCCTACCTCTTTCCCCACGGGGATGCCACTGCCCAGGCCCGCAGTCAGGGCGACAACCTTGGCCACAAAGGCTTTCATTGTGAGGTATTCCTTCAGGACAACCCCACGAAGTATTGTCTTCATTTCGGGGATTCCAGAGCCTAAAAGCGTTGAAAGATTATGTGCAGGGTCAAGGTGAAGGTGAAAAGGGAGATGAATGTCCAGAATATGGGAATGGGAATTGGAGAGGGCTGAAGAGGCAGTGGTGGGGAGGATGGGGCAAGGCAGCACAGGGCTGTGGGTGGGGCTGGATGATGGGGGAGACAGACAGGGCCCCTCTCAGGCCACCCAGCTCAGGCCGAGTCTGGTGGCAAGTTCTCACCAACAGCCTGGGGAGAGATGAGGTGGCAGAAGAGGGCGCTGAAGAGGATGAGGACTAGTGGGAAGGTGACCCAGACCAGGAACTGCAGAGGAAGGCTGGGCTGCATCTGCGCGTAGGACCACTTGTAGGCTGCGGAGACACATGCCTGGGGTTAGGCAGAACATGGCTGAGCAGCCGTGTCCACGGCACCAGGACGTGTACCCGGCATGTTCTCAGGCCGTGCTCCTTCTGTGTGCCCCTTCTGAGATGGTGCTGCTCTCATTTGACACATGGGAAGCCTGAGTTATGGAGGCGACATGGCCTGTTCCAGTTGGTGGCTGTGTCACGAATCCCACTGGAGTACAGGGTCTGGAGGCCTGGGTGTGACCAACCACCCGGTGTGCCCAGAACCAAGGGGCTTCCTGGGATTCGGGATGTTCAGTGCTGAAACTGGGAAAGTCCCTGGGGAACTGGGGCAAGTTGGCCACCCTATTAGAGGGGCATCCACTGCTTGGGTGGCAGTGAGTGGAGGGGCGTGAGAAGTGGAGCAGGCCTGGGTCTGGTCTTTTCTGGGCCTGGAGTCCCACCTGATCCCTCTCTGCGCAATATTCGCTTCCCATAACACACCCTGCTTAACATTCGCTTCCGATAACACACCCTGCTTACCCTAGGTAGAAACTCCAGAAACGGCTGTGGGCAAAGGTCCAGGTTAAACCTACCCTGAAGGCTTTTGGCACTGACGTAGTCCATGCTCCAGCTGACCAGAGCCATCAGCAGTCCCAGAAGCACCAGAAAGATCCCGTCTTCCCCTAATTTTCTTCTCACCACCTGTCCCAGGCGGTGGATACAATCTAGGAAGAGATGAG
This sequence comes from Homo sapiens, assembly GCF_000001405.40. Lineage (NCBI taxonomy): Eukaryota > Metazoa > Chordata > Mammalia > Primates > Hominidae > Homo > Homo sapiens. The sequence goes on along the minus strand of NC_000007.14, from coordinate 143,320,648 downwards.
GGAAAAAACAAACAAACAAACAACAAACAAACAAACAAACAAAAATATATATATGTAGAGACAGAGAGAGAGAGAGAGAGAGAGAGAGAGAGAGAAAAGCAGCTAACGAGTCACTACTTTACTTTGGGTGCTATACCCAAGATGGGAGGGGAAGCCTTGGGCCCCCAGGGTCCGTATGTCTTATGCACTGAGTTTCTCATTACCCCTCTGCTGATTGCTGCTCCGGCCCCTGCAAAAGGCACCAAAGCCCAGTTCCCCATGAATACTTGAATTCCTTCCTAAAACTCATTTCTTGGAGTTGTGGGAGGAATAACAGGGAATAGGCAAAGTGCGAAGGAGGTGAAGAGAGGTGCCTTTTCCTTAATACTTAGAGGGGCCAAGCATGGTGGCTCACGCCTCTAATCCCAGGAATTTGGGAGGCTAAGGCGGGAGGATTGCTTGATGCCAGGAGTTCAAGACCAGCCTCAGCATCCTTACAAAAAAAGTTTTAAAATTAGCTGGGCATGGTGGCATGTGCCTATAGTCTCAGCTACTGGAGAGGCTGAGGCAGGAGGATCACTTGAGCCCAGGAGTTCTAGGCTGCAGTGAGCTATGATCACTCCACTGCACTTCAGTCTGAATGACAGAGTGAGACCCTGTCTCTTAAAAACAATTAGAGGAGAGTTTTTGTAGCAGGGCAGGGAGTACGTACGTGCAATGGGATGCCCAAGTTATTCTCCTAATCCCTGTACCTGTTTCTACTCCAGATTTCTTTATTCCTCAGTCCCCATCACCTTGACATTTAGAATAGTGATCCTCATCCTTGCTGTCCACGGTAGAACTGGAGCCTGTCTTCTTGGGCATCCCTATGTCCTGCTCCCTGTCTGAGAATTGTTCTTTGTGATGGCCATAAATCTGGACAGAGAGAGAATGATCAGTGTCTGCCTTGTGGAAGACTAAAAAAATAATAGACAGAGGCCAGCAGACAGACTCACAGAAGAAAAGAACAACAGCTTTTTGAATTCTGGGTGTTGACTGCATGCAGGGTGACTTTGTGGTCATCCCTGCCCTCTACTCTCCACCCTCCATTCCCACACTTCCCACCCTTTCCCTTGTTCATTCATCCTACCTTCTCTACACCCATTCTCCAACCTGTACTCACCTTGATCCAGGGTAGCCTTTATCAAGGAGGCCAGTTTTTGCTTTGAAGCAGAGGTACAGAACTGTGCTGAACCCAGGTGGCCATATCAATCAGGTGTTTTGTGTCACTGCGCTTTCTGTATGTCCCACAATTTCCCCAGACCACTTGCATTGACTTTTCTCCTAACATGAACAGGGTGAGGACAGACTGGGCTAACTAGCAGGGCAGTCTTGGTTGCACTTTGCCTTGGTGTGTCTAGCCTTACCTGAGGCACCTCAGGTCCTCTATCAAGCTTCAAGACCATCCACTTCATCTCCCAGTGCTTGTATGCACACACAAGAACTAGCCCGAAAAGGCAGGTCCATCTACTTCTTCCCACAGCTAGATAATTAGACCCCTACCTGCCCCACATGTGAAGAGGACAGAGCAGCTCCCCCAGGTCTGGTGGCCCTCCGCTTCCATCCTGAGGCAGAGCACGTGTGTCTGTGTGGGGTATACAAGAGCTCCAACCACTTTTAGCCTGCCCCACTCCCACTACACTAACTGTCCTCTGGGGCCAGGGTCAGGCCAGGCCATGTTGCTGGATTCTGGGAGAGCCTGAGTAGAAGAGATCTGATTTCACAATATGAGCAGCATTTTACACCGCAGTCCTGAACAAGCACGCACATGAATTGCCCTGCTCATGGCTGTTTGTCTTCTGGGTCAGTGACCGAGGGAGGCAGTGTTTCCTTCCAAACCCTGCGTGGGACCCAGAGAGAGAACATACTTCCCAGTGGAAGTCAGACAGCTGAGGCTGTCTCAGCTCCTCAAGGCCCCAGGCCAGTGGAGACAAGGAAGGGGGTTGCTTCATATCATCATACCTGGGCTGGGAAAACACTTAAAGGGCCAGATCTGTTCTGGCTGGTCCCATGCAGGGCAGGGTGAGGGGAGGGCAAGGGAGAAGTCAAAACTCAAGTCTACAAGTGATACAATGTCTGGGATTTGTTAAAAAGTATTCCAAGGTGGAAGCAAGGCTCAGTGGCTCACCCCTGTAACCCCAGCACTTTAGGAGCCTGAGATGGGCAGGTTACCTGAGGTCAGGAGATCAAGACCAGCCTGACCAACATGGAGAAACCTCGTCTCTACTAAAAATACAAAAATTAGCCAGGCATGGTGGCGCATGCCTGTAATCTCAGCTACCTGGGAGGCGGAGGCAGGAGAATTGCTTGAACCAGGGAGGCGGAGATTGCGGTGAGCTGAGATCGCGCCATTGCATTCCAGCCTGGGCAACAAGAGCGAAACTCCATCTCAAAAACAAAAAACAAAAAACAAAAAACAAAAAAAAAGTATTCCATGGTGTGTAGAGTGGTGAGGGTGGGGAAGGGAAGAATAGATGGAACAATAGTGACAAAATATTGACAACTGGTGGGTACTTGGGGCTTCACTATACCATTCCATTTTTGTGTAAGTCTTCCATAATAAAAATTAAACAAAGAAAAACTAATCCAAACTCTTGTTTACTTTTGAGACCTGTAGAAAACAGGCCAATTCTACTCCCCAAACTAACCATAGCTTCCCAACACGAGAACTGTCATCAGGAAGTGCCATAATGGCACTGTTACTCAAGTTGCCATCCCACCCAGATACAACCATGTACACGAGTGAGAACACAGGGCCAGGGGGAGGGGTCTTCCCTCCTGCTGATCCCACACAGTGTTCAAAGGCCTAGTCAGACCCCGCTGTCTCCAAGAAACCTTCCCAATGCTCGATTCCAGCCTACACTGACCTGTATGTCCCTCTTCCCTACTGGGTCCCTAGCGCTGCCTTTGCAAATACTCCTGGGGGTTGGTCAGGGACTGAGAGCAGATCCTTTTGACCCCCAGTGCTGAGATCCCCTGCATAGCTCATGCCTCAGCTTCCCAGCCTTAAACCTAAAGGAACTGAAGGCTCCCTGTTAAAAAAAAAAAAAAGAAAGAAAAAAAAGCCTTTTAAGTTCTGACCAGACTGGGCACAGTGGTTAACACCTGTAATTCCAGCACTTTGGGAGGCCAAGGCGGGTGAATTACCTGAGGTCAGGAGTTCGAGACAGCCTGGCCAACATGGCAAAACCCCGTCTCTACTGAAAGTACAAAAATTTGCCAGGTATGGTGGCAGGTGCTTGTAATCCCAGCTACTCAGGAGGCTGAGGAAAGAGAATTGCTTGAACCCGGGAGGCGGAGGTCGCAGTGAGCCAAGATAGCACCACTGCACTCCAGCCTGGGAGACAGAGCGAGACTCCATCTCAAAAAAAAAAAAAAAAAAAAAAGTTCTGGCCAACTGCCCTCTAGACAAATTCTATCCTCTGTTATTCTCTGCATTCTTTGGAGGGAGAGGCACACTTACTTATTAACCATGACCTATCTTTTTCCATGACAATTTCACAACCTTTCCTTTAGTTGTGCCCATCCCCATTCCCCCTTTCCTAGGTGTTCATATCCCACCAATCCCACAGCGGGAGGCTGCTCATCCATAGACACTCCTAATTAGCCTGCATGCTTCTGTTGCTGGGATCACATCTCTGCCCTTTTCCAGGTGCCTAACACTTAATAGGTTCTTACTTGATCATCTTGCGACCTAAAAGCTTGTACATCTCTGCTCATTTTGACGTTGGTAGATCTTTGATCACTGATAAGCAATTCAGTCTGTTTTCTACACTTGCCCAATTCCTTTCTTCTGCCTTCTGCAGAAAGATTCATGTTTGTGTGTATTCTGCAGAGGGTCCCAGAGGCAGAAATCTGGCAGTGTCTACCTGTGGGTGAGGGTGTGGGAGACAGCTCCCAGCACACTGCAGTGTGGGCTCCTACGCAATCCACTCCACGTAGGTTATGTAAGCACGAGCTATTCATGCATGTGAGGCTCTGCTGTTTCCCCATATGATTTGGGTACTCTGTTGGTAAAGGTTGTATGAAAGTGCATGCATATCTCTCTAAGTGCATACTTAAGTGAGCCCAGACTTTCAAAGATTTTCATATTTTGAACACATCACCACGTACTTGTTTTTTAAGTTAAAAAAATGTAACACTGCTCCCTCTTTTCACCCAATTCCTCATTTTCACCAGTCTCTGGCACCACTGTCTCCCCTCATCCATGGCTCCCCTCTCCCCTTAGAGCACTTTACCTGTGTGGGGTGGACGTTGTGGCGGGGGCCTGCATCCTTCCGGAGCCTGTGCTGGAGGCCCCCATTCTCAGAGGGCAGTCCGTAGCTGGTGCAGTGTTCAAAGGGCATATACTGGTACTGGGGGTCACTACCCCACCAGCTTTGTTCACCCCCACGCTGCTGTGACCGGGATTGCTCCATATTCCCTCCCCCCGAGCCCCGGCCAGGCCTTGGCCTGCTTGCCCCTGTCCTTCCCCCAGTGTAGCTCCTTAAGCCTCTGCTCTTGCTGTCCCCAAGGCGTCTGGGGCAGCATGCCCACCTCCAGCTATTTATAGACCCCTCTCCGTCACATGACCCCCCACTGCCACATCTGATCTGCTTGGGGTCGAAGCAGGTGTGAGTGCAGTGTGGGGGTGGGGGTTGGGATGAGAACCTGAGGGACAGCCCCACAGGGAATTCCCTCTGCTGAGCCAGTGGCATTGTCCCCCTTCTTAGTCACCAGTAGTAGGCTTCCAGCTCCATGTCACTGGTCCCTCTATAAATATCGCCTGGACCAGGATGAGAAACTGCTGAGTATGCTCTCAAACCTATGTGTAGAGCCGGATCTGCATGGAAGCCCTCCAGTTGCCCATCTCTCTTCTTCAGGATGCGGAAGGTGAGGGGTGGGTGCTGGATAAAGATGAAGCGACTCGAAGTTCTGGAAACACTGGCACATTAACTCACCTGGGAAAGTAACTGGTGCCTCTCTGCCACATCTCCTGGCCAGCTTGTTCCCAACTCTGTGTCCACCCAGGGTTCTGTCTGGCCAGCTCTGCCAGCCCATCCCATGTCCAGCGTTCTTCTCTAGCTCTTTGCCCTTCTGTCTGCCAGAGGCTGCTAATAACAGCTTGGGGGCATCCCCTGATCCCATCCTTATCACTCACTGGGTGTGGAACACTTATGGGAAGTGGGAAGTCGAGGGTCGGTAATAGCCTTGGGTTCTAGAATTTCTCCCACTTCCCAGACTGTTAGGTGTCAGCCACACTGCCAACCCGGAGGGACTGAGCTTCCATTTGGACTGTGGAGTGCCCACACTGGCTCCATCAGATAGATAACAAGGGAGATAACAGGGGAGAATCGAAAGTAGAAAGAGGCACAGGGAAGGGAGAGGTGGGAAAGGGGTGAGGGCTTCTCATGACAAGCCCGACAAACATGAAAGATGATGGGGAAGTGCTCTCTGCTATTCTTCCCTTTTCAGGTCAATAAATACTTTTTTGGCCAAGGACAAACTTTTCTTCCTGGCATCACGTTATAAAACCAATTTTCCTATGACATGTCTTCCCTATGAACTCTTCACTGTAGGAGAAAAGATATGAACTGAGCCAAAGTAAAGTTTAGGATGCATTACCAAGTGGGGTCTGTCCCAGGACAGTCCAAGTTCAGGGACTGCAGGGTAGGGACACCAAACATCTGGTCTACAATGTGATTTTGACCTAGGCTAAATGGAACCACCCAAAGCAGGAGGGAAGCCAATATCATTAAAAGTACTTTTTCTAGGGCCTCAACATCATTAATCATCAGGAAACCAAAATCATAATGCAATATCGCCTCATACCTGTTAGGATGGCTATTATCAAAAAAGCAAGAGATAGCCATTATTATGGCTATGGATATTATGGTTCATGCTTATAATCCCAGCAATGTGGGTGACCAAGGCGGGTGGAATGCTTAAGCCCAGCAGTTCGAGACCAACCTGGCAACATGGGGAGACCCTGTCTCTATAAAAATTATAAAAATCAGCCATGTGTGGTGGTGCACGCCTGTAGTCCCAGCTACTTGGGAGGCTGAGACAGGAGGATCACTGAAGCCCGGGAGGTGGAGGCTGCAGTGAGCTGGGAAGGCACCACTGCAATCCATCCTGGTCTACAGAGTGAGATTATGTCTCAAAAAAAAATTAAATAAAAAGATGAGATAAATGTTAGTGAGAATGCAGAGAAAAGGGAACCCTTGTGCACTGTTGGTGGGAATGTAAACTGGTATAGTCATTATGAAAAACAGTATAAAAGTTCCTCAAAAGGTAAAAACAGAACTGCCATATGACTCAGCAACTCCCATACATCCAAGGGAAAGGAAATCAGTATCTCAAAGAGGTATCTGCACTCCCATGTTCATTACAGCATTATTCACAATAGCCTAGAAATGGAAACAACCTAAGTGTCCACTAACAGATGAATAATGTCATGTGTATATAAATATATATAATGGAATACTATTCAACCCTGACAAAGAAGAAAATCCTGCCACTTGTGACAACATGGATGAACTTGGAGGACATTACGCTAAGTCAAACATTGCAGACACAGAAAGAAAAATACTGCATGATTGCACTTGTATGTGGAATCTAAAATAGTCAAACTCATAGAAGCAGAAAGTAGAGGGTAGTTGCCAGGGGCTGGGCTGGAGTAGGGGGTGGGAGAATGGGGAAATTTGGTCAAAGGATACAAGGTTCACTTATACAAGATGAGAAAGTCCTGGAGATCTAATGTGCATGGTAACTATAGGTAGTAATACCACATACTTGAAATTTGCTAAGAGGGTAGATCTTGAATGTTCTCACCTCCCTGCACCCCCAAAGCAACTATGTGAGGTGATGGATATGTTAACCGGCTTGATTGTGATGATCATTCACAATGTACACATATATCAACACATCAAGTTGTACATTGTTGGAGGCCGCACAAATGTTTCTTATGATTAGGTACAATTGAAGCTTGTCAGTAACAATATGAACCTGTGATCAATTCAGCAGCTGACCAATCGTTACCTCCTTCTTGTTCTTGTTACCCAGTAAATATGAAGGGCTGAGAAGCTCGGCAGGGGAGCTGCCTTTGCTCACTAGAAGCAGGGAGCTCTCTTCTTCTTCATGTTGCCTTTCCTTAAAACAGTTTCTTTTGTCTTAAGTTTTCATTTCTACATTCGTCCCTTTGTTCGGTCATAATGATGGTTTCAAGTGGTAACAGTAGTAACTGCTGTAATCACGGTCTCAAGTAGTAATTAAATATGTATAATTTCTAGTTGTCAATTATACACCAATGTAGCTAAAAAAAAAAAAAAACAAAACACCTGCTCTAACAACAATCCTACAAACCTCAAGGCCTATAATCTCTCCAAAAAATTACAAATGTGTGATGAATTGAGAGACTAAACATTCTGTGATGATACCCACCTTTTCTGCAGGCAGAAAATAAGGATAGACATCTATGGGATTGGTATGAGCAGAAAGGATTACTTTCTTAACAAAGAAAATAGAATCTGTGGGTTCCTCCCTCCTTCTGAGCCTCTACCCTGCCTGCTGTGTGGGAGACAGGCAGAGATGGCAGGTGAGATCGCCAAGGCTCAGGTCGCTCGGCCTGGTGGCAACACTGTCTTCGGGAAGATCATCTGCAAGGAAATCCCAGCCAAAATCATTTTTGAGGATGACCAGTGCCTTGCTTTCCATGACACTTCCCCTCAAGCACCAACACGTTTTCTGTTGATATCGAAAAAACATATATCCCAGATTTCTGCAGCAGAAGATAATGACGAAAGTCTTCTTGGACACTTAATGATTGTTGGCAAGAAATGTGCTGCTGATTTGGGCCTGAATAAGGGTTATCAAATGGTGGTGAATAAAGGTTCAGATGGTGGACAGTCTGTCTGTCAAGTTCATCTCCATGTTCTTGGAGGTTGGCAGATGCATTGGCCTCCTGGTTAAGCACATTTTGGTGATAATTTTCCCTTCTCTGGGCAATGATTAAGTTAGGCAAGTTCCAGTATGTTAAGTAGCACACTTATTTTTTGCCTGTGTATGGAGAGATTCAAGAAATAATTTTAAAACCGCATACATAATAAAAGACATTGTTGCACACACAAAAAAATAGAGTGCCAAGGTAACACTGCATTCCTTGGAGGACTTCAGAAACAAGATTCTCCCATTTGAGGAGTATAGCTTTCCTGAAAGTGATCAGTTGCTGTAGAAACTTGATAAATATAAGCAGCAAGATATGAGATACAATTATGACTTTCTTACTATTTCTGAGAAAGACAGGGCCCTAAAACAGAGCAGCCTAGTCATGGACTCTGAGATTTGAAGGCAGAGACCAGTGGAGTAGGGAAGTGCTCACATCCAGCCAAGCTGAGTGGAAGCGTGTGGTCTAGAAGGAAAGCACCAACTGCGATTCTTAAAACCAGATTCTGAAATTAGGAGGGTCAAAGACATGTACAGACTGCCAGTGCTGGTGGGCAAGGGTTTGAGAGTAAATATCCTGTGTTTGAAATTAGGAATAGTTTAAATCCCATGGGTTTAAATCCCTGCAAGAGAACAAGAAAAGAAAATGTAAACCATGCCCACTCCTCACTCCATCATCCCGCTGGGCTTAGTAGCTTAGGTTCTTATTTGGAGGCACAAAGATGGGCTTCTAGGGATTCCTGTAAGGCTCCTGAATGTGGAAGCAAATTCATAAGCATGCATAAATGATATATATTCTTTCGGGTTTTATTTATTTTATTTATTTATTTTTTGAGATGGTGTCTCACTGTCACCCAGGCTGGAGTGCAATGGCGCGATCTCTGCTCACTGCAACCTCCGTCTCCCGGGTTTGAGCGATTCTGTCACCTCAGCCTCCCGAGTAGCTGGGATTACAGGCACTTACGGTCATGCCCGGCTAATTTTTGTATTTTTGTAGAGATGGGTTTCTCACCATGTTGGCCAGGCTGGTCTTGAACTCCTGACCTCAGGTAATCTGCCCGCTTTGGCCTCCCAAAGTGTTGGGATTACAGGTGTAAGCCACTGCACCCGGCCTCTTTTGGGGTTTTAAATAGATCATCCTAGGGTCCATTATACAAAAAGTTTAAAAGCCCATAGGCTTATAGAATTGCTATTTGAAGGAAAATCGTAAAAAGTTGCCATGCAAGATACATGGAGGAGAAGTTTTGTGTTGGGTATAGGTGAAAGAATTTTCTTTCTGGGTTACACCCTTGTTTTCAGACTCTCACGTCTTCCAGTCTGGCCTCCCCAGCATAGTGGGCAGTAAAACCCTTATGTTCTTTAAAGGTGTTTTCAGTCATCACTTTCCCTCTGCATATCCAGGCAGCCATGGAACCCGTGGCCACCTACTTTCTGAAATTTCAGCTAAGCTACAACTTCCTCTGAAGACACTTTGTATTGTATGCCACTGGCGGTCATGTCTCCTCTCCTCTTTATTGTGGCTTGCCTCCTTATTCTTTTTTATTTTTTTTTTTTGAGACGGAGTCTCGCTCTGTCGCCCAGGCTGGAGTGCAGTGGCGCGATCTCGGCTCACTGCAAGCTCCGCCTCCCGGGTTCACGCCATTCTCCTGCCTCAGCCTCCGGAGTAGCTGGGACTACAGGCGCCCGCCACCACGCCCAGCTAATTTTTTGTATGTTTTAGTAGAGATGGGGTTTCACCGTGTTAGTCAGGATGGTCTAGATCTCCTGACCTCATGATCCGCCCGCCTCGGACTCCCAAAGTGCTGGGATTACAGGCGTGAGCCACCACGCCCAGCCAGCCTCCTTATTCTTTAAGCATCCTTAGTCCTTTCCCATCCCCTGCACGTCAGGCTTTCCCTGTAGTATTCGACAGGTCTCCTTCTCCCCCTTCTGGCTTTTCAAACATGATACATTTTCCCCCAAACTCCTACCTAATTAGGACTTAAGATGGAATAAGGTTTGGGTCTCAGTTTCATTCCCACAGCCCAATGGGAGGAATCTTACAGCCCAAAAAAAGGAAGAAAAAAATCCTTCATGCCAGAATAAGTCACAGAAGCAAGGCTGTTAGCATACGCTCAAACTGACAGCTTTGGTTTCACATCCTGACCTCAGTTTCCTCAGAAAGGAAGTAACTAGAGGGTTAAGAAGATAAAATAACACATGCAAAAAAACATGCTATAGGCTGGGTGCGGTGGCTCACACCTGTAATCTCAGCACTTTGGGAGGCCAAGGTGGGTGGATAACGAGGTCAAGAGATTGAGACCATCCTGGCCAACATGGTGAAATCCCGTCTGTGCTTAAAATACAAAAATTAGCTGGGCGTGGTGGCGTGCGCCTGTAATCCCAGCTACTCGGGAGGCTGAGGTAGGAGAATCACTTGAACCCGGGAGACGGAGATTGCAGTGAGCCGAGATCACACCACTGCACTCCAGCCTCACGACAGAGTGAGACCCCATCTCAAAACAAAACAAAAATGTGCTATAGTGTTTGATTCATAGTAAGAACTGTTCACTCATATTAAACTGAAGCTCATTCTGTGAGTTAACATTTATCAAGCATTTTTTATGCATTAACACCATGTGATTTACATGCATCATCACATTTAATCCTCATAGGGACATTGGAAGGTAGACACAATTTTCCTCATTTTCAAATAAGGGAAATTGGGGCTGTGTTAGCTACCTTGATCAAGGTCTCCAATATCTTCAAAGGCAGAGCCGGCATTCAAAATCAGATCTACTGAATTCTAGAGTCCATACCGTTAAAGCTACATTTGTGGCCAGGCGCGGTGGCTCACTCACGCCTATAATCCCAGCACTTTGGGAGGCTGAGGTGGGTGAATCACCTGAGCTCAGGAGTTCAAGACCAGCCTGGGCAACATGGTGAAATCCCATCTCTACTAAAAATACAAAAATTAGCTGGGTGTGGTGGCGTGTGCCTGTAATCACAGCTACTCGGGAGGCTGAGACAGGAGAATCGCTTGAACCTGGGAGGCAGACGTTGCAGTGAGCTGAGATCACGCCATTGTACTCCAGCCTGGGCAACAACAGCAAAATTGTTTCAAAAACAAAAGGGAAAATGACTCCTTCACAGAAGCATGGGGAAGATGAAATGGAAAGCTCCTCTCAATGCCTACAACATACCAAGGACTCAAACAGTTGTAGCTATTATTAATGTCTTCCTCCTTCTCAGATTAGACGTCTTTCCTCTTGTGTTGTGTGTGTGTTTTTTTTTTTTTTTTTTTAAAGATGGGGGTCTCACTATGTTGCCTAGGCTGGTTTTCAACTCCTGGGCTCAAGCAATCCTCTCTCCTTAGCCTCTTGAGTAGCTGGTACTATACGTATGTGTTACTGTGCCTGGCCTCATTCTTTATTTTTTAGAGACGGGGTTTTGCCATTTTGCCCAGGCTGGTCCCAAACTCTTGAGCCCAGGTGATCCACCTGCCTCAGCTTCCCAAAGTGCTGGGATTACAGGCATGAGCCACTGCGCCCGGCCAGTCTGGCACCATTCTTAATATCACAGCTTTGGTTGGGTGTGGTGGCTCATGTCTGTGATCCCAGTACTCTGGGAGGCCGAGGTAGGAGGATCACTTGAACCCAGATGTTTGAAACCAGTGTGAACAACATAGTGAGACCTCATCTCTATTTTATAGAATAAAATTTTAAAAATTAAAAAAAAATCAGCTTTGGTCTGATATTACAGTTTTTCCTTCTTCCTGTTTTCCTTTTCCCTATTAGAGGAAACAGGATGGAGGAGGGCAGCAGAGGGCAGCCCCCAGCTCTGGGAGGGGAATAATTTTAGAAGAGAATCCTCTGGCAGAGGTAAGCAGAAGGGAGCAGAGCTGTGAAATTCAACCTCATACCCTTATTCAAGGGCAAGGGGGTTGGGGGGCGGGGAGGACATGGAATCCAGTTCAGAGATACTGCTCTGTAATTCTCAAACATATCACACCACTGAAAATGCTTCCTATCCTGAAAATGGGTATTTATCTTACTTCCACTATTTCCATAATTTCTTCGCCTGTCCTAGATTTTGTATCCTTCCCTTGAGGCTATCCCATGGTTGTTTTTCTTGCAGTACAACCAACCAGTTTCAGTCCATTTTTCATGCCCTTTTGTCTCCAGTGTTCTGTACCAAATTCTGCTCTATCTGCCGAGGTGCTTCAGCTCACCTCAATCCCCTTCTGCTCTTCCTAGACTGCCATACCCTTCTCTGTATGACTCAACAATATTTCCAGCTCCCACAGCTGTTTCCTACCAAACAAAAAAGTTTTGTTTCTGGTTTGTTATAGGTGGCTCATACCTATAATCCTAGCACTTTGGGAGGCCGAAGCGGGCTGATCACTTGAGGCCAGGAGTTAGAGACCAGCCTGGCCAACATGGTGAAATCCCGTATTTAAAAAAAAAAGTTTTGTTTCCTACCAAAACTTCTGTACAAAGTTCCTACAGAACATTCCATCTCTTGCCAAATTCCATGGCCCATCTGCACCTGCACTTACCTCTCAGGCATATCCTTTAGATACAATGCACCCCCAAAATATCCCAACTTACACAAATTCATTGCTTTGATCTCTTCTATGCTGCACTAGAATTCTCTTACAATCTATGCCCACTCTAGAAGACCTTAAATGCAACCAGGTAAGAAATGGAATTTTACTATCTTCACTCTCCCATCCTTCTATTCCAGCCCAATCTGTTATGGCAGCCTACATCTCATAGTCTAAATAATCAAGAACCAGCACTGTTTGCTAATAACTTCCATTTCATCTGTGAGAAATCCCAGGACTACGCAAACTGAGATGGGCCCACACCTGCATATATTTACAGGATCACAGCAGCAAAATAAGAAGGGTTTTCAGGTCTGGGTATGCCTTGTGAGGTGGTAAGGAATGCTGCAGTGTAAGGGGCTAAGGAAACGAAATCTGTGGGCTTCAGAGGACTGAGTATCTACAGAAACAGATATTGAGCACACATCAGTAATAAATATGAGCATTTATTTGGCACCCGATGGCAATACAAAATCCTGGCAGTGGGAGTGGAAAGGTTCTCTCTCTCAAATACTTCCATACTATGTCGACCCAAAGGCAGGACTTGGCAGCAAGGCTCACAAACCACCCAAACAAATATTTATTGAGCACCTTGACTACTACAGGCCTAGCATTTTGCTAGGGACCATGGGAGATGTGAAGGAAGTTATCTCACACATGATATGTCTTCAAGGAGCTAAAAATGCCAGTGGATAAAAGCAAAACACATGGAAAAACAAAGTACAAATAATAATCCGTGTATATTGTCAAAAGGAACATTTTATCAAAAGGTAGGATTGTAGCTAAGGTTGGCTTGCCTTCTTCCCTCTTTTATTCAACAAACATTTAATGAAGGCCCACTATGTGCCAAGCACTTGGTACATGATGGTGAATAAAACAAACAAGGTTTCTGCCCTCATTTACAGCCTGGTAGGGGAGACAGAAATGAACAAGTAAAAGTAGCATATATATAAACTGCAATAAATGCAATGAGGGGAAAAGACAAGATGTGGTGACAGACACAGAAGTAGACTGCTCAGGGACTGAAGGGCCCGGGAATTGTCAAGACTTGAGGAAGAAGGACACCACCTGAGTCAAGAGTGGTGGGGGTGGAGAGCTGAGAAGGCCCAGGAAAAGGGCAGGAAAGAGCACAAAATTAGAAGCTGAGAGGAGACCACTCGGGCTGGAGCTTAGCAAGAAATCACCATTTAATGAGGTTCAAGGGGAAGGCAAGAACCAGTTCTCATAAACCAAGGTGAAGAGTTTACATTTTAAATGAGGGGTAATAGAAAGCAGAAGGGTTCTAAGCAGGGGGGTGATCAGATTTATATTTAAACAACCAAATCCTGGCCAGGTGTGGTGGCTCATGCCTGTAAGCCCAGCTATTTGAGAGGCTGAGGCGGGAAGATGGCTTGAGGCCAGGAGTTCGAGACCAGTCTGAGAAACATAGTGAGAACTCACCTTAAAAAACAAAAAACAGCAAACAACCAAAAAAAATTAAAAACCAAAACTACTCTGTTATGTGAGAACAGACTGGAGGAAGAAAGAATGGAAGTTTTTTTTTTTTTTTTTTTAAAAAAAGGTCTTGCCCGGGCGCAGTGGCTCACGCCTGTAATCCCAACACTTTGGGAGGCTGAGGTGGGTGGATCATGAGGTCAGGAGATCAAGACCATCCCGGCTAACATGGTGAAACCCTGTCTCTACTAAAAATACAAAAAAATTAGCCGGGCACGGTGGCGGGCACCTGTAGTCCCAGCTACTTGGAAGGCTGAGGCAGGAGAATGGCGTGAACCCGGGAGTTGGAGCTTGCAGTGAGCTGAGATCGTGCCACTGCCCTCCAGCCTGGGCGACAGAGCGAGACTCTGTCTCAAAAAAAAAAAAAAAAAAAAAAAAAGTCTTAAAGAACAGGGAAGTTGGGAAGTTTCAGATAAGCAGGGATAAAGGTTTCTAGGTTGAAAACAATAACATGTATGGCACTGAAATAAAAGCCACATAATATCAAAGGAGAGTTTAATACTGAAAGAGAAAGCAGGAACAAAGAACTACATTACATCTTTGAGCATTTACATGATCCTGTAAAGCAGGATTCTAGACAGATTTGGTGGCAGCAGCCAACAGGATGAAATGAAGGTAAAGAAGGGAGAGATATGAAGCAGGGAGATAAGCTAGGAAGCTTTTCTAGAAATCTAGATATGAAGTGCAGGTTGATTGAATGAAAGTGGGAATAGTAAGGGAGAGAGATGGACGTTTCTCAGGAAGGAAAAAGACAGAGAGGTGGTTACAGAGTCTAGGGAAACACACCATTCTTCCTGGCCTTCTCTGATGCTCCCCACGAGGCTCATTTCAGTAACAAAGCTCAGAGAAACAACCAACGAAAGATCTTTGAGACTTCCATGGGCAAAGATCAATAAGGTACAAATGCAAGGCAATGTTGGCTGACAGGCTGCGGTGCCTTGAGCCCAAACGAGCCAAGAGTGTCCTTCCACTGGGTGGCGCTGCAGTACTGAAGGGAACGCACAGGCCGCTTCTGGACACTGCAGCAAGGTGCGTCTCTAGTCATGTTTGCTTCTTCAGAGCCAAAAGATAATGTCTACATTAAATTTGGACACCTTCCAAACTCTCACTCTAGGACAAAAAGGGCGGAGGATATGAATGAAATAAAAGATAGGAGATGGTCTCTCAGACATCTTAACTAATGTAATAAAAGCAATCACTAAAGTGCCATCTACAAAAGCTGGAACTGAACACAAATATGGGGAATTTATATGCCCTCTCCCCATAACCACACTGTGTTTACAACTTCACTTGTCAGGCTCTTCAACTGCAGCTGAAACATTCCTGGCAATAGGTCCAACCAAGGCTGGCTCTACAGGCAAAGGGCTTCACAGAAAAGGAGCTGGCCTGGAGTCCCACACTCAAAGGCAGAGATGATGGGCACAGGAAACAAGTCTGGGAGATTCCCACATCCCTGAGGGGGCAGAACAGAAACCGTGCATCCTGAAGATCAAAGGCTCTATCACACCTCCTGTGGTCCAGTGGCTTCCACTTGGCGTGGATGATGGGGAGGTGACATCATGTGGGAGGGTGTCCTGGGAACAGGTAGAGGTGGCGGCACAGAGTGCTGCAGTATTCAGACATCTCCTTGCACCGGTGGAATTCTGTGCCAGGAGCATAACCTTCCCGATCCTTGATAAGTGCGTTCACCTGGAGGGGCAGAACCAATAGGCCCAAGTCTGAGAATCTCGGGCTTCAGGAGAGCAGCAAACGGGAAGGGGAGACGGACTATGAAAGAGCATTCAAGAGAGGAGGAAAGTAGAGCACTGTGGAGACACACAGGGGTCACGGAGCCCGCTGGCTCACCTTAACCAGCATGTCGGCCACGTGCATATCACAAGCCCGCTCAGAAAACACTTGAGCAAGAGCCTCGATGTACCAGGAACCTCGTTTGGTGTTCCGCATGGCGGCAGTCCCTGCAACCAAAAGGGCATTAATCACAGTGTGAATGCCATCACACAGCTGCACTTCCCAAACTAGACTCGGCCATGACACCTGCACCCTCCCTAGTCAGAGAACCCAGCATGAAGAATCTAAGTCTAGGAGGGTACTCTTTTGGATTATTGGCATACTTTGGAGATACCGTAGGTCTGTTTCCAGACCAGCTTAAGAAAGTGAATATGGCAATAAAGCAAGTCATACAAATTTTCAGGTCTCCCAGTGTATACGGAAGTTATGGTTACTATCCTACAGTCTATTAAGTGTGCAACAACATTATGTCTAAAACATGCATATGCTGTAATTAAAACATACTTTATTGCTGAAAAATGCTAACAGAGGCATGCCAATAGAAAAATGGTGCTGACAGATGCTCAAAGGATTGCCACAAACCTTCAATTTGTAAAAAGCAGCTGAGCATCCCAAATCCAAAAAATCTGAAATGCTTCAAAATCTGAAACTTTCCAAGTGCCAATATGATGCTCAAAGAAGGTGCTCATGGGAGTGTTTTAAATTTAGAATATTTGGATACGGGATACTCAACTAGTAAGTATAACGCAAATATTCCAAAATCCAAAAAAACAAAAAAATCCAAAATCTGAAACACTTCTGGTTCCAACACTTCAGATAAGGGATACTCAACCTGTACCTGCAAAGCACAATAAAGCAAAGTGCAACAAAATGAGGTATGACTCAACTCTTTTGGAACTCAAAGTACCTTTGAGGCAGGCATAGCCGCATATCATGTCTGAGCGCGTGGGCAGTCTCATCTTCGGCAACTTTTCTTTACCGGCATCACTCTCCTCGCACCCAGGGGATCCTGCGTGGTTCTTTCCATCTTGTTGGTCAACCCCACGATCAGTCTCATCTGTAACAAAGGCAGACAGAATGGACAATGATGTTACTTCTTCCTATCTCTCTTGGGCCTGTCACAGGCAAGCCCACGTTCCCTACAACCTTGAAGGGGAAGAGCCATTTCCAGCT
This sequence comes from Homo sapiens, assembly GCF_000001405.40. Classification (NCBI taxonomy): domain Eukaryota; kingdom Metazoa; phylum Chordata; class Mammalia; order Primates; family Hominidae; genus Homo; species Homo sapiens. Next base: position 143,303,667 of record NC_000007.14, on the reverse strand, counting down.
GTTGCCTCCAACCTATGGCTGATAAACTAAAAAAAAAAAAAAAAAATTATTACTCTCTCAGCATGCATCTGTTACTCAGGGGATGCCTCATACACACCGGGCACCACGCTCAAGCACATGCACATCTATGCGGTTGGAGCAGTTCCCATTCTGTGTAAGACAGGGAAAATGCCAAATCAAATACTCCTTGTAAATGGAACTGAAAATCATCTAAGTCCACAACTCACTTGTTCAATTAACAATATGCCTGGGAGTCACAGTGCTTTTTATTGCAATACATAATAAAATATTGATATATTTAATTACATAAACAAGAAAAAACAAGGTAATAAATAACAAATACGGTTACCATATGTATGCTATATAAAAATCACAACCTCGAACTATGTATCAAAAAATAATAAAACTAAGTATGATCAGTTGTTTCCAAGGTGGTTTTGATATCTTCGAAGCACTATGTTTATTAATTTCATAAGATAAATTATAGCAAGCATCCAAGATTTAAGAAAAAAAATTTTTAATTTATTTTTTAAAATAACTTTTTAAATCTTTTTTTTTCTTTTTTTAATAGAGATGGGGTCTTGCTACGTTGACCAGGCTTGTCTTGAACTCCTGGCTTCAAGTGATCCTTCTGCCTCGGCCTCCCAAAGTGTTGGGATTATAGGCATGAGTCACTGCACCTGGCCTTATGAAAATTTTAAGAGGAAAAACTTAAAGTGGGGAGAACTTGACTGTTTTCTCCCAGAAAATTTAAAAAGATCATCCTTATTCAATTTTAGCAGTAATTTCTCAACATACCCTGAGCAGATCCTTGCTCTTGATACAAGCCTTATGTATCCCAAGACAGACTCTTATTTTTGATGATGTTGTTTTATTTTGGGTGTGGGCAGGGGTGCTGTCAGTAGGCAAGACAGATGGGGAGGACTCTCAGGTCAACACATCAAAAGTAAGAGTATGCTCTTTTACAGTACTTCCTGATCCATGCAATGTCGAGGGAGCCTAGGAAAGAAGGGAAGCTTCAAGAATTGGGGGAAAAGGACCAAAGCACAGGTTTAATAAAAATGTGTCAAGCAACTGCCATGTGTTGGGCACTGTCTTACTTTAAGGCCTAGGGATAGAGTGAAGAGAAAATTCCTGCCGTCATGGAGCTTACACTCCAGTTTAGAAGCTGACTGGGGCAGGGGGGTGGAGCTTTTTCTAGACATTAATTATATTAACCAAATACAGCAGGAAGACAGGTGAACTCAAATTTTCAATGGAACAATTGGCTACTGGTCATTCCTTGAAGGATTTAATTTCAGAAAAGTTAGAGAGACAGAGCAAAAGATCCAGATTACTCCAGAAAAGAGCAATTACTCCTTATCCAGATCCAATAGTGTATTAAATCCCTGGATATAGGATGAGAAAATCACAATTTAACGTCGTTTTGTTAGTAAAGACGCCTAAAGGAAACAGGCCAAGCTAAAGAGAAAGGAGAATTCCTCTCTCACCTTTATATCACAGATCCATCAATCAATAAATGTCACTGGTTCTTTTGTCACAATATCCTCATATTTGTTTTTTACATAATACCTACAGTTTTTCAGGCAGATTAATTTTCATCCATTCATTGAACATTTATAAGTGCTACCATGCATCAGGCAGTGCCCTGGGCCTGGGGATAGAGCAGGGAATGAAAAGTAAAGTTGCTGACCCATAACCTCTTTCCTTAGTGCAGCCCCCTCCATGGCAACCTTGCTGGAAAAACAATTCATCACATTATTTCTTACTTAAGCTCCCAACTGTTCCTTACTTTTACCTGCTGATGTCCAAAACCTCAGTTATGACTAAAGGTTTGTAAGGAGGTGAACCCACTTCATTGTGACCAGCCACATCTCACATACTCACACAGATGCTATTTTAAAATCAGATCCGAGCATCTGTTTGGGAGGAGGGGAGACACAACATGCCCTCTGCCTCTCAGTGTACTTATCATATTGTATTGTTTCTTTCCTACGACAGACTCTAGATACTACTCTATAACTATGTAAATCAAATTACTCCAGGTACAAATTAAGCCTTATCTTATCTAAAAAATCTCTTTAAACTACCCTCACTTAAAATGATCTACTCTTACTGCATACTCCTTCCTAAGTACAGTTTGTACCTTGCTAATTTCACCTTTGCTTACATGAGGCCTGTGAACTAGTCTTAAGCTACTTCATGTATATTTACTTTATTTTCCTGAGTAACTGGTCTGCTCCTTAGAGAGGCCACATTTCCTTCTGCTTTTGCGGTAGTAACTGCCGTAGTCTGAGTCATGTTGCAGGGCCTCAGCAGACTATATTCTGCGGTAATACTAGATCAGGATGACAATAATATTAGCTATTTACATTTGGCCACATGAGAGATTAAAAAAGTAATTATTTGAATGTTTGGACAAAGTGACCTTTAAAGCAAACTATAAGCCCTTTACGGCACTGATCGTGTTTTAAGAGTTACAGCTGGCATATTTTGTGGATGTGCTGTGAGCCAGGTACTGAGCTATGTAAGCCCTTAAATGCATAATCTCATTTAACCATCACAAGCACCTTATGAAGTAGGTACAAGGACTATTTTCATTTTATATTGAGGAAACTGAGATGGAGGGATGCCATTTAACTTCTTTAACTTCACGTTACTAGTAAATGGTGAAGTCAGAATTTGACTCCAAAGTTAGGGCTCTTAATTACTATTATTTTCCTCCAGGATGAGAAGCACACCTATGTGTCTTTTAATCCTCGTCCTGCAGTCCTGGCTCTTAAAGGAGTAAAACAGACTGCATGAGAGAAAGAGGGGCAGCAGCAGCTCACGGAAAAGGAAGAGTCAAAGGCCAACACGGATTCTGTTCTGCTATCCTGCATGACCCAAGAATGGTAAGAAGAAAGAAGAAAGGAGGCAAGCATGGAAGTGTAGGTAAACAGGGAAGTATATGGAACAAGTGAAAAGAACAAAGAGTGAAAGAAAGGAGATAAAATAAGAAGGACAGGAAAAAGACAGATCAAAAATCCGTAACTGGAATGAGTAACCAAAAAAAGGGCACCAGAGTTAATGAAGCACAGAAAAGAGTAAGAGTTCTCAGAAAGGAAGGCAAAGACACGGGATAAGAGACCTGAAAACAGGATATGGTGGTGCACGGAGAGCTGACCAGCCTGAGAGCCATGGGCTGCCCAAGTCCCAGCACACCCCATGCATTGGGAGACACTTACAGAGCAAGAGAGGCGGTGGCAGCAGTGAACAGAAGGAGGTGCCCAAGGGATCCAATAGCACCTGAGAGGAGCAAACAGGAAAGTGAGAGCTGGTGGGAGGCTGCCCAGGAGCCACCACCCAGGTGCTGGTCTGCTAGGGCACTCACCTCCACGGCAGGCCTGGATGAAGAACATTTTTGGTTTGTTCTGTAGGCTTGGGCAGTTGGCGTTGTCAAAGAGCTGAAAAACCTCTTGGAGCTGCCAGAAAGAAAGAAGGAAGAAGAGAGGTTAAGCATTCAGCGGGGCCTCCTAAGTCCTACACATGCAACAGTAGCCATCACTTGACAGACAGCAGGCAGGAGGTAAAGCAGCCTGGTTTCAACAGTTGGCTTCCACCAGGGTATCCGCACCTGGAGCAGTTTCCCATCCACACCATAGATGGCGCCCTCCACACCATGCGAGAGGAGTGCCACGATGCAGGAGTCCGTGACTCGGTGTGCAGGTAACTGTGCAAAATTCTGCAGTTTCTCTTGCATTTCCTAAAAGAAAGGAATGTTTAGTGTTGTGCACTAAGGTCAGCACCAACATAAGCATCAAAGTTTGGTTTCTTTTTGAAACCCTAAGCTATTAGAAGATAAAACGCTTTATGTATATTCCTGTGGTCAATGATAAAAGAAGAGACCTTTTGAGAGACTAAAGAAAGCTATGGACTCACCAGAAAAATGCATATGAGTTCAGACACAATATTCTGAATACAGATTCAGACTCACTGAGATAGGCAAACAGCTCCTGGATTAAAGCAAGTTACTAAAGAAGCTAATCATGAGCTGGTCAACTCTGATTAATTCCCTGTTCATAACCAGATCCTTCATTAGAGCAACTGCCCTTGTATATAAATGGCACAAGGGTGACTCAAAGTGTAGCTATGAATAAGTAACATGCACATTCAGCTACACGAAAATAAACTGTTCTGTGACAGCATCATGATAGTAGAGAATAGCAATACTTGTATGTTGTCTTCTAAGATTCTAAGTGTCCAAGAGATAATGATGATGACTGTATAAAATGCTTTGTTTCAGAAAGAGCACGCTATGAAGGAGGATTCTGTACAGGGCAGTAATTACATACACAGGTCCTGGGTTCAGATTAATCTAGGTTTGAACCTTGGCTTCATGAGTTGGAACAGCTTACTCAGACCCTTGAGACCTCACTTTTCACTTTATAAAAAAAAATTATGAGGATATTTTCTCTAAGTTTGTGAAGATAAAAATGAGATATTATGACAAAGGACTTGGCCTGGACAACCTAGCAAGACTCCATCTTTAAAAAAAAAAATTAGCCAGGCATGGTGGTGCATGCTTATAGTCCCAGCTACTCTAAAGGCTACGGTGGAGGGATCACTGGAGCCTAGGAAGTTGAGGCTGCAGTGAGCTGTGACTGCACCACTGCACTGTAGCCTGGGTGACAGAGAGAGACCCTGTCTCAAAAAAAAAACCAAAAACCGATCACTGTGTCTGGGACACATTGCAAAAAATGTGCCATTACAATGTGCATGTCGAATAAAGAGTATTTTTCTCAAAGAAATCTATTACTGGTCAATGTTGTAGTCCAACTTAAGAACTGTTTTCCTGTTTATCTTTTTTTTTTTTAGACAGGATCTTGCTATATTGCCCAGGCTTGAGTGCAGTGACTATTTACAGGTGTAAGATCACTACTGATCAGCACAGGAGTTTTCACCTGCTCCATTTCTGACCTGGGCTGGTACACCCCTCCTTAGGCAACCTGGTGGTCCGCCACTCCCAGGAGGTTACCATATTGATGATGAACTTAGTTTGGACACCTGATCAGCATAGCACACTACAGCCTAGAACTCCTGGGCTCAAGGAATCTTCTTGCCTCAGCCTCTAGAGTAGCTGGGACCATAGGCATGTGCCACCATGCCTGGAGAATCTTGTTTATCTTGCACTAAGTTGCGATACATGAAGAGCACTACCTTAAGCATTTGGTCCATCCATCAGAAGGTTATACTGTGTACCTAAAGAGCATAATAATTGGGCACACATGTTTAAACCTATGCCTCCCTCTATAATTCACGATGTCTGGGTCTTCTGAGATGGGCAGAAAGAAAACAAGTTCATTTTATTATAAACTTGAATAAAATGTAATGAAAATAAGTAAGTTATCTGGGTGGAAGAGTTAAAACACACATATATTTAATCACACACACTGCCAAAATAAAAAGCACACTTCTATAATATAACATATTGCAGTAGTTCTCAGAGTGGCCCCTAAAGCAGCAACAGCAGCATCACCCAGGAACTTGGAAGAAACGTGAAATCTTGGGCTCCAGCAAAATGTGTTTTAACAAGCCCTCCAGGACACTGTGATATGTTAAAGTTTGAGAGCTACTAATTGATCTGTTCGGAATACTTCTGTTTGTAGATAATTGAGATGCAATTACATAAAATATTTGAAAGTCTGCAATATAACTAGAAATAAAGAGACTGGTGTTGTTGAAAAGTATCTGTATTTTCTAAGTAGAAGCAAACCATAATAATAGAAATCTTAAGGTAATGACAGATAATCAAAAAATTCTTTCAAGAATATATAATTTCAAGAGAATACATAACTGTGAATGTTCCTCTGGAGCTGATGCTAATAGAATTTAACATTTAATAGTTAAAGAAGTTAATTTTGCTCAAAGAAGAAAACAAAGGCCGGGCGCGGTGGCTCACGCCTGTAATCCCAGCACTTCGGGAGGCCGAGGCGGGTGGATCACCTGAGGTCAGGAGTTTGAGACCAGCCTGACCAATGTGATGAAACCCTGTCTCTACTAAAAATACAAAAATTAGCCGGGCGTGGTGGCATGCGCCTGTAATCCCAGCTACTCAGGAGGCTGAGACAGGAGAATTGCTTGAACCTGGGAGGCAGAGGTTGCAATGAGCCCAGATCGCGCCATTGCACTCTAGCCTGGGCAACAAAAGTGAAACTCCATCTCAAAATAAAAAAAAAGAAAACAAAAATTATATACCTGGGCACCGAATCACGAGCATTTTGAATTTAGTGAGATTAGGTCAGTAAATAGAAAACAATGTCCAAAAAAAGAATACACGCACTTTGTAACCAAACTTAGTAAGACTAAACCATTCAATAAATGGGGATTAGACATTTGGAGGAATTTTTCTACAAGTAGCATAGCTTAAAATAGGATCTGCAGATTTGTTTTTGATAAAATTACAGTACTTCTATAAATAGCAGGGTTCTTAACTCCTAAGTGTATTTTTGGCTAGGGGTTGGGGGACATGTGAAGAGAGTAACTTGTGAACCCTCTGAAATTATATGCTAAATTATATGGGCAGCTGCATTTTCCAGGGATAACCCATAGCTTGTCCTTACATTTTCAAAGCAGTTTGTGACCCAAATGCAAGCTAAAAAAACAATACCACATGGTAAAAGGAAATTTCCACTTTGAAGAGTACGTTTCCTAACATAGGGTAAATCATAATTCTAGAACTAGTAACCTCATGAAGTAGATGCAATAAAAACTTAATAACAAAGAGAAAAGTGAAAACATCTGGGCAGTGAGAATACCCATGTTCACTGCAGCACTATCAGGGGAAGAGGAGTCTCTAAGACTAATTATACTATTTCCTGTTTTTAAATGGAATTCCTCTCTTAAGTAAGAAAGATTTGATAGGGAAAGAAAAAAGGATCTTTTTTTTTTTTTTGGTTCTGTTTCTTTGCTTGCCAAATAGCTATATGATAAACGAGTTGACTCTCTAGGGAGATCCCACCAGGAAGAGAGCATTCTGTGCAGATGCCCAGTGTACCAAATTATGACACCCATTGCAACTACCTGGTTTATAACACACACATTTCTTGTCCACATACTGTTCTCCCTGCCTAGGGTGGCTTCACCACTCCTCTCTGCTTCAGTAACTTCTATCCTTCAAGGCCAGCTTAAGTTCTGCCTCCTCCACTTATCCTTCTGATCATATCTACCTAGGCGCTTCTTCTTCTTAGCTATGACAGAAGATTTTTTCTCTAATCTTGTTTGGTCGTTAGGAATATAAGAGGACACACTTCCTTTTATGCTGATGTCAAAACTCCCTCATCTGATCTTTAAAATCTGTGGCAGCTCACATAGTCCCCCATTATAAGGTGCTTGAAGTTCAACTCTACTGCAATTCCAGTTACAGAGCAATTCAACCAAAGAATTAGAATCCAATAGGTCACTGAATATGCATCAGGCTTACCATAAATGGAAATGCTATTTATGAAGTGAGCTCATAAACTCACCAAATCTGACAGTCTCTGAGAAAACAGCAGTATATATAGTTGACTTAGTGACTCAGTATTTTATCTTTAACTATTAGACATGTAAGATCCTTTATCAGCTGCATACAACTTGAAAAACCATGACATAATAGATTTCTAGTAAAAGACATGGCTAGACCAAAACCTCTAAGAAAACACACACACTGCACATTTTGTTAAGTGACCTTCTGTAGGAATTATGGCTGGTACCCTGCCCTTTGCCCCTTTATGCCCAGCAGACTTCTCAGGAAAGCATATAAACTACCTGAATACTTGATGACTGAAGCAGCTGTTGCTGCCATGGCTTTGAAGCAAGGGTGGATTTAACTACATTGCATATGCTACAAGGGGGAAGCTGGCAAAAATAGCATGTAAAGGACAACACCCAGGTACCTGTGGATGAAACTGGCCTTGCCAAAAATATAGTAAATACATAATTACTCTCACAGAAGGAGGGCAGCTAAGAAAGAGAAATGAAGACTACAGACAATGCTGAATGGAAAACAAAGATCCTCTATCCCAACAGATCAAAGTGAATCTCCTAGCAATTTTAATTTCACCACTGACAACCTCAAAGCAAGTTGAAGAAAGTTCTACTATTCTGGAATCAAAATAAAGAGTGAATATGAATCTACAAATAGGCCATTATTGATTGCAAAATAGAAACCCTAAAGGTCACAAAGTCAGTTGTGCAGTACAGTAACTGAGGTTAATGACGAACAGCCCATAATGAAAATGTTTACAATTTCTAGAAATCTGGTCCACAAACAATCTACCCTATGACTTGTGATTACACAAATGTTAAGAATACTTTCCCAGCCAGGTGCCGTAGCTCATGCCTATAATCCCAGCACTTTGGGAGGCCGAGGGGGACGGATCACCTGAGGTCAGGAGTTTGAGACCAGCCTGGCCAACATGGCAAAACCCCGTCTCTACTAAAAATACAACAATAAGCCAGGTATGGTTGCATGCGCCTGCAGTTCCAGCTACTCAGGAAGCTGAGGCAGGAGAATCGCTTGAACCTGGTAGGCAGAGGTTGCAGTGAGCCGAGATCGTGCCATTGCACTCCAGCCTGGGTGACAGAGCTAAACTCTGTCTTTAAAAAAAAAAAAAAAAGTGAGACACCAACTGTGGACTATTATTACTTTATGAAACCACAACCTGAGATGTCAACACTAAAATGGCTGGCCGGCCCTAATTCTTTCTTACTAGAATGCAAGGTGAGAGGCAGAACAGAGTGAGTAAAAATGTAAGTAGAATAAACCAACTTTTAAGACATATCCCAGCAGGCACAGGAACAAACGATGTCTCTGGTCCCAAAGTGTTGTTCAGTCCTCTAATTTACATGTCAATTTTTCCCACCTCAGGTACCTGTGCAGTCTGGTCACATAGAACATGGACGTCATAGCCCAAAAGCTTGAAGAGGGTGACTAGAGTACTGTGGTCCACATCCCCTCCAGAGCGAAATTCCAGTTCTTTCTCTCCAGTGAAGTGCACATTGCTCAACACCAGTGCTAGGCCACGAGGCCGAGACTGCAACCTATATGCCTGTGGAGGAGAGGCCAGTTAGACCATGAGCGTCTTGATAACAGATGATTCCTCGGCTAGATTAGACATTTCAAGAAAACAAAGACATCGTATTTTTCTTCTTAACCTCCAGCAGGTAAAAATAGACAAATGCTCACAGAAGGCATTTAACCAGTAACAACTTTCTGACTAATAAGGCAGAAAGGAAATGTACATGCAAACTAAGTTCAGGTTCCCAGGAAGGGTGTCTAATTTCCCAACTCTCTTCCTCTTGTCATTATGCAAAAACTCACCAGCTGGAAGTGTGTTTGATAAAATTCAGGAGTGCAAGGCTTCACCTGAAGGCAGACAGGACCATCTTTATTGTCTAGGGAGTGTTCCACAGTATCTGTGGTATAGACAGAAAACCAAAAAACTAGTATATAACTTAACCATCAATCTTAATATGTCATTGTAACTTCAGACATCTCTTGCAACTGGGTTGTGATAAATATTGGTCTCACTCACTACCCAAACCTGTAAGCTTCATGAGGGCAGAGACTCTTAGTTTTAGCTCACTAAAGGATTCTCTGCACATAGCCTGCATGAAGCATATGCTCAACTGGCTGAATGACCGAATGGGCTAGCTGATAAAAGCCTCGTTCCAATCACTAGGATGCTCCATCAGCAGGCTGGTGGCCCCAAATGTAGTCTTTTCTTATTCAGCTTTTTAGAGGCCAATTGAGCATGAACTTCCTGCCCATACATGCTACTCAAAGGCCCAATTATCACAAAAACTGTTATCTGGGGTGGAAGGGAAATGGACCAACTATTAATAACACCTTGCCTGGGCCGGGCGCAGTGACTCATGCCTGTAATCCCAACACTTTGGGAGGCCGAGGCAGGCAGATCACGAGGTCAGGAGATGGTGAAACCCCATCTCTTACTAAAAACACAAAAAATTAGCTGGGTATGGTGGCACGCACCTGTAATCCTAGCTACTCAGGAGGCTGAGGCAGGAGAATCACTTGAACCCAGGAGGCAGAGTTTGCAGTGAGCCGAGACTGCACCATTGCACTACAGCCTGGACGACAGAGCAAGACTCCATCACAAGAAAAAAAAAAAACAAAAAACCACAAACTCCTGCATAAACTGTCCTACTAGCCCTTAACAAATTTACTGACAACTGTTCCCAATATAAACTATGTCTCAGCTGGGCATGGTGGCTTACGCCTATAATCCCAGCACTTTGGGAGGCCAAGGCGGAAGGATCATTTGAGGCCAGAAGTTTGACACCAGCCTGGGTAACAAAGTGAGACTCCTTCTCTACAAAAAATTTAAAAATGAGCTAGGTGTGGTGGCATGCACCTGTAATCCCAGGTACTTGGGAGGCTGAGGCAGGAGGAGCCCTTCAACCCAGGAGTTCAACGCTGCAGTGAGCTATGGTGGTGTCACTGCATTCCAGCCTGGGTGACAGAACAAGACCCTATTTCTGAAAAAAAACACAACAAAAAAAAAAAAAAACAAAAAAAAGGGCTCATGTTAGGACAAAGCCAGATACCAGACAAGAAAGGGGAAGTCAATCTGGGACACCCCCCTCCTTTTTATTTTATTTTATTTTATTTTTTGAGACTGAGTCTCACTCTGTTGGCAAGGCTGGAGTGCGGTGGCACCGTGTTGGCTCACTGCAACCTCCGTCTCCTGGGTTCTAGCAATTCTCCTGCCCCAGCTTCCCGAGTAGCTGGGATTACAGGCACCCACCACCATGCCCAGCTAGTTTTTATATTTTTAGTAGAGACGGGGTTTCACCATGTTGGCCAGGCTGGTCTCGAACTCCTGACCTCAGGTGATCCACCCGCCTTGGCCCCGCAAAGTGCTGGGATTATAGGCGTAAGCCGTGGCACCTGGCCTGGGACCCCTTTTAGTCCATCAATTCTCACCTGTCGACAGGCGGAGCTTCTTGTAAAGGGGACAGGACTCACACACCGGAAAAGGGAGACTCAAGTCGTAGTCACAGCTCAACTGTAAGAAATCAAAACTCATGATGACAGACCTTAGGGAAGTGGTCCGGTCCAAATACAACAAAATCTAGTCTCCCTCACTCTGACTTACAAATTCCTTTCCAGTCAAACTAACCCTTCCCAACACCCCATATTACTAAAGCTTCATACCGGTGGGAGTACATGCTGAAGCCCAGAAAGGGTGGTGAGCAACATATCCTCCAGGTGGCCTTGCTTGGTCTCCCTCAGTGCTTCACAGAAGGCATCAAAAGCTTGGGGACCCCTCTTAGGCAGCAAGTTGAGGAGTTCCACATTCTGGCTGAAACTGCCCACTTTGGCCTAAGACACAAGAATAAAACATGAAATCATATTTACTTCTCTAGCTATAATTCTATTTCTCCACATGAGCTTCCTAGTAGTGTCCTCATCCAAGAATTCTTTTTACAGGAAAAGTGTATGTATGGGTGAAGTCCTTTCTGTTATTCTTGAGTTATATATCATTTCTCTCAAATGCTCTACGGTAGAAGGGCATTTCCATTTCTTTAGAAAGGTACAACATCCAGCTGGGTGTGGTGGCTCACACCTGTAATCCCAGCACTTTGGGAGGCCGAGGCAGGTGGATCATGAGGTCAGGAGATCGACACCCTCCTGGCTAACACAGTGAAACCCTGTCTCTACTAAAAATCCAAAAAATTAGCCAGGCATGGTGGCACCTGCCTGTAGTCCCAGCTACTTGGGAGGCTGAGGCAGGAGAATCACTTGAACCTGGGAGGCAGAGGCTGCAGTGAGCCAAGATCGCGCCATTGTACTCCAGCCTGGGAGACAGAGACTCTGTCTCAAAAAAAAAAAAAAAAAAAAGGAAGAAAGATACGACACCCTTTCCATATTTTGTCATGCTCTATTCCCACCCCATGATCAATTTATCTTCTCTCTTTTGCCTCCAGATACCTGGATGAGCTCCCTCATTTCCAAGGTGATGATGTCCTTCTCCAGAAGATGTTCTAACAATTCGCTCAACAACAGCTGTTTGGCTAGCACCACTCGGTTCTTTTTTAGAGTTTCCTGATGATGAGGATGCATGCCACACACTCCCAATATCCTACAGATAAACGGTAGAAGGAAAGGCTGTCAAGTCACAATTTGACACAGAAGAGTGGAGTGGAAGAGGCATGAATAGGAAGAACAAAAAGAATAAGACTTACAATAACCAAGATTATGCATATTTCTTAAATCTGGTTAAAGCAAAGATGTACTAAGCAGGAACACATTGATCATAAGAAAATAATGTCTAATTCCTTATGGTTTATGTTCAGCTGAGATCATCTGAGATGAATGGTCTGACTAGAGGAGGGAAATATCTGTCTTAAGCAAAACAATACCCCCAAGTACACATATTTATGAGAAGGAATACTTCTCTGATAGACCAATTTTAATAAAGAGAATTATTTCAGAAAACATCTCACATTATCTAAGCTGGTGAAAGTGATGTAAGTTTATAATGATCTTAGATGAGGGTTAAAACACTATGGTAAAAACTCAAGCCAATGGCTTTAACAGAAAATAAATGAGGCAGACACTAACTCTCTTTCACTAGTGATATAAACATATAATTACATGTTTTTTAAAACTTTTAAGTTCCAGTGACAAAATGGCGAATCCTGTTAAGATGTGGATAAGCAGAAAGTATGACAGAAAGTCACAGTGGATAGGTATTTATCTATTTACTTTAAAAGAGTCTCACTGTGCCACCCAGGCTGGAGTGCAGTGGCTATTCACAGGTATGATCCCATTACAGAGCAGCACAGGAGTTTTGACTTGCTCCATTTTTGACCTGGGCGGGTTCACCCTTCCTTAGGCAACCTGGTGGACCCTGACTCCCAGGACATCACCACACTGATGCTGAACTTAATGTGGACACGTGACTGGCATAGCACACTATAGCCCAGAACTCCTGGACTCAAGCGATCCACCTGCCTCAGCCTCCCAAGTAGTTGGGACTACAGGCATGTGCTGTCACCTCCAGCTAATTTTGCTACAGGCTTGCAAAGAGATCAGCTTCTGCTTATAAACTAAAATAATCCTATTGCCAATATGTCATCTACATGCCTAGTTTACATAAATCCAGAGTTCTCTAGCCTGCCCCGTCACATTTTCCACATATGTAACAGCAGGAAGGGTGGCACCTGATAGCAGTGAAAATACAATAACTTCCATTTATAACTTAAAAACCTACTCTAAAATGCATTCTGATTTCTAAGGTGTTAAAACATGAGGGGAGGCCGGGCACGGTGGCTCATGCCTGTAATCCCTGCACTTTGGGAGGCTAAGGTGGGCAGATCACCTGAGGTCAGGAGTTCAAGACCAGCCTGGCCAACATGGTGAAACCCTGTCTCTACTAAAAATACAAAAAATTAGCCGAGTGTGGTGCTGCATGCCTGTAGTCCTAGCTACTCGGGAGGCTGAGACAGGAGAATCGCTTGAACCTTGGAGATGGAGGTTGCAGTGAGCTGAGATCATTCCACTGCACTCCAGCCTGGGTGACACAGCAAAGACTCCGTCCAAAAAAAAAAAAAAAAAAAAAAAGGGAGGGAAAAAATGTGTATCTTAGAGTCAGTGAAATACCACACATCTATGGAATGGATGCACTTGGCTTGCAGATGCTATTGGGTGAGAGATTTATAGTTAGAAGAGGGAAGAGCTGGGTCCTGGAAGAACTGGGAGAACTAAGATAGCAGGTGGGATCCTAAAACAGATGAAGTGGGTTGGAAGCAGCCAATGAATCTGAGGTTTGGAAAAATGAGTCTGAAACTCCATTTTTTCTTCTTTTTACTGTAATATTTCCATTACCCAAGACTTTCAGGAAAAACTGGCTACAAGAAAAAGAGCTATACAAATAAAAAAACCTATTTAAGAATGAATCACTTTCGAATACGTCAAAGCAGTAATAACGATCACATATAACACTGCAGCTGGGATACTAACCAGTGGTGCAGCAGATTTCTTCCATTAGTTTACCAGTAGTATTCGCTCCTTAAATCGTTCTCTTCCTCTGGTTTCCATGACAGCATTCTTTGGGAGTCTTCTCTCTGCCTACCCAGTTCCTGTTTTCTTTAGAGGGCCTTTGGCCTGCCCTTAATATTGATATTCCATTAGGGACGCCCCTTCAAAGAGCCTTTCCCTAGACAATCTCACCCATACTTGCAACTTACTGACTTATAGTTCTTAACTCTCTCGAGTTCCAGACTTGAATTTTCAATCAACTCTTTAGTTTTAATCTGAAGCATCACCCCCTCTGCACACCCGCTCCTTCCTCTACTCTGTAGTATGAGAGTCTTAAACGTGAACATTATAAAAGTTTCCAATCATTTAGAATTTCAGGACACAACTGGAAGGGGAGGAGGGGCGAAGGGCACCACGGAGTTCCTACGTCTTAATTCTGTGTCCTTCTGCAGGTTCCCTTTGCGAAGACCTTAATCTTCAGTCTCGAGCAGGAGGCATTACAATGTTCTCCTGGGTGATGACTGCCATGAAATGGAATGACCGGGGCAGAGGCATGGACACTCGGAGCCACAGGAACCCCCTTGTTCTGCCAAAAGTACTCAATTTCCAAACCCTGTATTGACTTCTTTGAAAATCTGGTCATTCTATGCAAAGCCATGCAGATCATGATACAATCGATACAAATCAAATGCACATCAGGCAGAGCACCGAGGTCTGCAGAAGGTCTCGTCGATTTTTAAGGAGACAGAGTATGGTCTTTTTATAGTTTCCCTCATAAGGGAGCCAGAGGAAAGGATGAAGAATCTTCAAGAGAACCCAAGAGCGGGCAGGACTGCAAAGACCTCCCCTTTAGAACCCTCGTGGGTTGAACAAAGGGAGGCTGGGGCAGTCTTTTCCCACGAGAGACAAGGCCAAGAGGTCCGCCCGCGGGCCCTTGCGCGGAGTCAGGCTCGGAGCGGCTCGGGCGGGCGTCCCACCCTTGGCAGGAAGCGCGGACACGGCTGCTTTCCGGGGCTCCGAGGGGAGGGGGCTGCAGGGCCGCACGCCTGGGGGCCACGCTCCCCTTCCCTGGGCTCCCCTAAGGAGCCCTAAGACCGTTCCCTACTTACCTGCGTCCCCTGTCAGCGGCCATCAGCTCCTTGTGCTGGAAGGTGGACCAAGACCCCGCGCTCGGCGCCGCCATTTCCCGCTTTTCCCGGGCTCTCCGCTGCGCACCGCCCACAGCCCAAACAAACCGGGGGCCGTCGCTTCCCCCACATCCCTCCCCTCAGACGCGGACGCACACTGCGCCTGCGCCTGCGCCCTGCCGCGCCCACACACCAGGCCACCCAGTCCCCGGCCCGGTGCGTGCGCAGGCGCAGAGCTCTAGCGGCGGCCGCGCGGTCCAATGGGGTGAAGTGGGGTGCTCGGCGGACAGACAAAAGGAGGGGAAGGAGCGGGGCGGGGCAAAGGGCGGGGAAAGAGCGAGGGCGGGCGGGTGTGCTCCGTTCGGCCTGGGAATCCGATTGGTTATCGATTCCCGCGGAAATCACCCCGGTGCCTCTCGCGCCCCCTGGCCGGCCTATGGCGATAACTTCACGGAGACGGGCGTGGCTGGAGTTTTGCTTTATTGAAGTTGAACGGTTGGGGCCAGGCTGCGAAGGAGACTGAGAGCGCGACAAGGCCCTGGACAGATGCCCGCGCGGGGAAGGAAGGCTGGCTTAGGAGGGGGCGTCAGCTATGGTTTAGCAGCTTCCAGCGACCGAAACCTACATCACAGCCGCAGCACACAATTCCAGGAAACCTGGTGCTCAATATTGGGATCTCAGGAATCAGGACCGGCGGCTGGGGTGAAAGCCTAGCGGTCAGAGCTTAGGAGTGAGGCAGAAGCTGTTAGAGACTCTTCGCAAGTGACCCCGGGGCTACATATGGATGATTCAAGAGGGAGTCTCCTCGCCAGAAAGTTCACATGTTTCACTCCTTCTGGCCTTCATACCAACCCATTGTTAAAACTGGAAGTCCCTCCACCTGGGGTCACTGACTCCACTGTTTTCAGATAGGATGGGGACCCTGCACTGGAGACTGCTCTCTAGCCCCTGGGCAGGAGAGGCACAGACACTGCTACGCACGCGGAGCAGGGATCACCAGCGCTTTGACTGACTTTGCTCGTCCAGGAGGCTGGGGACATGCGTGCCCATGCTCAGCCCACCCCCTCTGTAGACACAATTGGTCGCCCATTCTGTTTATAGGAAGTCTTCCATCCTGCACCAGCAGCTGTCCCTAGACAGGGATTGGGAGACATGCAAGTTGCTTGGCTTCCTATTACCTTGTGTTGAAAACACAATAGGCTTTGGGATCAGGAGTTCATTCCAGTTATTTTAATGTTATTTACTAGCAGTGTGCCCTCGTGCACATTATCAAACTCCTCTGACTCTTGGAATCCTCATTTTTCAATAATAACTCACAAAGCTGTCAAGCCTAAGGGTTCTAACAGCTCGAACAGCACCTGGAACAGAAGCAATAGCCGCCACTCAGAGGTTACTTCTTCCTTCTCCGCCTTCTCTGGATCACCTCCCTACCTCATCCTCAATCTAACGCTGGAAATATTGGATATGGGGTAGGTCACCAAATGTTGCCAGAAGACTCAAATTATGCCACCCATATCTCAGCTGGGAAGGGCTTACCGTGGCCTGACTCTCCTCAGGGTCCAAGTCCCCATTTATGATGTCCAGGCAGAAACACTTGTTTCTGACACATAGTAGGCGCTGGAAAATGTTAGTCAAATGAACGAGGTCTGGTGTGGAGAGAAGAGAAATCTTGGGAGAGTCATTTAAGGGGGTGCCCAGTTGTCCTCATAAAAAACACTATCATCATCAGGGTGACCAAAGCAGACATCATAGGCAGGGGGTGGAGTCAGAGGCTCTAATGTGGGGACTGCCGCCAAGCTCTGCAGATCAGGAGCAGTGGACACAGCCCGTGGTCCCCGAAGCCGAAGGTTGATTGGAGCTCTTCCAGGGCTTCCTTCCTGGGCCATGGACCCCTCTGAGGCCATTCGCCTCTGTTCCAGTTTGGCTCTCCTGGACCCCTCTGGATGGCTAGGTTGTTCCTCCTCAGGTGCTGGGGGTATCACAACAGTGCTGTAGGGGGGTGGTTGGTCCAACTCTTGGGGGCGGCACTGGGATTCTAGTCCCACCACGGCCTCTTCATAGACTGGCACTTCAAAGGCTTCATTGTCCCTGAGGGAAGAGAAATAAGGCCATTGGTGGCTTCCATGAAAGAAGCCCTTTTTCCCTTTTTTTTGTCTGCTGTGGGCAAAAGATCCTCTGTTGGCCTCTGACCCCTCCTCCCGCTGATGCCAATGACAGGAAACCAGAGACTCTCTGCCTCAGAGACTACAGGGAGAGAGGGAGGATGGGCCCAAGGTGTATTCCTCTTACGATGCCCACCCTTAACTCACCGTGCATTGCCTGAGGGCCCTGGGCTCTCAGTCTGCATTGATTGGAGCTGGGACCGAAGCCCCCATTCCAGAAACCGGACCAGGAGATAGGCAAACAAGAAGAAGCCACCCAATGTGAGAAAGAAATAAGCAACGGGGGTGATGTCCGTCTTTATGCCCAGCAAAGCCAGCCCCAGTAGGAAGGAGGCGCAGCACAGGAGGAGAAGCGGCTTCTCCAGTCTCCCCAGTAAGTGCATTGGCACCATGGCCCCTCCCCAGGCTCCTGCAAAAAGACACACAGCTATTGTGTCTACACTAGCAATTGGTGTCATGGCTGTGTCAGATACCAAAGTAACCATATGATATTTCTTTGTTTGGTTTCTAGGTTCTTCAATCTCAAATAAATCATCTGTAGAGTCCCCTCCAGTTCCGAAATTCTCTCTATGTCTTGGAGTGTGTGGAATAGCCAGGAAACCAGCCCAGGAGCTTTGACTCCCAGCCATTCTGTAAGTTGACTGTGTCATGGCTCTGCCTTCTTTCCTTTCTCCTTCCCTGTAGTCTCCCTTCCAGCTTTGTCCCTTACCACCATCCAGGATCCGGTCCTGGGCACGCCCTGCCTGGGGCTTCAGTGCACACTGGCATCTCTGGAATTCAGGTGATGGGGCAGGCCCTGCCCTTCCTCTGTTATTGCTCCTACTGGATCTCCACCCCCACCTCCCCAGCCAGAGGCCCTCAATCCAGCCCCGTTAGAGAGAAGAGGGGAGGGAGCCCCACTTACCCTGTCTGACTCTGTCTTTTCCTTTCCTCCGGTGTTAGCCCATGCTCCAGGTGGAGGGAGAAAGTGCACACAGGCGCACCAAAGCCACAGGGACACAACTGCTTGAGAAACAATTGTACAGGCAAAGGCCCAGCACAATGGCCGGAGGCCCTGATAACTCCTGTCCTCTTCTAGACCCCACATCTGCCAGGGCCCTCCTCTACCCTCTGCTGATCCTAACTTGTTAAACTCAGTTTGCAAATTTCCTGCCAGGAGGTAGCCCAGTGGCTGGGAGGCGGTGGGCAGGGGAACTCTTTTCTTTCCTTGTAACAGCAACAACCCGAGGCAGCCCATACCCCAGAAACAGCCTGTCAGAAGTTGCCAGCGCTCTGTGTAGCAAGGAATTGCAGATTCCCTCCTCACACCTCGGTCCCAATCCCATGACCCTCCCGACCCTCGCACCCACACCTGTCTCAGAAGTTCGTCGCTCACCTGTCTCCACAGACTGTAGAAAGTAGATGGGGTGGGGGGTGGTGGGAAGGGCCGGAGCGGGTAGGTGGAGCCCACTGGCCCCACCCTCTTTTTCTGTCCCAATCCCTGTTCTGGCCCAGTCAGTCTCCGCCCCTTTTCTCCCTAAGGCTGACTTCCAACTGCTGAACCTTGATTTGTTCTGGTTTTTACTCTCTCCACCCACCCATGCTGTACCCTAATGAGAGTGCACCCCTGACTCCCAATGATCTTTGTACTTAGGACCGGAGTTAGCATTAACCTTTCCCTCTCGGCGCATATTGTATGTTAATTACAGCCCTGGGCAGTTTGCCTTCTATTTGGGTAATTTACCTTGTGCGTCTCTCCCAAGTGACTGGAAGCGGAGACCTCGGCTTATTTAATCTCTGTAGATCATCACACAGTGCACTGCACACAGAAAGTAATGCTGTGGGCATGGAATGGTGTGTCCTGCTTCCATTACCCAAGTGCTATTTTTATGGACTCCCTGTATTCTGCAGACCTGTCAGAAGTGTTAGTGTGTATATTTCTTGACCCAGTTAACTCTTGAGTCTTCAAGATCCTCCTCCGAGGTGATGCTGCTTTGGAGCCTGCTCCAGTGTATCCACATCGTTCCTTCCTAAATTTGTCCCAGCATTTACCTGGTTATGTAGCATTTTTCTGCTTACTGATTTTCCTTCCACTGTGAGTTTCTCAAGGTGCGTGATTAGTTTTAATCATCTCTGAATCCTGGAAACTAACATGGTTCCTGAAACGTGGTAGGTCACTAACTAGAAGGCTCCCCTCTCACCAGGCCTCACCACACCTGTGAAGATCAAAGAGCTGTTCTTTTTAGTTGTGGGTCAGGCAGTTAAGTCGGAGTAGGGTAGGTGCTTGGAGGTAGAGAGTGAGTAGAAGCATACTTGGTCCTTGAGCCAGAGGGTGAACAAAACTGGGCCCCGTTCCTTCAGAGGGTGACCAGCAGACAGACCGAGGGAAGCTGCAGACCGTGGGCACAAATCCAATCCAGGCTCCCCAGGGACAGCTGGGGTGGGGAAGCATAGGAGAGGGTGTGTGTGTGTGTGTGTGTGTGAGAGAGAGAGAGAGAGAGTATGGGAATGAGAATAACTGTGTCTGTAGTGGTAATAAGTGTGGGCACTGGTGGGATATTGAAGATTCTCTGTCCCAGAGCCCCAGATCGATAGCAGAGAGAGGAAGGAGACATTAACAGGAAGGCTGTGGGAGTCTAAATGAGGTGTGTCTCTATGCAAAGTAGGCACAGGAGTGAGGGGGGCTGATTGTTGTTCTGTTTCAGCCAATTTCCTCACTGTTCTGCTCATAAGGGGAAAGTACAGCTGGAATCAGGACTGCAGTCTACAGTTAACATATGAATAGAAGGAAATTGGCCAAGGGTCATTGGTGTGTGTGATAGGAAAGGGGGTTTGTTAAGGAGTGAGTTGTGGGAATGGGAAGGTGTAGGCTAAGAGGCACGGGGCCAAAAGGTATGGGCCTGAGGTGTAAGGGGAGAGTCTGGGAGAGGCGGACCTTTGTAGCTTAAGTCTCTTGGTTGCCGGAAGGAGAGTACGATAGACAAGAACTGGATCCCAACTGGAGAGGCTAGACTGGTGGCTGGCTGTGCCCGTTCATACATTCTCAATTCCAGTAATGTAAAATCAATTTTTAAAAATTGCATTTGTTAAAAGAAAAAACATGACAATATTTAAAAGCTAAAGAAAAAAAAATTGTCTATCTTCTCATTATCCTAACACGGCCATTTAAAACGTTTATATATTTCTTCCAGACTGTCCACATGCAAACCAGAATATACTAACCACTTTGTATCTTTAAAAAGTTTTATACTTTATATTGTATATATTTCACCCTGATAAAGACCTTATTGTAGTAATTTCAAACAGCCATGTAATATTTCATTGAATCGATATGCCATAATTTGATTAATATACCCTCATGATACGTTGCTCAATAACACTGAGCCTATTTCACTCAATATTTTTGGCCATTAAAATAATGCAGGTTGCCGGGCGCGGTGGCTCACGCCTGTAATCCCAGTACTTTGGGAGGCCGAGGCGGACTATCGCGAGGTCAGGAGTTCGAGACCAGCCTGGCCAACATGATGAAACCCCATCTCTACTAAAAATACAAAAAGGAGCTGGGCATGGAGGTGTGTGCCTGTAATCCCAGCTACTCGGGCGGCTGAGGCAGGAGAATTGCTTGAACTGGGACCCGGGAGGCGAAGGTTGTGGTGAACCGAGGTTGCGCCATTGCACTCCAGCCTGGGCAACAAGAGTGAAACTCTGTCTCAAAAAATAAAATAATTAAAAAATAATAATAATAATAATGCAGGCTGGGCGCAGTGGCTCATGCCTGTAATCCCAACACTTTGGGAGGCTGAGGTGGGCGGATTGCTTGAGCACAGGAGTTTGAGACCAGCCTGGGCAACATGACGAAACCATGTCTCTCCAAAAAAAAAAAAATACAAAAATTAGCTGGGTATGGTGGCGCACGCCTATAGTTCCAGCTACTCAGGAGGCTGAAGTGGGAGGACCGCTTGAGCCCTGGAGGTTGAGGCTGCAGTGAGCTGTGATCATGCCACAAAAAAATACAAAAATTAGCTGGAGGTGGCGGCACACGCCTATAGTTCCAGGTACACAGGAGGCTGAGGTGGGTGGATTGCTTGAGTCATGGAGGTCGAGGCTTCAGTGAGCCGTGATCATGCCATTGCATTCCAGCCTGTCTGCATTCCAGACCCTGTCTCAAAAATTAATATAATAATAATAATAATAATAATAATAATAATACAAGAGACAGAAAGTAGATTAGAATTTGCTAGGGGTGGGGAGGCAGAGGAAGAAATGGAGAGTAACTGCAAATGAGTTTCATATTGGGGTGGTGAAAATTTCTAAAATTATATAATGGTGATGCTTGCACAACTCTGAATAATTCTTTAAAAAACCCCACTGCATTGTACACTTTAAAAGGATGAATTATACCTTTGTCAATCAAGGAAAATGACTGAGGCAAGTCTCAATTATTTTAGGAGATTTGCCAAAGTTAAGGAAGGGCACCCGGGAGACAAGTCTATGCCTTTTTTTAAAGATGATTTTGGTGGCTTCAATATTTAATGCCTTTGTCTGGCTCAGTGAATCTGCATTTTTACATAAGATAATGTAGATAATAGGGCAGAGGAAACAATCAGATATGCATTTGTCTCAGTGGGCAGAGGGATGACTTTCATTTCTGTCCTGTGTTCCCCCACCTGTGAAGATAAGCTATCAATTTACATTGCCATGGTGAACCTTAGCTGAAATGCTTTAGGGTAAAGATCTTGGTTACCATAAAGAATTTCCTTGTAGGCAAAGTGTGAGGGAGGTGTGTAGCTTTTCATCTTTGTAGCCATCTTATTCGGAAACCAAAATGGGGCTGGGTGCAGTGGCTCATGCCTGTAATCCCAGCACTTTGGGAGGCCGAGGTGGGCAGATCAGGATCACGAGGTCAGGAGTTTGAGACCAGCCTGGCTAATGTGATGAAACCCCATCTCTACTAAAATTATAAAAATTAGCCGGTGTAGTGGCGCGTGCCTGTAATCCCAGCTACTCGGGAGGCTGAGGCAGGAGAATTGCTTGAACCCGGGAGACAGAGGTTGCAGTGAGCCGAGATTGTGCCACTGCACTCCAGCCTGGGTGACAGAGTGAGACTTGGTCTCAAAACACAAAAACAAAAACAAAAACAAAACACAACAAAAAACCAAAGAAACCAAAATGGGAGGCAGGTTTGCATGACCCAGTTCCCAGCTTGACTTTTCCCTCTGGCTTAGTAAGTTTGGGATCCCAAGATTTATTTTCCTTTCACACCTTAAGAAAACTGTTTAAAAACTAATGCAATAAACATCTTATGTATAGTTTTCCTTTTGTTTTGGATTATTTCCTCAGGATGAATTTTAAGAAATGTCATTATCAAGAGACAAGCAATAGGAAAGTTTTTATTGTCCCGAATGCATATGGCCAAATTGCTTCCCAAAGGTTTTGCTTTCCTTTATTTCTTCGTCAACTTAATATCCTTAGCAAAACAGGAATGCATCACTTAATTCAATTGTCATCCACTTTCTACTTGCCTGCCTTTGACAAACCCTACTGGAGATGGAATGACTTCTCCTTGCCCACTCTTCCCAGCTCATTTGGGTGGTTGACGGTGAAGGGAAGTGGAAGGGCAAGGAGAACAAGGGAGAAGTCAAGCTTATTGCCTCCCACTGTGTGCTTGTCTCTGTGGCTTTGTATTTCTGTGATTTTTGTGTTTCTGAATCTGGGAGTGCTTTATAGTATCAACATGTGTAGAATGTTTTGTGCATACTCCTCACTGTGTTAAATACTTTACACAAATTAAGTGATTTAAAATACGTATGCTATACTAAGAGGTAGTTACTGTGATTATGTCCATTTTATAGATGAGGTAAGAAACTTGAGGTATGTGGGTAGCTAATTAAGGGTGGGGTCAGGATTTGAACCCATGGTCTGAACCCAGAATCCTGGCTCTTAAGCACTACACCATCCCACTCTAAATGCTCTCTTGGGCTGCTCTCAAATGATAATTTAACAAAACACTAGAGGCATTCTGAATCATTATTCTGCCCTTCTCTGGAGGAGTGGTTAGATGCTACTTTTCCCCACTATTTGCCATTTTAAGAAAAGGCTGATTTTCAGACAGCACGGGCAGCCAAGGAGATGATCAGAAGGTAAATTAAGGTTATTGACATATAAGGCAGGATAAGGAAATGAAGATTGCAAGCTCTGTATTGGAAGGCTTACCTTTTATCATCTGATTAAGACAACTAAAAAATAGATCAGTTTAAACTGAATAAGCATACAACACACTGCTGGTGACTTCTAAAAAGATATCAGTGACAATAGATACATACCTTTGTGTAGAATCAATTGATTGGACCCACATACACGATCTCATTTGATCCTTATTAACAATCATTTGGG
The DNA here is from genome assembly GCF_000001405.40 of Homo sapiens. NCBI lineage: Eukaryota > Metazoa > Chordata > Mammalia > Primates > Hominidae > Homo > Homo sapiens. The sequence goes on along the minus strand of NC_000007.14, from coordinate 143,279,977 downwards.
CTGCCTGATTATCACTTTCATTTTACAGAGGAAACAAGCTCAGAGAAAGTACACGATTTCTTTAGTTAGAAGGAAACTCAGAACCTTGACCTTTTAATTCAGCTGGGTGTGTTTTCCCCTTCAGAAATTGCCTTAGTCACAGCTTCTCCAAAATGTGTAAGGAAGGTGGATAAATGGTTTATCATGACATAGGTGAGCAACATTGATATTTTCTAGATGGAAATGCTTTCAAAAAATAATAAATCCTCCAGTATGTAAGGATAAATACATGCACTTACCCCATCAACTAGTTTTAATATTGTACAAAGCTCGCTAAACAAGAACTGAGTGAACAATGGGGTTGAGGCAGTCAGTCTAGCTCAGATACTCGGCATTAAGCCACAAAAACCTTCTGGAATTTGAGAAATTGAGTGTAGTTGTTGCTAAGCAACAACAACAAAAAGAGCATTGTGTTTGTTAGAAATGTCTACAGATAGTGACAGCAGAGTCCCACATGGATATGCCTGTAAATACTAGCAAACAGGAGGCCGTGCAGTTTAAGCACATGTGTTTTGGCCAACCCTGGTTTTCAAATCTCATTTCTACCACTTACTAGCAGTGTGACCTTGGGCAAGTTACTTAACCTTTCTGAGCTTCGGTTACTAATCTGTAAATTGGTGAAAATAAACCCACGTATATCACCCCTTTCCCACACTGCTCCTCCAGCTTGGGGAACTACAGCCAAAGTGAGTCTGGGTCTGACTGTAATGTGCACAACTGTGTGTGGGACCAGCGAGGGGTACCATCCTGTCACTGGGACCTGATTTCACCATGGAGCATTTGTTTGTAACTACATTGTACATAGCCCTGTGCTAACTTCTAAGGGCATCTATCCAGGAGAGGTAACATATTTGACTGTGGTCTCCAGGATTTTCTGATATGGGTAGAGAGATAAGAGATGCATATGAAATAATTAAATAACAATTAAAGACAGTATCTGACAGCCTGGGCAACATAGTGAGACCCTGTCTCTACACACAAAAAAACATTAAAAAATTAGCCAGGTGCAGTGTTGCCTGCCTGTAATCCTAGCTCTTTGGGAGGCTGATGGGGGAGGATTGTCTGAGCCCAAGAGTTCGAGGTTGCAGAAAACTACGACTGTGCCACTACACCCCAGCCTGGGTGACAAGGCAAGATCCTGTCTTTAAAAAAAAGAAGAAGAAGACAGTATCTGAAAAAGTATTAATGTATGTGCCGGGCATGGTGGCTCACGCCTGTAATCCCAGCATTTTGGGAGGCCAAGGCAGGTGGATCATGAGGTCAGGAGTTCGAGACCAGCCTGGCCAACATAGTGAAACCCTGTCTCTACTAAAAATACAAAAATTAGCTGGGCATGGTGGCACGCACCTGTAGTCCCAGCTACTTGGGAGGCTGAGGCAGGAGAATCACTTGAACCCGGGAGGCAGAGGTTGCATTGAGCTGAGATCGTGCCACTGTACTCCAGCCTGGGCAACAGAGCGAGACTTCGTCAAAAAACAAACAAACAAACATAAAAATTAAATATATGGATTACTAAAATATAGTTATTTTAGTTAATTAAAAAATGATCTACACTTTTAGTATAAAATTCAACAGGGAAAAAATTATAATAAAGAGTAAGTCTTTTTTATATCCCCAAACCTCAGTCTCTCAGTCCCGTTCCCATGAGGCAATCTCTTTCCCAACTATTTCTGGGTACCCCCTCCCCAGAGAGAGACCATAAATATGCAAACATAATATATACAGGCTCTCTTTCTTTATACATTTGGGAGCATACCATAGATAATGCTTTATATTTTGCTTTTTCCACCTAACAATATATGTTGGAGATTGTGCCTTATCAACATATGTAGATCAATATGTGTAGACCGTTTTGTTATGAATTACTAAAAGCATACAGAAAAGGGGCCAGGCATGGTGGCTCATGCCTGTAATCCCAGCACTTTGGGAGACTAAGGTGGGCAGATCGCTTTGAGCTCAGGAGTTCGAGACCAGCCTGGGCAACATGGTGGAACCCCGTCTCTAGAAAAAATACAAAAATTAGCCAGGTGTTGGTGGCTCACGCCTATAGTCCCAGCTACATGGGAGGCCAAGGCTGGAGAATCGCTTGAGCTCAGGTAGCAGAGGTTGCAGTGAGCCAAGACTGGGCCACTGCACACCAGCCTGAGTGACAGAGTAAGACCCTGTCTCAAAAAAAAAAAAAAATATATATATATATATGTATATATGTGTGTATATATATGTGTATATATGTATATACATATAACTATACGCACATATATACACATATATATAAGAATTTTACAGTGAACACCTGTGTACTCACCACCTAGATTTTAGCATTAACATTATACTAGTTTTCTATCTACTCATCCCTTTATCCATCCATCAATGCATCTTATTTTTTGATTCATTTTAAAGTAAGTTGCAGACGTCAATACTCTTCTGATTTTATTTTGCAACTTATTTTAGAAGTAATGAGTTCAATATTTGCTTATAGTTAATTTTTTTCCCTTGAAGTAAAATTTGCCTACAGTGAAAAACACAGATTTTTAGGTAGGTCATTCCGTGAGTTTTGGTATATACATACATTTGTGTAATTCAAACTCCTATCAGGATACAAAACATTACTATCACCCAGAAAGTTCCCTCATATATCTTCCCAGTCAATCCTATAGGCAAGAATATTTTTTTCCCATCTATTATATATATTTTTTGAGATGGAGTCTCACTGTGTCTCCCAGGCTGGAGTGCAGTGGTGCAACCTTGGCCCACTGCAACCTCCACCTCCTGGGTTCAAGCGATTCTCATGCCTCGGCCTCCCAAGTAGCTGGGATTACAGGTGCTTGCCACCACACCCAGCTAATTTTCTAATTTTTGTATTTTTAGTAGAGATGAGCTTTTGCCGCGTTGGCCAGGCTGGTCTCAAACTCCTGACTTCATCTATCTGCCTGCCTTAACCTCCCAAAGTGCTAGGATTACAGGTGTGAGCCGCTGCAACTGGCCTATATTTTTTAAAGTATATATATATTTATGTATCTATAATATGTATGATCTATATATATATATATATATATATATATAATATAAATATATATATATATATATTTTGAGACAGAGTCTCACTCTATCGCCCAGGCTGGAGTGCAGTGGTGCGATCTCGGCTCATGCAACCTCTGCCTCCTGGGTTCAAGTGATTCTTCTGCCTCAGCCTCCTAAGTAGCTGGGATTACAGGCACGTGCCACAACACCTGGCTAATTTTTGTAGTTTTAGTAGAGACGGGGTTTCATCATGATGGCCAGGCTGGTCTCAAACTCCTGACCTCAAGTGATCTACCTGCCTCAACCTCCCAAACTGCTGGGATTACATGCGTGAGCCACTGCACCTGGCCTAAAGTATATTGTAAAGCTATAGCTGCCATAGATGGTGATTCCTCTGATGGATCTGGGCACAGTAAATTGAAAACCTTCCCAAAAGGATTCACTTTTCTAGATGCCATTAAGACATTTGTGCCAGGCATGGTGGCTCATGCCTGTAGTCCCAGCACTTTCGGAGGCCAAGGTGGGAGGATCACTTGAGCCCAAGAGTTGGAGACCAGCATGGGCAACATCGTAAAGCTCTGTCTCTACAAGAAATACAAAAATCAGCTGGGCATGGTGGTAAGCACCTGTAGTCCCAGCTACTTGGGAGGCTGAAGTGGGAAAATTGCTTGAGCCCAAGAGGTCGAGGCCACAGTGAGCTGTGTTCAGGCCACTGCACTCCCACCTGGGTGACAGAGTGAGACCCTGTGAACAAATTGCCACAGCTATTTCATCCTTCAGCATCCACCACACTGATCAGTCAGCAGCCATCCACACTGAGGCAAGACCCTCCACTAGCAAAGAGATTATGATTCACTGAAGGCTCAGATGATCATCAGCATTTTTTAGCAACTAAATATTTTTAAACTAAGAAATGTACTTTTTTTAGACATACTGTTGCACACTTAATAAACATTAGTATTGTGTAAATATAACTTTTATATGCACCAAAAAGTTGTGTGACTCACTTTATAGCGATATTCACCTTATTGTAATGGTCTGGAACCAAACCCACAATATCTCTGAGTTGCTCCTTTATTTTAGAGGCATTTAATCAGCATATATTGTATGCTTACAGGGTCAGCTATAGCCACATAATTTATGAAAAACCAATATGCAGGGCTGTGTATTCAGAAATTATTAAGAATTTCAAGACAATGACAGCAGAACATTAAACCATTTTGAGGCCCTGTGTGAATGCATAGGTTTCAAGACCATGAAACCAGCTTTGTGTCCTTAGAACTGTGGGGATAGGATGAAACATGGAATATCACAGAATTATTATCTCAATACATTCTCTGTCTCTCTTGTTTTACAGCATTGATGTAATACTTTTTTAAATTTAAAATTTTATTTTAAATTGACAATAATTGTATATGTGTATAGGATATGGTGTGATGTTTTATATATATATATACACACATTGTGGAATATTACATCAAGCTAATTAACATATCTCCTCATTTACTGGTCATTTTTATATAGTGAGAACATTTAACATCTATTCTTGTAGCAATTTTGAAATATACGATACATGATTATTAATCATGGTCACCATACTGTACAATATATATTAAGAATTGATTCCTCCTAATAGAAACTTTGTACTCTTTGGTCAACATCTCCCCATTGCCCACCCCGCACCCCCAGCCTCTGGTAATCACTGTTCTACTCTCTACTTCTGTTAAGTTCAACTTTTTTAGATTTCACATGTAAGTGAGATCATGCGGTATTTGTCTTTCCATGCCTGGCTTATTTTATTTCAGATTCCTCTATGTAGTAGCAAATGACAGAATTTCTTCCTTTTTAAAGACTAAATAATATTCCATTGTGTGTGTGTGTGTGTGTGTGTGTGTGTGTGTGTGTTTCTGTGTATACAGTCATGCGCCACATAACAATATTTCCACCAGACTACATATAGGATGGTGGTCCCTTAAGATTATAATGGAGCTGAAAAATTCGCATTGCCTAGTGATTTGTGTTACAATTGCCTGCAGTACTCAGTGCAGTAACAGGCTGTACAGGTTTATAGCCCAGGAGCAATAGGCAATACCACATAGCCTATTTGTGTGGTAGGCTATACCTTCTAGGTTTGTGTATGTTCTGTATACTCCATGATGTTCACACAATTACAAAATTAACTAATAATGCATCTCTCAGAACATATCCCCATCATTAAGCAATGCATGACTGTGTATTATACATATCACATTTTTTAACCATTCATTTTGGGTTATTTATTTAAAATTTAATTAAAATAAAATAGAGATGGGGTTTTGACATGTTGCCCAGGTTGGTCTCGAACTCCTGGGCTCAAGCAATCCACCCACCTAGGCTTCCCAAAGTGTTGGGGTTACAGGCCTGAGCCACCATGCCCAGCCTAACCATTCATTTGTTGATGGACACTTAGGTTGACTTCATATTTTGGCTATCGTGAATAAGAGCAAGATATCTCTTTGATACGCTGATTTCATTTCTTTTGGATATATACTCAGAAGTGGGATTGCTGGATCATATGGTAGATCCCTTTTTAGCTTTTAGAGGAACCTCCATACTATTGCCCACAATGGCTGTACTAATTCCTATTCCTGCCAACCCTTTTCTCCACGTCGTCACTAACAGTTATCGTTCAGCTTTTTAATAATAGTCATTATAACAAGATGTGAGGTGCTATCTCATTGTAATTTTGATTTGCATTTCCCTGATGATTAGTTGTTGAACATTTCTCATAAACCTGTTGGCCACTTGTATGTCTTCATTTGAGAAATGTCTGTTCACGTCCTGTAATCATTTTTCAGTTGGGTGATTTGTTTTCTTGCTATTGAGTTTCTTTTATATTTTGGATATTAACCTCTTATCAGATGTATGGTTTAAAAATATTTTCTCCCAATCCGTGGGTTTACATTCTTTGTTAAAAACATTTTTATTATGGAAATATCTCAATACACATAATATAGTATAAATAACTCCCCATGTATCCATCACTCGGCTTTAACGATAATTAACATCTTGTCACTCTTGTTTCATCTATTCCTTCTGACCTGCCACATTTTAAAAAGCATCATGTGATTTCTATCCTAATTTTTTTTTTTTTTTTTTTTTTTGAGACGGAGTCTTGCTCTGTTGCCAGGCTGGAGTGCATGCAATGCTGCGATCTTGGCTCACTGCAACCTCCGCCTCCCGGGTTCAAGCGATTCTCCTGCCTCAGCCTCCCAAGTAGCTGGGACTACAGGTGCGTGCCACCATGCCCAGCTAACTTTTGTATTTTTAGTAGAAATGAGGTTTCACCATGTTGGCCAGGATGGTCTCAATCTCTTGACCTCGTGATCTGTCTACGTCGGCCTCCCAGAGTGCTGGGATTACAGGTGTGAGCTAGCGTGCCTGGCCCTATCCTAAATATTTCAAAATGAATTACAACCAATGAAAAGTTTTTTTTTTTTTTGTGCACAGCCACTCAGCTATTATCACATAATGAAATTAACATTAATTCTTTAATATCACCTTTCACTCCGTATCATTTTCCCCATTGTCTCAAAAATGTATTCTTACTCTGTAAATTCTTTTAAAATCTATTGTTAAAAACAATATGAGAAATTTTCAAAGGAGTCTAGTTAGAAAGTAGGCAAAAGACATGAACAGACATTTTACTGACGACCATGTACAGATGGCAAGTAGCACATGAAAAGATGTTCATTAGTCATTGGGGAGATGCAAATTAAAAATCACAGTGAGCTATCACTACCCACCTATCAGAATGATTAAAGTAAGAAACAGTAGTAACACTAAATGCTGGTGAGGCTGTGGACAAACTGGATCACTCATGCGTTGCTGGTGGAAAAGTGAAACCAGCTACTCTGGAAAACAGTATGGCAGTTTCTTTTCTTCTCTTTTTTTCTTTTCTTTTCCCTTCCTCCCTCCCTCCCTCCCTTCCTTCCTTCCCTCCCTCTCTCTTTCCTTTCCCTTCCTTCCTTCTTCTTTCCTTTTTTTTGTTTGTTTTTGTTTTTTTGAGACAGGGTCTGGCTCTGTTGCCCAAGCTGGAGTGCAGTGGCGTGATCATAGCTGACTTCAACCTCCGCCTCACAGGCTCAAGGGATCCTCCCACTGTAGCCTCCCAATTAGCTGGGACTGCAGGCACACATCACCATGTCTGGCTTTTTCTTTTTTCTTTTTTTGGAGATGGGGTTTCGCCATGTTGCCCTGGCTGGTCTTGAATTCCTGGGCTCAAGTCATCCTTCTGCCTTGTTCTCCCAAAGTGCTGGGATTACAGATGGGAGCCATCATGCACCCAGCCTTGACAGTTTCTTCTAAAACTAAGCATGGACTTACCATGGGACCCAGTGGTTGTGTTCCTAAGCATTTACCCAGAGAAATGAAAATAAAAACCTGTACATGAACACACAGAGTAGCTTTATTTGTAAGAACCTGAAACTGGAAACAACCCAAGTGTCCTTCAACAGGCGAATGTTTAAACACACTATGTTACATCCATACTATAGAATATTAATACTATTCAGCAATAAAAAGGAATAAACTCTCGATACATGTCAAAACCTTGGATAGATCTCAAAGGGATTGTGCTGAATGAAAACAATCAAATCTGATTCCATTTATGTAGCATTTTTGAAATGACAAGACATAAAGATCAGATTAGTGACTGCCAAGGGTTAGGGAAGTACAGGGAGGGAGGGAGGTAGCTGTGGCTATAAAAGGGTAGCATGAGAAATCTTTACACTGAAAATGTTTTGTATCTTGGCTGTGGTGGTGGTCATCAGCATACATGTGATAAAATTATATAGAACTAAATACAGACACACAATAAGCATGTGTTAAACTGGTGAACTCTGAATAAGGTTGATGGATTGTATCAATGTCAATTTCTTGATTTTTGTCCTATAGTGTGTTATTGTCCTATAGTTATGCAAGAGGTTACCACTGGGGAAAGTATGTGAAGAGTATATGGAATCTCTGTATTATAGCTTACAAAATGGATATATAAAAAATTAGAGAGTAGGAATGGGAATGAGAAAGGGAGGACTCTTCACTTTTTACTTGATACCTTGCTTTTACTGTTTTTACCACATACGTGCATTATTTTTTTAAATTACCATGTGTGTTTGGCTCTGCAAAAAAAAAAAATCATTTCTGGAAACTTCACCTAAGAAAATACATATACAATAAGATTGTTTTGGAAACATACAGCTAGTTGTTAACCTTGGAATTTGAATTACAATGCAAGAAAGTAGTTCAGTATTGAATCTGAGTATTGGCACAATTGCAAATTTCCTATTACAATTATTGATCAGAAGGGAAGAGGGCAAGAAACTAAGAAAAAGTATGAAACCCTCCTTGGATTAGAAAAAAAGAGTGTTTCATTATTAACGCACAGTTGCTTTGAGAGGCTTTCCCCTTTCTTGTTTTGATTCTATTTGGAAGAAGGAGTTCAGAAATTACAATCTGGATCATGAGTGTAAGCATTAGTCTAGAAATTATCTAGTTCCTCCAGAGAAGATTAAAGTCAGCCACTGGATTCAGAAAATAGGATGATAAAGTCTTCAAAGAAAGACTGGGTAGAGCCAGGAAATATGCATCTACAATAAAACATTATCCCACTTAAGCCTGGGAAAAGATTCAGGATTAATTTAAGTAGTTAATACATTTAGAAATCAATGGGCAAGATGCACAGTTGTACTGCAATGTGAATCTACAATTTTTTTTTTTTGAGATGGAATCTCACTCTGTCGCCCAGGCTGGAGTGCAGTGACCCGATCTCGGCTCACTGCAACCTCCGCCTCCCAGGTTCAAGCGATTCTCCCGCATAAGCCTCCTGAGTACCTGGGATTGCAGGTGTGCACCATCACACACAGCTTAATTTTTGTATTTTTAGTAGAGATGGGGTTTCACCATGATGGTCAGGCTGGTCTCAAACTGCTGACCTCAAGTGATCCACCTGCCTCAGTCTCCCAAAGTGCTGGGATTACAGGCATGAGCCACTGCGCCCGGCCAAATTTTTTATTTTTCATTTTTATTATTTTGTGTATCAGAATACATTTTAAAAAATCAAAAATTGTAAAAGTATACAAATAAAATGGAAAGATTTTGATGTATTTTATCTCAGAATAATGTCCTCTGTATTATGTTTTTATTCATCAGGACATATTGAGATCATACCATATAGTTTCATCTTTTTCCAATCAATATTATATCTCAAGAATTTCCAATGTTCTTAACAATTCTTCAGAAATACAATTTTTTTTTGAGACAGAGTTTCGCTCTTGTTGCCCAAGCTGGAGTGCAATAGTGCAATCTCAGCTCACCACAACCTCTGCCTCCCGGGTTCAAGCGATTCTCCTGCCTCAGCCTCCCGAGTAGCTGGGATTACAGGCACGTGCCACCACACCCGGTTACTTTTTTGTATTTTTAGTAGAAACAGGGTTTTACCATGTTAGCCAGTCTGGTCTCGAACTCCTGACCTCAGGTGATCCGCCTGCCTTGGCCTCCCAAAGTGCTGGGATTACAGGTGTGAGCCACCGTGCTGGCCCTCATATACAATTTTTGATGACTGTAAAACATTATCTCCTGAATGTGCCATAATTGATTAAAGTATTCTCCTCCTGATAGGTGTTCAAGTTGTTCACAATTTTTGATATCCACATATAGTGCTGAGACAAGCATCTTTATTCATAAAACTGGTTCCACTCACCCTGCTCTGGGCAGCTTAGTTTTGTCTTAATTTGCCCTTATGGTTTTTAAGATTGGACATCTTCCCATATTTTTATTTTATACTAGCTGTACATCCCATGAAACTCCTTTGAAGAAAAGGAGTACTTAATTTGGAGATGTTCTTTTGCCATTACTTCACAGATAAGTTGGGTAAAGATGATTTTAAATCCTGGAGGATGCTAGAGACATGGAAAAGGTGAGAGAGGAAGACAGAAATTAATGGGAGATAAAAGGGGAAAATGGACTATGGGAAGAGCCAGACCCAGAGGGAGGGATGGAAGGGAAAGTGGCATTGCTCCTGAAACTCCTCCGGGCTATGTAAGGCTCCGTACTTGGTTCCCAACAATGGATCCAAGTGAGGTTTCAGCTTCCAAATACAGAGTATTCTTAAAGAAGTCAAAATACTATTGAAACAAGGGATTCTGATCATTGCACAATGGGCACAGCTAGAGGCAGGGACTTTGGGTCAATTACTGGGGGAATGGAAAAGTTATATGTATGTAGTAGGGAACAGGGGTTATACTAGGTTAGGCAGAGAAGCCTTGGAGTTTTCTCAGAATCTGCACTGAGGGTTAAGGGAGGTATCTATGAAAGGGTGTGCAACTTCCCCAAACCGCAGCAACTCCAGCCAGTTTCCCGGTACTGCCTTGCCCTGGTTTTGCAGGTGTGGCTGGACCCAGTTTAAATATCTGGCCACAAGCTCAGCCAGACTCTGGTTCCCTCGGCTGTTCACTCCCACTGGGCTTCTGGTCCCAGCCCCATCTCAGTCACTGTGGTTGGTCAGAAGACAGTAAATCCCAAACTTGATTAGTTGCAAAGTCCATCTGGCTTGGTTTTCTGTTGCTGATAGAGAGACCAGGGGAGTTTCTGTGTGAGAGAACGGGGGACTATTCTCACTTCTTCCACCGCACAAGCTGCTCAAGGTGGGCTGCATGGCTGGTCTGGCTGGAAATACTGAAACAGCTCTCCTTCACCTACCCCTAGAGTAGGCAGGATGTGACCCCAGGAATGAGAATATACCAGGGCAGATACAGACACAGAAATGTTTTGCCTGATGGCATTAGGTTTATTTTGTGGGAAAGCAGAATTGGGGCTCTCTGAAAGGCACTTGTGAGGCATAGAAGTAAAGGTTGCCACATGGCTAATGGTGGACGTCTTCCTGGCATCCTTGGGGGTAGGGGAAAGACAGACAGCTCCCAGGGCCACAGAAAATACCTCTATCAGATAGAGAAATCCGAGTCCCAGTGCCTTATGGTGGAGCCAAGGGTTAAGCAGATGGCCTGCTTTTTTTATACGAAGAGTTTGCTTCCTCCGGGCAATCTTAAAGTCTGGCATTCACGGCTGGAGGTATAGGGCCCATCCACTTCTCTCCTGGATGAAGAAAACAACAGACTCTGCACACTGTTCTCAGGTGTTCTGGCAGCAGGAGTTGGTCCCACAAGGTCCCAGGGGTTTTCTAGAAAGACTTTTGCTTGGCTTCAAGGTATAGAAGGCTTCCTTTTCTTTTATGGGGTTGAAGACAGCCCCTGCCCACTCAACCTTGAACAGCACTGACTGCATAACGCTTTGTTACTGGAAGTGCCAAGAATATTTTTTTGCTCTGAGCCCCTCCTTCTGGTCAACTGATATAGTGGGTGTGGAGCTGGGGTCAAAGGCAGCTCAGGGTTGAATCTTTTTATTTTTTGAGACGGAGTCTTGCTTTGTCACCCAGGCTGGAGTGCAGTGGCGCGATCTCGGCTCACTGCAACCTCCGCCTCCCAGGTTCAAGTGATTCTCCTGCCTCAGCCTCCCACTGAGGCAGCTGTAGTCCCAGCTAATTTTTATATTTTTAGTAGAGACGGGGTTTCACCATGTTGGCCAGGATGGTCTTAATCTCCTGAACTCGTGCTCTGCTCGCCTCAGCCTACCAAAGTGCTGGGATTACAGGCGTGAGCCACTGCACCTGGCTCAGGGTTGATTCTTTAACTTACTTACCCAGCAGGTGCGCCAGCAGCTCCATCCGGTCAGAGCCAAATAACATGTGGGTTTGGCCATCCACATGGGCCACGGTGATGGGCAGCCCAAAGGCCTGGAGAAAGCAGTTACAATGCAAGGAGGAAGGCAAAGGAGCAGGTATTAGGCAGGGGTTGAAACCTTTGAGTCAGTACTTTTCTGAGTTCACAGAAGCAAAGAGGTCTAAGAGGCTCTGTGGCCCCAGGTGCCTTCCTGTTTCTAAGATGCTCTCTTTTCTCTCACTGTGCATCTCCTTCCCTTCCTTTCCCTGAGCCCAAGGAAAAGAAGGAAGAAGATGAGGGTTGTTTAAGAGCACTGAGGAGAACACTTGGAAAGGGGGCTTTTGTACAGGAGCATAAGGACTCAAACTTAGAGATTCTCAAGTCTCCATCTTCAGGATGGGTGCTGGGAACACACATAAAGAGCTGCTCACTCCGTATCTGCAGGCTGCCTCAGTGGTCTCCTTGAGCTGGTTCTTCACCTTTGGCGTTGCGATCTTTTCCAGAAGTCCCTGGGCTTGTTCTGCAGACATACCAGCCTTCTCTGCAGCCTAAGGGAATATAGTAGGGAATACAACTGTGTCTGCATGATATTGGATGGGGATCTCAGAGGAAAACTCTGGTCTTTTTATTTTCTGCCCCCAAGTTTTGCTGGCAATGCCCTTACCCACCCACAAGTGGAGATCTGTCCTTGCCAAGAGGAACTATTTCCTTTATCCCAAATCTTGAGATGGGTGGAAAAGGAGAAAAGGTAGATGGCACAGAGTCAATCACAGAAATTAACACCAGCGGACATCTTAGAGAGCAGCTAGATAGACCTCTTTATTTCACAAATGAAGAGCCTGAATCCAGAGGTGATACATTACTTGCTCAGAGTTACAGAGCATGTTGGTAGCAGAGCCAACACTAGAATCCAGGTCTCTAGAATTCAAGTCCAGGGCTCTTTCCTTCCTACCTCTCACAGTTCCTAAGTATCTCATGCTTTTTTTGAATCAAGAGCTAGGCTGTAATTCCAGTGGAACTTCCTGAGAACTTTGTAACAAGGCACATGGCTGCAGCCACCTACCTGGCTTCAAGACAAAGATAAAGGCTTCAGTTTGTGGTTTGTTGGTATAGTTTGGGATAGATGGTTCTTAACTTTGGCTGCCCATCTGAAACTCCTGAGGAGCTTTAAAAAATCTCCACGTGAGGTCATCCCTTAGAACTAGATCCAAGCACTGTGGCTCATGCCTGTAATTCTAGCACTTTGGGAGACTGAGGCAGGAGATTGCTTCAGCCCAGGAGTTCGAGACCAGCCTGGGCAGCAAAGTGAAACCCCCATCTCTACAAAAAATTTTTAAAAAATTAGGCATGGTGGCACATGCTTGAAGTCCCAGCTACTCGTAAGGCTGAGATGCGAGATCACTTGAGCCCAAGAGGTTGAGTCTGCAGTGAGCCATGATCATGCCACTGCACCCCAGCCTGGGTGACAAAGCAAGACACTGTCTCAAAAAAAAAAAAAAAAAAAAAAAAAAGAAAGAAAGAAAAAAAAGAACAAGAACAATTACATCACAATTCCAGGGGAAAGGGTTAGCGCCAAGGTGCTCCAGGTGATTTTAATTCACAGCCAAGATTGACAACCACTGCAACTTGACTTCCTAGATCAGAAGTGGGACCCAGGAATTCATGTAGCCTGTCCTAATGAGACACTATCTTTGACTTGGTTAAATTAGAGAATTATGTCCTACACAAAATGTTTAACCACAGAAAAATGGTTAAGCAAAACAAAAATAAGTCCACTCAGTGGAACCTCTATAGAAACAAAGAACTATACTTTCAGAGTTAAGAATTCCATGGAGGCTGGGCACAGTGGCTCATTCCTGTAAACACAGCACTTTGGGAGGTGGAGGCAGACAGATCTCTTGAGCACAGGAGTTTGAGACCAGCCTGGGCAACACAGTGAAACCCCTTCTCTACAAAAAATAAAAAAGTTAGCCAGACATGGTAGTGTGTGCCTGTAGTCCCAGCTACTCAGGAGACTGAGGTGGGAAGATTGCTTGAGTCCAGGAGGCAAAGGGTACAGTGGGTCGAGGTCACACCACTGCACTCCAGCCTGGGCGACAGAGCCAGACCGTGTCTCAAAAAAAAAAAAAAAAAAAAAAAAAGCATGGAAAATGATTAAATATGAAGTAAAAAAGCAAGCTAAAAATTACACATGTACTTTGCAGGAGTATAGACTGTAGAAGATATATTTGCCATTCCTTATACGTTTAACTTTTGTGTGATTTGCCACTTTATATATTAAATTTGAATAGGTCTCAACTATTTTTTTTTGTAAACCAGAGGAATAATACTGTTTTGAATTTCCTAATTTAATCCTGAAGACAAACTTACTTTTATACCCCCATCCATGGCTCACTGGTCAATGTTTTGAGCTATTTCCATTTGTTCTCACTCAGGCTCCTATATAACCCTGGCATTAGTTATCTCTTTTCGTCTTTTTAAAGCCTCTTGGAACAAGTCTCCTGCCTTCCACTCTGGATGTGTTGGTGAGGTTTGTGTTGGAGTTTGTGGAGACTTGTGAATACTATATCCCTCCCCATCCAGGGGTTCCAACACTGAGCATCTTTCTCTCACTGACATCTTTCAGCAAATAAATTCTTCCCATATATTGTCCCTTTTGCACTTCCCCTTTCAACCTTGAGATATCCTTTTGAGGATCCTTAGTTCCAACTTTTCAGTAGTTTGTGCCCTGAATCACAGACATCCTTTCTTCCCCAGTAATTATAACCTTTTCCATGCAATAAGAGACCTATTGTCTTCTTTACCCCCAAACGCCAACTGTTCTCAGATTCTCTATGAGTGCAGTTGGGGTGGAGCCAGGACACTCACCGCCAGGATGCTCTGCGGCTCGGTGATGTCTTCATTCTGGGAAGAAGAGAAGACAGCAGGAAGGCGGTGCGGGGAGAGGGGTGTGACTGGGAGGACAGTAGATCCCCCGGGCGGGGGCAGGATCATGACCCTGAAAACGTGCCTGGGGAAGGTCAGAAAGTCATCCAAGGTCCTCCCAGAGGATTCCCAGAGCCCCACACTCACCCTTGACCAGACGCGCATCCACAGCTCCCGGGACGCTTTCTCCAGCATCTCTGGATGCTCCAAGTTCACGGCGGTGAGGAAACGCATGGCAGACAAACTTCCTGTGGGGCAGAGGCACCCAGAGGCAGGGCTCCTCTTGCTGCTTTCCTGGTGGAGGACTAGCTCTTCCTTGCTTCTGACATCCCCCAGAGCTCCTCCGCCCTCAGCCTCTCACCCAAGGTTCCCATGACCTATTTGCCTGCTCTTCTTCCCTTTCATGCCCGGCAACCTTCAGCTCGCTCAAGGCTGATCCTGAGGTTTCCCAAGGCAGGCTTCACTTGCTTTAGTCTCCCGCAGCCCCTCCATCCTATCAATCCCTCAATCTCCGACTTCTGTGTTTTTCACTGGATACCCTGTCTACATCCCACTCTCTTCACCTTTTTCAAGCATCACAGACAAGAAATCCTTGGGGAAGTGGATGGGAATCTGGAGATGGTGTCTCAGGAGCTTTAAGTCATTTGCCATGTATAGTCCTTTGCGGGGAAGCAGACCTGGAGGCTTGTTTCCTGCCAGGAGAAGGTTGGGCACGCTAAGTGAGAAAAGACCTAAGGGTCCCAGGTTTGGGGACCTCGACGTGGGTTTTGGGCAGAGGGCAGCTTCCTTTTTTTTCTCTTGTTGTTTCGCTCTTGTTGCCCAGGCTGGAGTGCAATGGTGCGATCTCAGCTCACCGCAACCTCCGCCTCCTGGGTTCAAGCGATTCTCCCGCCTCAGCCTCCCGAGTAGCTGTGGTATACAGGCATGCACTACCACGCCCGGCTAATTTTGTATTTTTAGTAGAGACGGGGCAGAGGGCAGCTTTCTGGCTGCCAGTGCCAATATAAGGACCCGCTGGGGTCGGCTCTCTTGGGCCACTGAGATCACCCCTGCCCCGACCCTCCCTTCCTACCACTGTCTTTCATGATCCCTGTTATGAGGCTGGGCCGCAACTGCAGGTTGATGTTCCAGATATTCTGATACCGGCACAGGATCTGCGGGCAGAGGTCAAGAACGATTGCCAGTGTGCAAGATGGAAAAGTGAAAGAGCCGAGGGAAAGGGAAGGGAGGCGCTAAGTGCAGAGCAGGGGTTATGCGGACACCCTACATTGTTTGGTTTGAAATTGGCAAAACTCTCCTCACTACTAGAAATCTATTCCAGGATCTTCGCTCCTGTGGCCAGTTTTCCCCAAAACTGCCATCGTTGGGCTAAGAGGTGGCCGTGTTCTGCATTTCTCCCTGAATGTTTGGAGCCGCCCCTCTTTCCACCACCGTGGGAAACTGCAGTCGGGATATAAAGGCTCGGGTTGGAGCCAGCGACTCTATTCCGTTTAAAAGCACAAAGTGACCTTCAGCCCCGGAGCTCTCCCTGCTTGCCTTAACCCCTTGGGCGGCGCCAGGAGTTACACGAGACCTCTGTCCCGGAGCCCTGCGCTCACTCTTCCCTCCGCCCTCACTCCCCAGACACTGCCGAGGCGACCCCTCCCAGCGTCACCTCGAAGCCCAGCCAGGAGTAGGGGGACAGCACGTCATAGAAGAGCTCCACGGTGCGCGGCAGGGGCCCCATGCTGCAGGCTCCGGAAGAGCAGTGGCAGCAGGAGCTCCTTTTCCCGGAACCCGGCAGAGGCTGCCCAGCTTCTGGGCCTGCCTGGGACCGCCCACCGCCTTAGCGCGCAGCCTCAGAGAGAAACTGCCCTGGTAGAGGTCCACCTCCGGCGCAGCGGGGCAGGGCCAGCCTACGGCCCCCAGCCAGGGGCGGGGTGGGTAGGGACCCCTTGGGGAGCGCGCAGGTGTGGACAAGGGGCGCTGCAATCGCCTTTGCAAAAATTTTAACAGTGAGAAAATTACGAAGGTGAAACAGATCTGAACTCACCAACTCCATCGTGCCTTTAACCTCCAAACTGCCCTTGGTCATTCCTGAGCATGGGACGAGCTAATATAGGGAGAAATTTAGTTTATAGTTTAAATGATAATAGCCCTTCCCCAAACTAAACCAGTTTTATAAAACTAATAAAAGTCCACAAGTTTAGGATTATGAGAGGGGCCTGAATTCTGCTAAGATGTAGGCATTAACAATTACCAGACATTGTTCCAGAGGTCACAAGCTCTGCAACTTCCCCAATTATTCCTGTAAATAACCACTTTTGTAGAACCTAAGACTGGCCTTTGAAGATACCTTCTCAGACTTTTCCATTTCTAATGACAGGATGACTCCACCTGGACCAGTGACTCCTCTGTGGCCCGCATCCAAATGCAACTCGGTGCACTGAGGACGGTTTTCCACACCCCTGTGATTGCATCCCCAACCAATTAGCAGCACCCATTCTCTAGCCCCTTGCCCATCAAACTATCATTAAAAAACTCTAGCCGGCGGGCATGGTGGCTCACGCCTGTAATCCCAGCACTTTGGGAGGCTGAGGTGGGTGGATCACTTGAGGTCAGGAGTTCAAGACCACTCTGGCCCACATGGTGAAACCCTGTCTCTACTAAAAATGCAAAAATTAGCCGGGCATGGTGGCATGTGCCTGTAATCCCAGTTACTCGGGGGGCTGAGTCAGGAGAATTGCTTGAATCCGGGAGGCAGAGGTTGCAGTGAGCCGAGATCATGCCACTGCACTCCAGCCTGGGTGACATAGCAAGACTCCCTCTCAAAAGAAAAACAAAAACAAAAACAAAAAAACCCACAAAGTCCCCTAGCCTCTGCCTCCGAATTTTGGGAGGCTAATTTGAGTAATAATAAAACTCTGGTCTCCTGTTTAGCTGGCTCTATGTGTATTAAACTCTTTCTCTATTGCAATTCCCTTGTCTTGATAAATTAGCCCCATCTGGGTAATGGGCAAGATGAACCCATTGGGCTGGTGTCAGGGTGACTGTCCTGCTCTGCAGTGGAGTCTTGTGGGAAGGGGGTAGTTTGAGATGCCTGCAGTGCCTTTCACTTAGCTGTGCCCCTTGGGTGAGCCACTTGACCTCTCTGAACCTATTTCCTCATCCTGCATACACATGGGGAATATCTAATGATAACACCTGCCTTATGACGAGTTGTGAGGAATGAGGTACTCCAATAACTGCTAGCTCTTATTATTGTTGCTTGGCAGTTGCATGAATCTCCTAAACTGGGGCAGAATAAGAAGTTCTCAGAGTACACATTTTCTTGTGTTACCTTTGTCAGAGATTTGCACAATGTCTGGGACACATTTGACCATCGATACATATATTTTGAGTGAGTGAAAAAAAAGAGGGACTGGTAGAAGATGGAGAGGCCTCACTATAGATAATTTTGGTGATAATGGAAACGATTGGCCCTATTCGTTTTCACAAATATGTGAGTCATATTGTCTTATATTGGGATTACATTTACTGCAAAGAAACAGAATTTTAAAATAATTCCATTTAACTTTGTTAAAATTATTTTTAACATTACTAATTTAATAAATTGGAAAACATATAAAGATTCCACTTTTCATTTGTATCAATAAGGAAAACAACTCCAGGCTATCAGAATACAGAGATACGAGGTAAACCCCTACATGGAGAAGAGCATGCAAAATGGAATGAAAAATGATGTTATCATTACCTACTTGCAGAGTAAACTAATTGTTCAACAACCACTGAAACTAAACTTTTTTTTTTTTTGAGATGGAGTCTTGTTCTGTTGCCCAGGCTGGAGTGCAGTAGCACAATTGCAGCTCACTGCAACCTCTGCCTCCTGGGTTCAAGCAATTCTCTCTGCCTCAGCCTCCCAAGTAGCTGGGATTACAGGTGCCCACCACCACGCCCAGCTAATTTTTTGTGTGTTTTTGGTAGAGATGGGCTTTCACTATGTTGGCCAGCCTGGTCTTGAACTCCTGACCTCAGGTGATCCACCCATTTTGGCCTTCCAAAGTGCTGGGATTACAAATGTGAGCCACCACAGCCCACCTTGTTTTTTTTGAGACATGATCTCACTCTCGCTCAGACTGAAGTGCAGTGGTTCAATTTTGGCTCACTGCAACCTCTGCCCCCCAAGCTCAAGCAATTCTCCCACCTTGGCCTCCTGAGTAGCAGGGACTACAGGTGTATGTCACCACACCCAGCTAATTTTTGTTTTTTGTCGAGGTGGGGTTTCACCATGCTTCCCAGTCTGGTCTTGAATTCCTGGGCTCAAGTGATCCTCCCACCTCGGCCTCCCAAACTGCTGGGATTACAGGCATGAGCCACCATGCCCAGCTACATTTTTGTTTTTCTCCAGTAATCATAATTTTAAAGTGTCCAAGAGCTAATTCAGCGTGGTAATTTAAGGTTTCATTTCAAAGGTAGATCAATCACTTATTTTAAAAAGCTTTTTATATTTGGAAATGTTTTAGATTTATAGAAGACTTGTAAAGATAGTACAAGGTTTCTGAATACCCCTCATCCAGCTTTACCTAATGTGAAAATCTTACATAAGTATGATAATGATAAAAACCAATACATTAACATTGGTACATTACTTTTTTTTTTTTTTTTGAGCTGGAGTCTCACTCTGTTACCCAGGCCGGAGTGCAGTGGCGCAATCTTGGCTCACTGCGACCTCCGGCTCCCAGGTTCAAGCGATTCTTCTGCCTCAGTCTCCCAAGTAGCTGGGACTACAGGCGTGTGCCACCACGCTCAGCTAATTTTTTGTATTTTTTAGTAGAGACGGGGTTTCACCATATTGGACAGGCTGGTTTCCAACTCCTGATCTCGTGATCCCCCTGCCTCAGCCTCCCAAAGTGCTGGCATGAGCCACTGTGCCCAGCCTGGTACGTTACTATTAACTGAACTGCAGGTTTTGCTCAGATTTCACCAGTTTTTTCATTAGTGTTCTTTTTCTGTTCCAGGATCCAGTCCAGCATACATACAGAATTTTGTTGTCATGTCTCTTTATTCTTCCCATATCTATGAGAGTTTCTTGGCCTTTTCTAGTGTTTCATGACTTTGACACTTGTGAAGAGTATTGATCAGCTATTTTGTGGCATGTCCCTTCATTTGGGTTTGTCTGATATTTCCTCAGAGTAAGACTAAGGTTGTGGACTTTTGGGAAGATTACCACAGAGGTAAGGTGCCCTTCTTGAATCATGTCATGAGGTACAGGGATATCAACATGACTCATCACTGGTGGTGTTTACCTTGGTCACCTGGTTAAGGCGGAGCAACTGGAAAATTTCTGCACTGTAAAGTCACCATTTTTCCCTATCCAAACCCTAGTTTTTGGAAGGGAGTCAGTAAGTGCAGCCCATCCTGGGAGTGAGGGTTGAGTAGATTAAGTCCATCCACTGGAGGGAAGAATATTAAAGAAGTTGTGGATATACGTTAACACTACCATGGTAACTAATAAATATTTGGGGGAGATACTTTGAGGCTATGCAAATATCCAGTTGCTCCCTAAACTGTCACCCATCAGTTTTATTATTCATCAGTGGATCTTGCCTGCAGCAGTTGTTACTGTGGTGTTCTAATGGTGATTCTCTATTTCCTTAGTTTTTTTCATTTATTAATTGGAATTCTTTTGACAGGAGAGTTGTCCCTTCTTTCTATTTATTTATTTATTCAGTCAGTTATTTATATCAGTATGGACTCATGTATATTTACTTTAAGAATCACAGAATAATAAAACATTGATCTGAGTCCTTACAGTCTATCTCCACATACTATTACTGTTGTTATTATTATTATTTTTAGGTTGGGCCCTGTTGTGGATAAAATGGAGTAGAGACAACAAAAAGAAAAATATATTCACTTCTATGGGCTATCATCTTCCTATTGCTGAGAGGGGTATTTAGTGTTAAAAGAAAAACCTCAGACAATTTAAATTTAATGGAGTTTATTTGAGTAAAGAATGATTCTTGAATCAGGCAGTACTCAGAACCAGAAGAGGTTCCGAGAGCTCTGCAACTGTAAGCAATGAGTATTTATAAGCAGAACAGGAAGGTAAAGTACATAAATAGTTTGATTTGTTGCAGCTAAGTGTTTTGCTTGATTTAGACATGAGCCAGTCCGTTGGCTGCTTGCACTTAGCTGAAGCTTGGCTGCTTGTGATTGGCAAAGACCTGGTTATCTGTTATAAAAATGAAACTCCTAAGTTAAGTTTCAGTTTGTTTACATACTAAGTTAGGTTGCATTTTGTTTCATAGGAATTCAAAGCATGGAGACTGTCTCAGGTCAATAGCCTCCTGCTTACTTAATTTTACTCTAGATACTGATTAGAGCTATTGAAACAAGAAATAGTGGTATAAGTAAGTTATTTGAAGTGGGAAAAGCACTAAGTAGAGGAACAAAACATGATATAATTATCAAACATTGGAGGAGGCAGAGGAGAGGTGGTGTA
Organism: Homo sapiens; assembly: GCF_000001405.40. Lineage (NCBI taxonomy): Eukaryota > Metazoa > Chordata > Mammalia > Primates > Hominidae > Homo > Homo sapiens. The sequence goes on along the minus strand of NC_000007.14, from coordinate 143,258,755 downwards.
TGCGATCCAAATTCTCATCTTTCGTAGATGAGCCAATGGTATTATCTACATTTGAAAGCTCAGTAAATAGCGCTTTAATCATGTCATTTGGAATTAAATAATTGATACTGGAAATGCTTTAAGTTGCCTTTTCAAATAAATAAAAAATTGACTATTCAATAAATGATATTGGGACAACTGAGAGGTTTTTTTTTTTGTTTTTGTTTGTTTGTTTGTTTTTGTTTTTTTGTGAGGAGTCTCGCTCTGTCACCCAGTCTGGAGTGCAGTGGCACGATCTCGGCTCACTGCAACCTCCACCTCCTGGGTTCAAGCGATGCTCCTGCCTTAGCCTCCTGAGTAGCTGGGATTACAGGCGTGTGCCACCATGCCCAGCTAATTTTTGTATTTTTTAGTAAAGACAGGGTTTCACCATGGTAGTCAGGTTGGTCTCGAACTCCTGACCTCTTGCTCCGCCTGCCTTGGACCCCCAAAATGCTGGGATTACAGGTGTGAGCCACTGCGCCTGGCCCAAAAATGTATTTAGATCCATACCTCACAACTTACACATGGAACACCTCTAAATGGATCAAATATCTAAATGTTATAAAGAGGAAGCCAATAAAGTGCCTCAAGAACTTATGGAGAAACTTTTAAAACAGCTGAGAATAGAAATAGCCTTGCTAACTGTAATACCAATGCAGAAACCTTAAAAGATCGATGCATTTAATTATATCAAATTTTTAAAAATCTGCTTGGCAAAATCCAATGAGTCAAAAACATAACTGGGAAAAATATCTGTGCTTATTTCATAGTCAAAAAGCTAATTTTAATTATTCTACTGTAGAAAGAGCTAAAAATCAATACATTAAAAAAAACAGAAGCCCAGTGGAAAAAATGGGAAGATGAAGAGAACATACATGAAAATGGACATATAGATGGCTTGCAAATACTAAACATTTGAAGACACTTTGTATACTTATGATAATTGTCAGTTAAAACTACCCTGTGATATGCTTTTGTCTATCGAGTTGACAAAACTCATAAAGTTTGATGACTCAGTGTTGGTACGGAGTCATGGAAAACCATTCTTTTATTTAACCGGTGGGAGTGTAAATTGGTACAGCGTCTGCAGAGGGCAGTTTAATGATGTCTTCTGTTTTACAGATGTACCCTTTGATCCAGCAGTTTTAAGAATTTAGATATAAACATGGTTGCCACCTGCGACATGATATACTGTGAAGTTATGAATTATTATTTTTAATTGACAAATTATAATTATGTAAATTTATGGGGTACAAGGTGATGTTTTGATGTAGGTATAAATGTATAAGTCAAGCTAATTAACATATCCACCACCTCACTTATTATTTTTTGTGATGAGACATTTGAAAATTACTCTGAGCAATTTTGAAATATACATTATTATTAACTATAGTCACCATGCTGAGCAATAGATATCAAAAACATATCCCTTTTTTTTTTCTAATAGAAACCTTGTACTCTTTCTACAGTATCTTCTCATTTCCCCTCCTGCAGTGAGTTCTATTTTATGTTGCCTTGGCATCGATTTTGAATACAAGTTTAACTTTCTCACAACAGAAGCAGAACTCAGTCACCCTTGACAGGGTTTCTAGTTCTACGTCACATCCAAATGGCTCAAGCCGGTGGCCAGAGATAAGAATTCAGAGACATCTCTCCGGCCTAGAAGACTGGGCTCTCTCCTTTCCCACTGCTTCCTTTTAAATGGGCCATTCAGGTATTTTCCAGAGAATTTAAAGTACCCCCAATCCTAGTCCTCATATATACAGCTAGTTGCCATGGGCTTCTCTCTCTCTGCCTAACTCTTCCTTCCTGCCTGTCATGACCCAGGGATGGAGGATTGCCCTCTTCATTCATTACATCTCCTTGCCCAATATCTGTAAGCAAAAATTGCTGAACTTGTCTCCTATTTTGGTGGTGCATTGAATTTGTGCCTCCCCTCTGAAGGACTAGGAGATGCCCCAAGCTGGGTTTTCCCTGAGATGCTGAGGAGAACACAAGGTCAGGCACCCAGCACCAGAGTGATAGCCAGGCAGGCATAAACTGGGCATGGGTCAGACAAGGGTCACAAGAGTGTCTGTCAGTATAAAAGAGTGTTCTGTGTGACGGATCCCCTGAATCCAGGCTGAAAACTAGGCATTAGTCCACCCCCTGGTTAAAAAAAGTATCCTGTGAAAGGACATGGTAAACATCCCTATCCAGTTCCCCTTTATTTCCTGTTAGGGGCAGTGTTGCTAGCCACTCTGGTATTGGAACCCCAGTTTGGCTGGGGCTCTCAAAACACCTCCATGCTGTTTTCTATAACAGCTGTACTAATTGACATTCCCACCAATAGTGTACAAGGGTCCCCTCTTCTCCACATCCGCGCCAACACTTGTTTTTCATCTTTTTGATAATAGCTATTCTAACAATGTGAGGTACTGTCTCATTGTGGTTTTAATTTGCATTTCTCTAATAATCAATGATGTTGAGCATTTATTTATTTATTTTTATTGTTATTTTTATTTCTTTGAGACAGAGTCTTGCTCTTTCGCCAGGCTGGAGTGCAGTGGTGCGATCTCAGCTCACTGCAACCTCCGCCTCCTGGATTCAAGCAATTCTCCTGCCTCAGCCTCCTGAGTAGCTGGGACTGCAGGCACATGCCACCATGCCCAGCTAATTTTCATATTTTTAGTAGAGATGGGGTTTCACCATCCTGGCCAGGATGGCCTCTATCTCTTGATCCCGTGATCCGCCCGCCTCGGCCTCCCAAAGTGCTGGGATTACAGGTGTGAGCCACCACACCCGACCATATTTATTTTATACATATCTGTTGGCCATTTGTGTGTCTTCTTTTGAGAAATATCTACTCAGGTTCTTTGCCCAGTTTTAAATCATGTTATTTGTTTTCCTGCTTTTGAGTTGTGTGAGTTCCTTATATAGCCTGAATATTAACCCCTTATCAGATGTGTGGTTTGCAAGTATTTCCTCCCACGCTGTGAGTTGTCTCTTCTCTCTGTTAATTGTTTTCTTTGCTGTTCGAAAGCTATTTAGTTTGATGCAATCCCATTTATCTATTTTTGCTTGTGTTGCCTGTGCTTTTGGGGTCATATCCAAAAAATCATTGCCCAGACTGATGTTGTGGAGGTTTTTTCTCTATGTTTTCTTCTAGTAGTTTTACAGTTTCAGGCCCTATATTTAAGTCTTTAATATATTTTGTATTGATTTTTGTATATGGTGTAAGATAATAATCCAATTTTATTTTTCTGCTTGTGAATATCCAGTGTTCCAACACCATCTTTTGAAGAGCTTATCTTTTCTCCCTTGTTTGTTCTAGGCACCTTAAGCAAAAAGGAAGTTAGCCACACATGGTGGCTCATGACTGTAGTCTCAGCTACATGGGAGGCAAGGCGAGAGGATCTCTTGAGCCCAGGAGTTCGAGGCCAGCCTAGGCAATGTAGTAAGACCCTGTTCTTAAATTTTTTTAAAAAGCAATTGTCTATAAATGTGTGTGTTTATTTCTGAGCTCTGAATCTTGCTGTGTTGGTCCATGTGTCTGTTTTTATATTATGCTCTTTTGATTACTATAGCTTTCTAGTATATTTTGATGTCAAGAAGTGTGATACCTCCAGTTTTGTTCTTTTTGCTCAAGATTGTTTTACTATCTGGGTATGTTTTAATGGTTCCATACAAATTTAGGGATTTTTTTTTCTATTTCTGTGAAAAATGACACTGGAATTTTGATAGAGATTGCATTGAATTTGTAAATCGCTTTAGGTAGTATGGACATTTTAACGACATTAATTCTTTCATGGGACAACTTTCCATTTATTTGTGTCATTTTCAATTTCTTTTATTAGTGTTTTACAGTTTTCAGTACACAGATGTTTTACCTCATTTAACCAATTTTTAAAAATTTACACCTAAGTTTTTTTTGTTTGTTTTTGTTGTTGCTACTATAAATGGGATTGTTTTCTTAATTTCTTTTTCAGATGGTTCACTGTTGGTGTACAAGAATGCTAGTGATTTTCGTATATTAATTTTGTATCCTGCAACTTTATTGATATTGCTTATCAGTTCTAACAATTTTTTTGGTGGAATCTCTATAGAGTTTTCTATATATAAGATTATATCATCCACAGAGACAATTTTACTTCTCCCTTTCATGTTAGGATCCCCTTTATTTCTGTCTCTTGGCTAATTGCTCTGGCTAGGACTTCCAGTACTATGTTGAAAAAAAGTGGTGAGAGTGGGCATTATGGTCTTATTCCTGATGTCAGAGGAAAAGCTTTCAACTTTTCACCTTGAGTATGATGTTAGCTGTGAGCTTGTCATATATGGCCTTTATTGTGTTGTGGTATATTCCTTCCATACCTGTTGAGAGTTTTTATCGTGAAGAATATTGAATTTTGTCAAATGATTTCTACTTCTATTGAGATGATCATATGGTTTTTGTCCTTCATTTTGTTAATGTGGTGTATTATGTTTACTGATTTGCATATGTTGAACCATCCTTGCATCCCTGGGATAAATCACACTTGCTTACGGTAAATGATCTTTTTAGTGTGCTGTTGAATTAAGTTTATAGTTTTTTGTTGAGGGTTTTTACACCTATGTTTATCAGGGATATTGGCCTACAATTTTCTTTTCTTGTACTGTCCTTGTCTGGCTTTAGTATGAGGGTAATGCTGGCTTGTAAAATGGGTATGGAAGTGTTCCCTTTACTTCAATTTTTTTTGGAAGAGTTTAAAAAGAATTGTTATTTGATATGGTTTGGATGTTTGTCTCCTCCAAAATCTCACCTTAAAATGTGATCCCTGGTGTTGGAGGTGGTGCCCAGTGGGAGATGTTGGTTCATGAAGGCAGATGTCTCATGAATAGGGTGGCTTAGTGCTATCTCCTTGGTGATGAGTGAATTCTTGCTGTGTGAGTCCACACAAGAGCAGATTGTTTAAAAGGACCTGGCATCTTGCTTGCTCCCTCTCTCGCCATGTGACGTGCTGACTCCCCTTTGCCTTCTACCATGATTGTAAGCTTCCTGAGACCCTACCAGAAACAGATGCTGACATTGTGCTTTCTGTACAGACTGTAGAACTGTGAGCCAAATAAACCACTTTTCTTCATAAATTACCCAGTCTTAGGTATTCCTTAATAGCAACATGAATGGACTAATACAGTATTAGTTTTTTATATGTTTGCTAGAATTCAGCTGTGAAGCCATCTGGTCCTGGGCTTTTTTTGATGAAAGACTTTCTATTACCAACTCAAACATCTTACTCGTTCTTAGTATACTGAGATTTTCTATTTATTCATGATTCAGTCTTAGTAGGTTGCATATGTCTAGAATTAATCCATTTTTTTCTGTTATCCTATTTGTTAGAATATAATTGTTCTTAGTAGTTTCTTATGATCCTTTGTATTCTGTACTATTTGTTATGTTTCCTCTTTCATTTCTGATTTTATTTGAGTAGTCTCTTTTTTCCCTAGTCTGGCTAAGGTTTTTTTCACTTTTGTTTATATTTTCAAAAAGACCCAACTGTTTTGTTTATTTTATTTTATCTTAACTTATTTTATTTTTTAGAGACAGGGTCTTGCTCTGTCACTCAGGCTGGAGTGCAATGGTACAATCTTAGATAACTGCAGTCTCGACCTCCTGGGCCCAAGTGATCCTCCCGCCTCAGCCTCCCAAGTTGTTAGGGCTGTAGGCACTTATGGCCATGCCTGGCTAATTTTTGTATTTTTTTTTTTTTTTTTTTGGTAGAGTTGGAGTTTTGCCATGTTGCCCAGGTTGGTCTCAGACTCCTGCACTCAGGCAATCTTCCTGCCTCGGCCTCCCAAAGTGCTGGGGTTACAGGTGTGAGCCACCATGCCTGGCCAATTTTGTTGATTTTATCTATTGTTTTTCTAATTACTATTTTATTTATTTCCACTCTGCTGTTTGTTATTTCCTTTTTTCTGCTTACTTTGGGCTTAGTTTGTTCCTTTTCTAGTTTGTTAGGTATAATATTAGATCGCTCATTTGAGCTCTTTCTTCCTTTTTGATATAGGTGTTTATTGCTATAAAGTTTCCTCTTAGAACTGCTTTTGCCACATCCCATGAGTTTTGATATGTTGTGCTTCAATTTTATTTGTCTCAGAATATTTTTCAATTTCCTTTTGATTTCTTCTTTGATCTAATGATTGTTCAGAGTGTGCTCTTTAGTTTTCATATATGTGTGAATTTTTGAAGATTTCTCCTGTTACTGATTTCTAGTATCATACTACTGTAATCATAAAATATACTTGTTATGATTTTAATCCTCTTGAATTTGTTAAGCCTCATTTTGTGGCTATATAAGTCAGTTCTCACACTGCTATAAAGAAATACCTAAGACTGGGTAATTTATAAAGAAAAGAGGTTTAATTGGCTCCCAGTTCCACAGGCTGTATAGGAAGCATGGCAGGAAACTTAAAATCATGGCAGAAGGTGAAGGGGAAGCAGGCACATCTTATGTGGCTAGAGCAGGAGGAAGAGAGAAGGGGGAGGTACTAAACACTTCTAAACAACCAGATCTCATGATAACTCACTACCACAAGAACAGCTCCAGGGGGAAATCCACCACCGTGATCCAATCACCTCCCACCAGACCCCACCTCCGACACTGGGGATTATTACAATTTGACATGAGATTTGGGCAGGGACACAGACCCAAACCATATCAGTGGCCTAACATTTAGAGCCATCTTAGATAATGTTCTGTGTGCACTTGAGAAGAATGTATATTTTGTTGCTGTTGGATGAAATGTTTTGTATATGTGCATTAGTTCCATTTAGCCTAACTTGTAATTCAAAGCCAATGTTATCTTACTGATTTTCTGTCTAGATGATCTGTCCATTGTTCAAAATGGAGTGTTGAAGTTTCCTACTATTATTATATTGCAGTCTATCTTTCCCTTCAGATTATTTATTTATTTATTTGAGATAGCGTCTTGTTTTGTCACCCAGGCTGGAGTGCAATGGTGTGATCTTGGCTCACTGCAGCCTCGACCTTCTGGGCTCAAATGATCTTCCCACCTCCTGAGTAGCTGGGCCTACAGATGTGCACTGCCATGCCTGGCTAATTTTGTTTATGTTTTGTAGAGATGAGGTCTCACTATGTTGTCCAGGCTAGTTTCAAACTCCTGGGCTCAAGGAATCCTCCTGCCTCAGCCTCCCAAAGTGTTGGAATTATAGACGTGAGCCACCACACCCAGCCTGCATTCAGATCATTTAATAGTTGCTTTTTATATTTAGATGTTCTAATGTTGGGAGCATATGTATTTACACTTGTTTTGTCCTCTTCATGAATTGAACCCCCTATTATTGTATAATGACCTTCTTTGTCTTTTTTTTTTTTTTTTTTTTTTTACAGTTTTTGACTTAGTCTATTAGGTCTGCTATCAGTATAGCTACTACTGCTCTCTTTTGGCTTCCATTTGCATGGAATATCTTTTTTCATCCCTTTGCTTTCAGTCTTTGTGTGTTTTTACTAATAATGTGAGCCTCTTGTAGGCTACATTTTTTTTTAAATCCACTCAGTTACTTTCTTTTGATTGGATAATTTAATTCATTTTTATTTAAGGTAATTATTTAATAGGTGTGGACTTCCTACTGCTATGTTGTAACTTGTTTTCTTTTGTCATTTTTCTTTTTTCATGCCTTGCTATTTTTTTTTGTGGTTTGGTGGTTTCCTGTAGTGATATGCTTCAAATTATTTCTTTTTATGTTTTGTGCAACTACTATAGGTTTTTGTTTTTGCTTTGTAGTTACCATGAGGCTTACATGAAACATCTTATACTTATAATAGGCTATTTTAAACAGATAACAACTTAACTCTATTCACATACAAAAATTCTACACTTTTACCCCAACCACCTCTTATAATATTGATATAAAATTTTACGTCTTTCTGTAATTTGTATCCCTTAACGATTTATTGCAGCTATAGTTGTTTTTAATACTTTTATCTTTTAACCCTCATAGTAGAGATAAAATTGCTTTATACACCACCATTAGAGTAGTAGATTATCCTGAATATGCCCATTGAGTTTTATATTTTCATATGCTTTGTTATTAATTAAATACCTTTTATTTCAGCTTAAAGAACTCTTTTTTAGCAATTCCTGCATGATTACTAGGCAGGACTAGTAATGATGAACACCCTTAAATTTTGTTTGTCTGGTGAAGTTTTTATTCTTCCTTATTTCAGAGGGACTTCTTCTGGATATATTCTTGTTTGGCACTGTTTTCCTTCAGCACTTTGAGTATATTATCCCACTCTGTCCTTATCTGCAGGGTTTTTGCTGAGACATCCACTGCTAGTCACATTGAGATTCCTTAAGATGTGATATTTCCTTATCTCTTTCTGCTTTCAGAGTTCTTTCTGTCTTTAATTTTGACAGTTTGATTATGATATGTCTTGTTGAACACCTCTTTGAGTTGAATTTTGTTGGAGACCTCTGAGCTCCCTGTACCTGGGTATTGACATCTTTCCCTAGATTTGGGAAGTTTTCAACCATTTTTTAAAAAGTGCTTTCTGGCACTTTCTCTCTTTCTCCACTTTCTGCCACTTCTATTTTTACTTATTTATTTATTTGAGGCAAGATCTCTCTCTGTTATCCAGGCTGGAGTGCAGTGACATGATCGTAGCTCACCATAACCTCGAACACCTTGGCTCAAGCTCAGCTTCTGGAATAGCTGGGACTACAGATGTGTGCCACCATGCCTGGCTAATTTTATTTTTGTAGAGATGGAGATCTTGCTGTGTTGCCCAGGCTGGTTTTGAACTCCTTGCCTCAAGCGATCCTCCCAGTGCCACTTTTATTATGTAAATTTAGTTATCTTGATGATATCCTATAATTCCCATAGGCTTTCTGTCTTCATTTTATTCTCTTTTCTTTCTTCCCTGAGTAATTTCAAATGTACCATCTTCAACCTCACTGATTCCTTCTTCTGCTTGATTGAGTCTGCCATTGAAGAGTTTTATTGAATTTTTCAGCTCATTTATTATATTCTTTTTCTCTAAAATTTCTATTTTTATTGTTTTTATTTCTTTGCCAAACTTTTTGTTTTGTTTGTGCATTGTATTTTAAATTTTATTTAATTTTCTATTCATGTTTTCTTGTAGTTCCCTGAGCTTCTTGAAGAGGATTTTTTTCTGAAGTTTTTATCAGTCATCTAGGGTCTGTTTCCTAAATGAGTGGTACTGCTATTTGAAATTTTATAGTTCTTCATTTTTTTAGGGTCCATTATTGGAGCATTATTAATTTCTTTGGTGGTGTCATATTTCTCTGTTTTTTTGTAATTCTGTGTCTTTGTGTCAGTGTCTGCACATTTGAGGAATCACCTACCTTGTCTGGTTTTTGCTGGTGTTCTGCACTGGGGATGGAGCTTCGCTATTTAGCCTGGCCTGTGTTTCTGAACGGGTCAGCTGGTAGTGACCCTATGCAGGCAGACCTTGCTCTTGGGTTCTTTAGTTGGGCTGAGCTGCTGCCTAAGCTCAAAGGTCAGCTGGAGCTGCTGGCTGTACTCTGTACTCTAGTAAGAGCACTGGCTGGGCTTTGTGTTTAGGTAGAACTTGTGGCTAGGCTCTGCAATCATGTCTGATTGAGCAGATTTGCAGGCTCTTTTTCATAGGTTAGTGGTATGCTGTTTGGAATCTGGCTGGACAGGGCTACAGGCTGGGCCTTAGCCTTAGGGCTGGATGAGTCTCTGAGGTCACTGCTTGCCCACTTGGGATGGGCAAAGCCAGAGGCTATGCTCTACAGATATGCACAGTTTCAAGCTTTCCTCCCTCCCCAGGCCTGGAAGAACCTCAGGTTGGGCTGTGAAGCAGGGAAGGGTCATTGCTTGACCACAAGAGTTGGGTGCAGCCAAATGCTCTGCTCTGCAAATATGTGGGGGCATGAACTTCCCTTCCTATGAAGTTATAAATTACAACACTTTTTGTAATAGCAACAGATTGGAAAGCACCTAATGTTCATTGTTATGGGAGTAATTCAATACATCAATATTTAGAATATCTTGCATCTTTAAAAAGAATTTGGAAGCTCTTTTCTATTACTATTTAATGATATTCCATATATTAATAAGTGAAAAAAGCAAGATGTAAAATGATGCATATTATTATCTTAAAAGTTGGAAATATTCTGTAAATGTGTGAAATACACATGCATGTATATACTTCCTGATATTGCTTAATGGAGTGACAAAGAACTGACAAAATTGTTGCTTTTGAGGAGGAAACATAGGTAAGTGAGTACCAGGGTATGAGGGAGAGTTTTTGTTGTATATGACATTTAAAACTCATTAAATTTTTGACCCATGTAAGTAAATTATCTACCCAGAAAGAAGCACAGATACGAAGGAAAGAAGGAGGGAGGAATGGGTGTAGGGAAAGATGAAGGGAGGAAGGAGGGAAAAAAAGCAATGAAGAAAGGAAGAAAGTTGCCCTTAGGAAATTATACTGGCAGAAGTGGGAGGGAATTAGAAGGAGGCTGTTATTATTTATGTGATTTTCTTTTACCATTTGTATATTTTACCTGGATTTAAGGAAAATGTCAATTATGAAGGCCATATGGCAACATCTGTGACAGAGTGTTAAGATACAATATTTGCCAAGATACCACTGAGTACTGAGTATTTATATTACTGGTTCTCAGCACTTGACATTTTCCTAAGGATTTATCAATGGTTATATGAAACTCTGTGTGCTAGCTTTCTCACTTAGGAAAACATACCAAATGTAAGAGAGTGAAATTGACATTATTATAATTCTAATCTTGGGTGTGCTATGCTATATTAAAAGAGATAAACCTTAGCAAACTGGGGTACTTTAAATATGATTAATAAGTTTAGGTAGAACATCTCATGATTCATCGGGACATATCAGTGTGACAATATTGAAGCTGAGAACAACTAATATATACTGTAATTATATCCTTATAAAATATGTATTCAGATGGACAAAAACAAAAGAAAATGAAAAAATAAAAATAGCTGCATTACATATCGTGTAATTTCTCCTAATTTCTCAGACTCTAATGTCTTTTCCTTCCTTCCTTCCTTCCTTCCTCCCTCCCTCTTCCTCCCTCCCTCTCCCTCCCTCCTTCCTCCTTCTTCTTTTCTCTCTCTTTCTTTTTCTTTCTTTCTTTCTTTCTTTCTTTTTCTTTCTTTCTTTCTTTTTCTTTCTTTCCTTCCTTCTTTCCTTCCTTCTTTCTTTCTTCAGCTTTATTGAAGTTTAACTGACACATAATAAACTGCACATATTTAAAGTATATGCCTTGGTAAGTTTTGACATGTGTATATCCCTGTTAACTTGCCATCACAATCAAGATAATGAACATTTATGTCACCCTCCTTCCAAATTTTCTTACGACCCTTTGCAATCCCTTCCTCCATTTCTCCCTGCCCTCCATCCCCACTGATCTGGTGTCTGTCATGATAGATTATCTTATAAATATATATTTTTGTACATTAAAAGTTTTTGTGCTCCAATATAAACTTGAGAAGCCAGAGTCATTGTTTCACATTGTCACATTTGGGAGGCAGCCTCCTGAAGATTACAGTGGAGGAGCTTTATCAGGGATTGATTTTATGATCAACACCTGTGGAGAGGAAGTGATGGGATGGGAAGAGAAGGGAAGAAAATGAGAGAGTCAGGCAGAGGGAAAGGTTGGCTGTGGTGCTGTGATGCTGTCTCAGCAAAGGACCCTGTCAGTTCTACAAGGAATTCTGAGATTGTACTGAGTTCCGGTGAGTTGGCTGGGACTTTACATCCCCTTATGAGCTAGTCTCAGGTTATGCGCTGCCCTGGGAAGGGGCCCTGACCTTGGCTGAGGTGACTCTTCAGCTCAGGGCTGACAGCTGAAGGCTGCTGGCAGCACCTCACCTGCTTGGGTTTATGTCTAAGGGAGCCTGTGCAGAACATCGGTGTCCCCAGTGCAATAATCCTGGTATTTCTCCCATTCTGAGCCGTTCTTTGAAAACACAGTTGTTAGAGAAACAAAGTTGAAATGTGGGAAGGGAAGGGATATGGAAATATTTTCAGAGACTCTTCTTTTTTTAAAAGAATTTGAAAGGATAGTGAGAACAATCCTTAAATTCATGTCAGAAAAGAGGATTCATTTGTTCATTAATTCACACGTTTATTCATTTCACTAGTGCAGGATTTCTTAACCTCAGCATATTGACACATTGGAATGGATAATTATTGGTTGTGGGGGCTGTTGTGTTTATTGTAAAAATGTTTTTGTAACATTTCTGGCCTCTACCCACTGGATGCCACTAGGTGCCCAGGTGTGACCACCAAATATTATGCTAAATGAAAGAAGATGGATGCAAAGTACTATGTGTTATACAATTTCATTTGCATAACATTTTCAGAATAGACAGGAAGCAAATCAGTGGTTTCTCCTAAGGCTGGCAGTGAGAGTGGGGATTGACTGAACATTGGCATGAGGGAACTTTTAAGGTGACAAAATTGCCAAGTGTTTCCTGGTGGCATCAAAATCACCCTGGTTGCAAACCTGCACTGGTGTCTATTGAGTGTCTCCTCTGCCTCATGCACTGTTCTGAGTGCTTGGGGTTATAAGCACTCCATCTGATGTGGGAGTCAAAAGGCAAAACATCAATTGGCAAATTCAATACAAAGTGTGTTTTGTGTGTGCGTGTGTGTGTGTGTGTTGAGGGAAGGAGTGTTAAGGATGTTGAGAAAGAATCAGGGAATGCTTCTCAGAGGAAGTAACCCTAAATGAAGACTTGAACTGTAGGTAGGAAGTAAGTAGACCGTGGATAGCACTGTAGTCAGGGTTGCAATTATAGAATACAATAGACTGCATAGCTTATAAACAGCAGACATTTATTTCTGGTAGGTCTGGAGGCTGGGAAGTCCAAGATCAAGGAGCTGGCAGATATGGTGTCTGATGAGGGCTCACTTTCTGGCTCACAAATGGCCATCTCCTCCCTGTGTCCTCATGTGGTAGAAAGGACAGGGAACTCTCTGGGTCCCTTTCATAAGGCCACCCACCCGATTTATGAGGGCTCCACCCTCATGACCTAATCATTTTCCAAAGCCCCCACTTCCTAATACCATCACCTTGGGGGTTAGGATTCTAACCTATGAGTTTTGTGGGGACACACACATTCAGCCAATAGCAGAGAGGAAGAGCAGATAGATATTCCATACAGAGCCAGCAACATTATGGAAAAGCCCATTGTCTGGAGTCTTGAGGAACTGAGAGAAATTCTCTTTAGCTGAAGGATTTGAAGGAGGGCAATGGTGAGAGATGAGGCTGGAGCTACGGCAGGTAGAGGCAAGGCAAAGTCATGTGACAAGATTTACAATCTCTCCTGGAATAACCTCAAGCTTAGTGTGATCTTAAAAACGTATTTTATAGAAAAGAAGTAATTTCATTGCCTAAGTACTCAGAATTGCTTCCTGTTGGTGTAGAAAAACATACAGGAACTGTTAGTAATTTACTCTTGCGATGAATCACACAGCCACATTTATTTTTATTGTTTGGCAAACACACATGTAGCTTACTACATCAGTCACTCTTCTAAGTACTTTATAAATATTAACTAATTTAATCCTTTTAACAACCCTACAAGGTAAGTACCATTTTTTAGCAACTTGATATATTTGCCATAAAGATCACCCATTGTAAGTGTACCATTCAATAGTTTTTAGTATATTTATACAGTTGTGCAACCATCACTACAATTCAGCCTTAGAATGTTTTCATCATCTCAAAGTCTTTTCTTTTTTTCTTTGGTGCTTGCTACTTTGTAGTCAATCCTGGTTGAGAACCTGCACTCAATCCCACTCCCACCCCCTAAGAAACCACGGATCTTCTTTTTGTCTTTATAGATTTGTCCTTTCTGGAAATTTCATATAAATGGAATCATGCAATACGTAGTTTTTTTTTTTGCATCTGACTTTTTTCTACTTAGCATAATGTTCTTGAAGTTCATCTATGCTGTAGCATGTATTTATAGTTTTAAACATTTTATTGCTGAATAGTATTCCATTGTATGGATGTAACACATTGTTGATGGTCATTTGGATTGTTTCAGGTTGTTGTCCATTATGAATAGTGCTGCTGTAAATATTTGCATTCAAGTCTTGGCATAGACATGTGTGTTCTTTTGGATAGATACCTAGGAGTGGAATTACTAGGTCTAATGGTAAGTCTATGTTTAACTTTTTAAGAAATGGACAAACTGTTCTTCAAAGTGGCTATTTAGGTAGATACTATCATCATCATTTCCCTTTTATTGAAGGTGAAACTTCTACAGTGTCATAAAGCCTGTGAATGGTGGCAGTAGGAATTGAACTTATGCCATTCACCACGAACCTCTGTGACCTTAACACTAAACTTTGATGGCTACTTCCTTTGTTTAAACTGTCATCAGTTTCAAAAAAAGATAATAAATAAATAAAGCTTGCCTTCTTTCCCTTACCTGATCTTGGTTTCAAAACTGCTAGAGAATACGTTGTCTAGTTCTGTCCATGGAATTATGCCTGCGGGAATTTCCGTGATGTTCTTTTCCTTCTTTGCTTCTAAGATGATTCCCTAGGCAAATCTCAGGCCACTCAAGTATTTTCATTTTCACGTCCTTTCTGTGAGAAACATGAACAAACCTAGGGAGTGTTTTGAAAATGAGATTTTTAAACTCTCCAGTGACAAAGTCCTCTTTCCTGGACCAATAACTACCTTCAAAATAACATTCTAGCTACTGACTTAGTCTGTGTGGCTGGTGGATTTCTTTTTAATACAGCAGCTGGTAGGCTACAAAGCACGTGTCAGTGACAATGCATGGGCTGCCTGTCAGGAGCTCCCGAGCCAATTGCTCAGAGGACCCTTCACCTCTGGCTGGCAATTGCTTCTTTCTGATGTTAAAGGTCACCACAGCAATCACCTACTACTGCTCTCAAGATTTGATGTGATCACAACACTCTCTGCATCTTCACTTTGCCAAGGATTACAAAAGAATGAGGCAGCCCACTGTCTAACATGTTCGGAGCAAACTAGTAAGGAGAGGCACTGTGGGGCTTTTAGGTTAACATACACATGATTGATGATATGCAGGAAGGATTGTTCTTGAAGAGATAGGAACTACCTAGAGCAAAGACTCAAGCATACTTAAGGCGACAGCAAGATTCCTCTGGGGTCTTTGAGTTCTGGTAATACATTCTTAGGGCCTGGATATTTTCTATCTAGGTGCTATTATTCTGGGAATGTAACTTGCCAAAAATCATGTAAACTAGTAAAAGGCAGAACTGCGATCTTAACCCAGCTTCCAAATCTTAAGCCCTAAACCATACTGCCTGCCAAGACTCCTATTCTCCCTAATTCCTTTGTGAGCTTCCAGGCTAAGTGTTCCACTTTTATATTCTCATGCCATCTGTGTTTTCTCTTATCATGGACCTTACCATATTACGTTGAAGTCATCAGTATCCTCCACCATGCTCTGTTTCTGCAGGGAGGAAAACGCATGTGTGTGTTTTTAACCTCGGATTCGGAGAGACTTGAGTTAATCATCAACTTTAATTTATAGCTCACTATTGTACACGAAGTCCCTCCTTCGTTTTTTTTTTTTTTTTTTGCTTTTGGATGGAGTCTCACTCTGTCGTCCAGGCTGGAGTACAATGGCGTGATCGCAGCTCACTGCAACCTCTGTCTCCCGGGTTTAAGCAATTCTCCTGCCTTCTACTCTCCTGAGTAGCTGGGATTACAGGCATCTGCCACCATGTCCAGCTAATTTTTGTATTTTTAGTAGAGACAGGGTTTCACCATGTTGGCCAGGCTGGTCTCGAACTCCTGACCTCAGGTGATCCGCCCGCCTGAGCCTCCCAAAGTGCTGGGATTACAGGCATGAGCCACCAGGCCCGGCCCCCACCTTCATTTTTTTTAAAAAAATCTAATTTTTCTCTTCACTCTTGATTCCCCATTCACATTATTATTGACAATAATAATAGGAATAACAGTGAACATTTACTGCCAGGCATTGTTTAAGCACTTTATATTAACTCAGTTATTCCTCACAGTAACCCCCATAGAGTCTTACTATTTCTATTTCCCATTTTTTTCAGACAAAGAAACGTTACAGAGAAGTTAAGAGACTTGCTCAAACGGACAGAGTAAGTGTGTGGGAGAGCCAGGATTTGAACCCAACTGGTCAGGCTCCATAAACCATACGGCTCTTTCAGACACATGCGCTGTTCCGGTTGATGAGGTCCTTGGACGTGAATATCACTTCCTACAACGTATAGTGTCATTTTGTGTGTGAGATGTTTTTCATAAACATAAATGGCATTGGGCCACACAGCTCTGCTTCTCATAGTTTTCACTCTAGACACGCCCTCTATGTCGCTGTTGGCACATCGAGTTCACTGCTTCTGACTGCGGCATAATATTCTATCCTGGCCACCCATCACACTTTACTGGTCCATTCTCCTTAATGAGGGCACCTTCAACTTGCTACCTCCACAAAAATGATGCAAGAAACATCTTTATTTATAGCCTTTCATGAACCTGTGCTAGAATTTCTCTTGGGAGTGTACTCAAGAGTGGTTCTCTGAGTCAAAGGATATGTGAATATTTTATTTCACCAAGTGTTGAAGGATTGCTCTCCACGTTCAAACGTACAATTTGACACTCCTGCCAGTAGCACCAGGGTTTTCCTTTCTTCACATCCTCTCCAACACTTGGTAATTTGTGGCTATTCTAATGCCTGCAAAATGGTACCCTGTTGTTGCTTTTAATTTACATATTTCTGGTTACAAGTAAGCATGAGCACCTCTTCTATGTGCTGACTATTTGGGTTTCCTCTGCCCATTCATGTTTGTGTGTTTGTATGTGCACCAATTATCCTTGCATAGTCCAGCTAGGGGTTTCTTGTAGATTTTAGATGTTGTCAATCTGTCTCTCACCTGTGCCTTTCGTTGAATGGAAGTCCAATCAATTTTTGCCTTATGATTTGAGCTTTTAGGACCTTGTTTAATTAGCCATTCTTTACCCTTTGCTCACAAAGTTATTCTATGTTTTCTTCCATTAGATTTATACCTTAACCTTCTGCATTTAGATTTCTTATCCACTTGGGTTTACCTGTGTAGGAAGTAAAAGGAAGGTATTCGGCTTTACTTTTCTCCAAATAGTAAGCCTCATATCTAATACCATCTAATAAATAATCTATCCTTTACCCACTTATTTGTGGTTCACTTTTATCATATCTCAAGTTCCCCTGGACAAATAAGTCTGTTTTTGTGCTCATTTTTTTGTTGTATTAGTCTACCTATAACTTAGTATGTCTTTAGATCTCATAGAGATATTCGTTATTCAAGAACCCTTATTCCTCTAAGTTTTACAGTAACTTGCTTGGTTCATCAAAAAATTAATATATTATTTCTGGAAAGATCTAGTAGATTTGTTGGTAGATAAATTCCTTGCTTCTTTATGACTTTTATTTACCTTTATATCTTTACTTCGTAGCATAGTATCTCACATGCTCAATAAATATTTATAGAACTGAACTATTGTTGAATTTATGATCTCTTTAGTGACTGGGAAGGAGAATAAATTATGTAATGATGGAAGTCAGATTTGAGGCCATCTTGTCTTCTTTTGAGTGAGAAAAGACAGAGGTGGAGAGAAAGGCCAGGGAATTGACTCCCTTCTGTAACAGGGACAACTGTGGCTTTGGTTTTAATTCTTACAATAACTCACTAAGATTAGCAAGTCCTGATTGAGAATAACTCCTGCATAGAGCTTTAGAAGTGGCTGCACGTGAGGGCCAGTAGCTGGATTCCCAGTGGAATTTCAAGGTCAAATATGTAGCTTAAACTAGGAGATGGCAGTAGAAAAAATGCTGTCAGTGAATTCATATAATCGAATTAGCAGTTTGTTGAATGTTAAGTTGCAAATAGCGCAGCGGAAAAGGTTTGTGCTGCAGAAATGAGGAGCCCGCCATCTAGTGGCTCTAAGTCTACATAGCACCACTGGAGCTCTAGTCCTGAGTAATAGGACACCCTTAGGGTACTTACTATAGGCTACCCACTATTCTAAGAATTTTACACATTACAACAGTAACACCGTGAAACATAGCTTATTATTACCCCCCCATTTTAAAGATGATGAAATTGAAACTTAGAGGAGTTAAGCAGTTTGCCAAAGTCATAGAGCTAATACTGTTTTGAAATCTGGACTGTGTGACTCGAGAATCAATATACTCAAACTATTTGCTATTATGACTGCAAGAAAAAGAGGGCGGTATGCTAGGATTGTCTCCTACCAGCTAGAGAGAGTGGATGGTGTGCATTCTTTCCAAAGCCACATTCAGTGACATCACACTGGTAGTTTCAATTCTGTCATGGTGGGAGTATTTACACTATGAAAACCAGAAAATTCTACACATCTGGGCTTTGTTTTTCTCCCCGCTCCACCTCCTAGAGAGAGCTGGTTTGCAGGGTGAGAAGGACTAAGAAATAAGAGACATACTCATAAGCTTTTTTTTTTTTTTTTTTTTGGAAAGCTGGAAAAGAGATTTGGAAAGTACTGAAAACCTGGTTTTTGTAAAAAATAAAATAAAGAGACCTTAAGACTTTTCTTCTGATATTTTGTACTAGATCAGAAATAGGTATTTTATGACTAATGTAGAACTTCCCAAAATGAAGAGAGACTTACCAAAGAGTATGCAGTTGCTCAACTGCTTTATGAGGAAAGAAAACAAAATGGTTACAGAGGCTCAGTTGCAAAGTGCATATTAAAAATGGCAAAGAAACAGATGAGTCAGAAAAAACAAGCAGAACTATTTTTTTAGAGGAACTGAAGCTAAATAAAACAGGACCTACTTAAAATTTCTTGAGATGGGCAAAATTGCATTGCCTATTTCAAGAAATTTTAAGTAGGTCCTGTTTTATTTATTCTGTATTTGATCTCTAAAATTCAGAGAACAAATACATCTATGCCAATTTGCAGGGGATCAAATCAGACACTGAGAATGGCCATGAAATTTAGGGGAAATGACACAAAATTGCTACAACTTCACTTCTTCCCCTTATCTAAATGCTTGGAGTGATACACACACACACACACACACACACACACACACATATTCTCTCTCTCTCTCTCAGTTGGGAGGAGACCTTTATTCTTGTGGACTACATTCATTAAACAACAGCTTGAAGAGATATTACAATATGTAAGTATGGTCACTAACAACCTACATTATGTTACGATGTGTAAGAAGAACACATCTGAGGTTTTTTTCTTCACATAATCTGTGGTAAAAAAGACATGTTAGGAATTCCAGCTTGTGGTCCTCTTCACCCCCACCCCACTTTTTTTTTGGACATGCCTCTATAGCCCCTCCTGAAGGAATAGGTGCAACAAATTATAATGTGGTCTCCTGGATATAATTTATGGATGAATCCCTAACTCAAGCAGTGCTATATTATACTCTGAGAATTTAAAGACACAGGAAACGTAGTATTGTATACTGGAGCTGCAAGATTGTTCAGTGTTGGGGCTATGGCAAACTGGAATTATAAGGGGCCATAGACTAATGAGCGTCCCTCCAGTGGAAGGCGGTTTGAAGAGAGGAGTCCAGAACAGATGTACAGAGAGATGCAGAGGTCAGAGCTATTTAGTGAGAAAATTGATGGAAAGAAGAGAGAAGGAAGGAGAGAAGAGAAATGAAAGAGGAGAAGAGAGAGGGAGACTCCCTCATGGTTTTTTAGTTTTCATGATGCTCAGTCATATTTCTTGCAAATGCCTGAATGGGGTTCCATGAGAGCCCTTAAATCATTTTAATAATTCTCTCTTTTACTTTTGCTTCTTTGAGTTGATTTTTATTTCTTGCATCCAAATGATACATGATTAAGACATCATCAAAGCAAATCAGAGTAGATAAGCACAGGAATCAGCAAACACCCAGCAGCTGCTGTTGTCCTCTGAGTCAGAACATTCCTGGAATGTACATTTCAGGAAAACATATATATATTTAAAATAACATTAGTTTCTTTCTTCTTGGTAATAAAGCCAATGCAAAGAGATGTCATCAAATGGTTGCTCAGAAGTCCTGGCACTTGCCTCTTCCACAAAGAAGGACCAAAACAATAAATAGATGATAATCACATGTTGAATAGAGCATCTAAGTGAGAACACTGAAATTCAGCAAGGAAGTGACAAAGACTCTCTCAAGCATAGAAACTCAACATGGCAGCATAGAGAGGCAAGTGAAGCAGCTGGCTGCGATTGGCTTAGAGCCAAGAAGGACTCACCATTTTGAGGAAAAGCTAAGCAAGAGATGCATAGTAGTTTATATTCTCATCACAGACACTTGCAGTTTTGACTACAGGAGAGCCAGGCCTAGTGTAGGGAGCTTCCTGGGGTCCATCTATCTACATTGTTCCAGAGAGGGCATTTACACTGGGTTTTACCCATGAGACTGAAACTGCCACAGCAGAGCACCATTTTGGAAGCAGAGTTACCAGTAGACTGCATCCAGAGAGGGCATTTACACTGGGTTTTATGCATGAGACCCAAACTACCACAGTACAGCACCATCTTGGAAGCAGAGTTACCGTCAGACTGCATCCTGGCCTGGGACCCAATAGGTCTTGCGTCTCCATAGCCCTTGGGCTCCACCAATATCCCCCAACATACACTCAGAAGGCTGCAATGTCACAACACCACCTGGACCCAGCAGTGCAACTGCATCCCTGCCACCCCAGCCCATGCAGCACCTTACACTCTTAGGAACAGGCATATCAAGCAGTCTAGCACACCAGGAAGGCCGTCTCAAAACACAGGGAGCCAAAGCATATGCTCTCTAGAAACTGAGGCCTACCTACCTGGGGCTGCCACTGTCACTGGTGGTCCCCAACCCCTCCAGCAGTAGAGGTGCTGTGTACCCACATGCACCACTCAGGGGCCCCAAAATCAGAATGCCTGGACCCACTGCTGCTACCACTAGTGCCTATGCATGGTGCCCAAGAGCCTGAGGATCAACCCACCCAGTGCCCACCACTACCACTGCCAGAAAACCTGCCCCTTCAAGTAGTGGGGCTGCCACATACCTGCATGTGCCTACCAGGGAACCAAAGACTGGCCTGCCCAATGTCCTCATTTCCAGCAAAATTTTTCCACAGCCTCCACAAACAACTACAGTCTAAGTAAATGAGGAACTGGTAGACACCAGTGATGTTGACTACAGCCAAATAAATCATATGGAAACTGCACTATTGCACTCACTCAGAAATAAAGCCAAAGCAATCTACCCAACTGAGACTACAGATAAATCCACAGGAAAAAATATTTCCTTATTAAAGCTATTTAATTAAATTAGAAGAAGTGACTGTTGTGCCAGATGCACAGATATCAACATAAGGACACAAGAAACATGAAAAAGCAAAGAAACATGATGCCTCCAAAGGAACACAATAATTCTCCAATAACAGACCCCACAGAAAAGGAAATCTATGAAATGTCCAAAAACGAATTCAAAATAATGATCTTTAGGAAACTCAGCAAGATACAAGAGAACACAAATAGGGAATACAAAGAAATAAGGAAACAATTAATGACCTGAATGAGAAATTTGAAAAGGAATAGCTATAATAAAAAAGCCAAATAGAAATTTCAAAACTGAAGAATTCAATGAATAAAATAAAAGTACTGTTGAGAGCTTCAGCAATAGACTAGATCAAGCAGAAGAATTTCTGAACTTGAAGACAAATATTTTGAAATAGCCCGGTCAGACAAAAAGATATAAAGTACAAAAAAAGAATAAAAGGAATGAAGAAAACCTACGTGACATATGGGACACCATTAAGTGAACAAATATTTGCATTTTGAGAGTTTCAGAAGACATGGGAAAAGGCACAGAAAATGTATTTAATAAAAGAATAGTTGAAAACTTCCTAAGTCATGTGAGAGATACAGACATCCAGATAAAGGAAGGTCAAACATTCCCAAATAGATTCAACCCAAAAAGGTCCTCTCCAAGGCACATTTTGGTTAAACTGTCAAAAGGCAGAGACAAAGAGAGAATTCTAAAAACAGCAAGAGAAAAGTGTCAAGTCACATATAAGGGAATCGCCATCAGACTAACAGCAGATTTTTTCAGCAGAAGCTTTACAGGCCAGGAGAGAATGGGATGACATATTCAAAGTGCTGAAAGAAAACAAAACAAAACAAAAAACCAAATGGCTACCCAGAAATACTATGCCCAGCAAAGCTATCCTTCACTAATGAAGGAGAAGTAAAGTCTTTCTCTGACAAGCAAAAACCAAGAGAATTTATCACCACTAGACTTGCCTTAAAGGAGTCCTACATCTGGGAGTGAAAGGACAATAACTACCATCTTGAAAATACACAAAAGTATAAAACTCACTGGTAGATCAGATACATGAATGAGAGAAAGAAAGGAATCAGACATTATCAGTACAGAAAATCACCAAAGTCAAAAACATAAAAGAGACAAAGAAAGTCATTATAAAATGATAAAGGAACCAATTCAGCAAGAGGACATACAATTGTAAATATATATGCACTGCACACTGGAGCACCCAGATATATAAAGCAAATGTTGTTAGAGCTAAAGAAAGAGAGATAGGTATCAATACAATAATAGGTAAGAACTTCAGCAGACCACTTTCAGCTTTGGACAGATTCTCTAGACAAAATCAACAAGAAACATTGGACTTAAACTGTTCTGTAGACCAAATAGACCTAATAGACATTGACAGAATGTTTCATCCAACAGCAGCAGAAAATAATTTTCATCAGCACATGAAACATTCTCTGGGATATACTGTATGTTATGCCACAAAACAAATCTCAAGAAATTTTAACAAATCAAAATAGTATTGAGTATCTTCTAAGGCTACAATGAAACAAAACTCTAAAACAACAAGAGGAACTTCAGAAACTGTATAAATACATGGAAAGTAAGCAATGTCCACTCAAACAAACGTGGATCTATGAAGCAATAAGAAGGAAGTAAATTTTTTTTGAAACAATGAGAATAGAAACAAAACATACCAAAACCTATGGGATACAGCAAAAATATTACTAAGAGAGAACTTTATAGCAGTAAATGCCAACATCAAAAAAGTAGAAAGAGTTTGAATAAACAACCTCAAAATGTATCTCATGGAAGTAGAGAAGCAAGAATGACCCAAACTTAAAATTAGTAGAAGGAAAGAAATAATACAGGTCAGAATAAAACTAAATAAAATAGAGACAAAAATACAAAAGATTAACAAAATGAAGCTTGTCTTTTTGAAAAGATAAAGTCAACGAATCACTAGCTGGACTAAGAAAAAAGAGGGAAGAAATAAAATCAGAAACAAAAAAGGAGACATTACAACTGATACCACAGAAATGAAAAAAGATCATTAGAAATTATTATAAACAACAATACATCAACAGACTGAGAAACCTAGAGGAAATAAGAAAATAGATAAATTCCAGGACACATATAACCTACAAAGATTGAACCAGGAAGAAATAGAACACCTGGACAGACTAATAATGAGTAATGAGATTTAATCAAACCTCTTTTTCTTTATAAATTACCCAGTCTCAGGTATTTCTTCATAGCAATATGAAAATGGACTAATGCAGTCATGTATTGTTTGATAATATGTAAGAAGACTTAATCAAACCTCTTTTTTTTTGAGATGGAGTCTTGCTTTGTCACTCAGGCTGGGTGTGACCTGAGCTCCCTGCAACCTCTGCCTCCTGGGTTCAAGCGATTCTCCTGCCTCAGCCTCTTGAGTAGCTGGGATTACAGGCACCCGCCACCACCCCTGGCTAATTTTTGTATTTTTAGAAGAGATGGGATTTCACCACGTTGGCCAGGCTGGTCTTGAACTCCTGACCTCAGGTGATCCTCCTGCCTCAGCCTCCCAAAGTGCTGGAATTACAGGCGTGAGCCACCATGCCCGGCTCAAACCTCTTTTTCTTTATAAATTATCGAGTCTTGGGTATTTCTTCATAGCAGTATGAAAATGGACTAATACAGTCACATATTGTGTAATAAAAAGTCCCCCAACAAAGAAAAGCCCAGGGCAGAATGGCTTTACTGGTGAATTTTCCTAAAATTTTAAAGAAGAACTGACATCAACTTTTCTCAATCTATTTTGAAAAATTGAAGAAGAGGGAATTTTTCCTAACTCATTCTAATAGGCCAGCATTATCCCGATACCAAAGCCGGACAAAGGCACAACAAAAAAGGAGAAAACAACAGGCAATATCCTTGATGAACATAGATGCAAAAGTTCTCAACAAAATATTAGGGAACTGAATCCAACAGCACATCAAAAAGATAGTATACCATGATGAAGTGGGCTTTCCCAGGGATGCAAGAATGTGTCAACAGAGGCAAGTTAATAAATGTGATACATCACATCAAAAGAATGAGAGACAAATGCAATATGATCATCTCAACAGATGCAGAAAAAGCATTTGATAAAATTAAACCTCCATTCATAATGAAAACTCTCAACATAGGGACTTGAGAGCTTAGGAATTGAAGGAACATACCTGAATTATATATAGAAGGAACATACCTCAACACAATAAAGGCCATATATGACAAACCCAAAGCTAACATCCTACTGAATGAGGAAATGCTGAAAACTTTTCCTCAAAGAACCAGAACAAGAGAAGGATGCCCACTCTCACCACTCTTCTTCAACATAGTACTAGAATTGGGCAAGAGAAAGAAATATGGAAGGTGTCCAAACTGGAAAAGAGGATGTAAAATTGTCCCCTCCCTTTTTTTTTCTTTTTTTAAAGATGACATGATCTTATACACAGAAAACCCTAAAGACTTCACCAAAAAAACTGTTAGAAGAAATACTGATAAACAAATTCAGTAAAGTTTCAGGACACAAAATCAACATATAAAAATCAGTAGTGTTTCTATACGCCAATCACCAGCTCATTAAAAAAGAAATGTGGAAAACATTCTCATTTACAATAACTACAAAAAAAGTACATAGGAATAAATTTTTCCAAGGAGGTGAAATATCTATACAATAAGAACCACAAAACACTAATGAAAGAAATTGAAAAGGGCCACAAACCAATAGAAAGATATTCCATGCTCATGGATTAGAAGAATTAATATTGTTAAAATGACCATCCTACCCAAAGTGATCTACAGGTTCATTTTAATCCCTACTAAAATACCAATGACAATCCTCACAGAAATAGAAAAAGGAATGCTAAAATTTGTATGGAACCACAAAAGACCCTGAATAACCAAAGCAATCCTGAGCAAAAAGAACATAACTGAAAGCATCACACTATCTGACTTTAAATTATTCTACAAAGTTATAATAATCAAATCAGCATGGTATTGGTATAAAAACGAACACAGAGACCAATGGAACAGAATAAAGAACCCAGAAACAAATCCATGTGTTAAATATTTAGAGTCAACTGATTTTTGGCAAAGGTGTCAAGCACAAACACTGGGGAAATAACACCCTGTTTGATAAATGATGCTGGGAAAACTGGACATTCATATGAAAAGGAATGAAATTAGACCCCTATCTCTCTCCATATACAAAAATCAACTCCAAATGGATTAAAGACTTAAATGTAAGACCTGGAATTATAAAACTACTAGAGAAAAACATAGGGGAAACACTCCAGGACATTGGTCTAGGCAAAAATTTTATGCCTGCGGCTCTAAAATACAGACAACAAAACCAAAAATAGACAAATAGGACCATACTAAACTAAAAAGCTTCTACATGATAAAGGAAGCAATCAAGAGAGCAGACAACCTATAGAATGAGAGAAGATATCTGCAAGCTATACATTTGGTAGTGTACTAATATCCAGAGTCTACAAGGAACCCAAACAACTCAATAGCAAAAGACCTTAACAATCTCATCAAAAAGTGGGCAAAGAATCTGAATAGACAGTTCTCAGAAAAGACATACAAATGACCAGCAAGTATATGAAGAAATGCTCAACATCACTAATCATCAGGGTAGTGCCAATTAAAACCACAATGAGATATCATCTCATCCCAATTAGAACAAGCTATTTTCAAAAAGACAAAAAGTAATAAATGCTTGTGAGAACATGGAGAAGCAGGAGCTCTAATACACTGTGGGAATTTGAATTAGTACAGCCATTATGGAAAACAGTATGGAGGTTTCTCAAAAAGCCAAAAATAAAGCTATTATATGATGCAGCAATCCCACTACTGAGTATTTATCCAAGGAAAAGTAATATATTGAAGACATATCTGCATCCTCATTGTTTATTGCGGCACTATTCACAATAGTCAAGATATGGAATCAACCTAAATGTTCATCGACAGGTAAGTGGATAAACAAAATTTGGTATATATACACAATGGAATACTATGAATCCACAAAAAAGAATGAAATCCTGTCATTTGGAGCAATACGAATGAGCTTGGAGATCATTATGTTAAGTGAAATAAGTCAGGAATGAAAAGAAATACTGCATATTTTCACTCATATGTAGGAGCTAAAAATGTTGAGTTAATAAAAGTAGAGTAGAATTGTGTTTATTAGAGGCTAGGAAGGGTTAGGGGAGAGGATTAGGAGAGGTTGGCTAACAGATGAATCACAGCTAGATAGGAATAAGTTCTAGTGCTTTATAGCATTGGGTGAATATAGTTAACAGTAACTGCATATTTTCGAAAGCTAGAAGAGAGCCTTTTAATGTTTCCAACATAAAGAAATGATACACTTTTGAGTTGATGGATATGCTAATTACCCTAATTTGATAATTACACATTGTATACATGTATAGAAATACCACTCTTAGATATGTTCTATTATTACATGTCAATTAAAAATAGAAGGGAAAAAAGTTGAATTAGAGGAAACACATACCAGAAGAATGATGTATATTTTGGTATATTTCAGATAGTGTGGATTTCAAAGATGAATCTTGAAACCCAATTAATTTTAATAGGTACTAAAAATTTAACTGGAATGAAAAGAACCCACAAAATCTTTTAGGCTAAAGGTACTAGAAATATTTGAATTATATAATAAACCTCATCAAAAGCCTTCAACAGTGTGTACTGGCACTATGTTAATGGTTGAGTAGTGGTTACATAGGGGATGTACCATTACCTGCTTTTGTATATGTTTTAAATTTTCCAAAATTAAAATTGTAAGTAGAACCTAACCATCAGGCCCTTTCAGTGATTGTACGTAGTGAAGTGAATAGAATGAAGCATCAAGAGCTGCCAGAAAAGGTAGTCCTGAGATGCAGTGTGAAGGGCTTTGCAGGCCAGTCAGAAGGTTTTTGCATAATGAGAAGCCTTTGGAGGATTTTAAGCAGGTGGGGTGTGTGTGTGAATGTGTGTGGTGGTGTGTGTGTGTGTGTGAATGTGTGTGGTGTGTGTGTGAGTGTGTTGGTGTGTGTGAATGTGTGGTGTG
The DNA here is from genome assembly GCF_000001405.40 of Homo sapiens. Taxonomy (NCBI): domain Eukaryota; kingdom Metazoa; phylum Chordata; class Mammalia; order Primates; family Hominidae; genus Homo; species Homo sapiens. The sequence goes on along the minus strand of NC_000007.14, from coordinate 143,231,288 downwards.
TGAATGTGTGGTGTGTGAATGTGTGTGGTGTGTGTGAATGTGAGTGTGTGTTGGTGTGTGTGTGTGAATGTGAATGTGTGTGGTGGTGTGTGTGTGAATATGTGTTGTGTTTGTCAATGTGTGGTGTGTGTGAATGTGTGTGGTGGTGTGCGTGTGAGATGGTGTGTGGTGGTGTTTGTGTGAATGTGAGTGTGGGGTGGTGTGTGTGAATGTGAGTGTGGTGTGTATGAATGTGTGTGTTGGTGTGTGTGAATGTGAGTGTATGTTGGTGTGTGTGTGAATGTGTGTGGTGGTGTGTGTGAATGTGTGTTGGTGCGTGTGTATGGTGTGTGTGAATGTGAGTGTGTTGGTGTGTGTATGTGAATGTGTGTTGGTGTGTGTGTGAATGTGAGTGTGTGTTGGTGTGTGTATGTGAATGTGTGTGTTGGTGTGTGTGAATGTGAGTGTGTGTTGGTGTGTGTGAATGAATGTGTGTGTTGGTGGGTGTGAATGTGTGTGTTGTGTGTGAATGTGAGTGTGGTGTGTGTGAATGTGTGTGTTGGTGTGTGTGAATGTGAGTGTGTGATGTGTGTGAATGTGTGTGTTGGTGTGTGTGTGAATGTGAGTGTGTTGGTGTGTGTGAATGTGTGTGTTGGTGTGTGTGAATGTGAGTGTGTGGGGTGTGTGTGTGAATGTATGTGGTGTGTGAGAATGTATGTGGTGTGTGTGAATGGGAGTATATGTGAGTGTGTGCATGAGGTGTGTGTGAAAGAGTATAAGAGTGTGTGTGTGTGTATGTGCGGTTCAAGTGAATGTGTATAGGTTTCTTGTTCACAAAGTTATGGAATTGGTGTGAATATCATAGCTGAGTTGAAAGGTAATACTTGTTACCTGAATTTAGCCTCAGTCATTTGGGTGGAGCTTAGGGTGACCAACTGTCCCAGGTTATCCAGGACAGAGAGGTTTTCTGGGTTGTGGAACTTTCAGTTTATAAAATCTGAGTGGTTGGTCACCTTAGTGGTGGCAATAGATAAAGGGTACAAATTGTGAGTAGTTGTATGTTTGAAGGGTACTTGGTGGATAAGGAAATAGAAGAAAACTCAGGCAGCTGAATAGATATGGAAGTCAAGGGTGAAGATCTTTAAAACAGAGAGAGTGGCCAACAGTGCCCCACCCTTAAGGGGATCAGAGGCAATGGAGACTCAGGCCACAGGTTTGACTTTTTAAAATATTATTAACTTATTCAGATCAGGACTTACTAGGCATGTTTTTTAGTTATTTAGCCTTCAAAAAAAAATTCTGCCATTGGGTACAATTAATGCCATCAGTGCCAAAAACGTAAATTAGAATATAGACACAAAACTTAGTGAAATAACTCATGAAAGATAAAATATTAGGCAAAGGTGTTTGAATCACTTAACAATTTGATTAGATAACAAAGAGGTTAAGACCATTTCTTGTAGTATTTGGAGATATTTAATTTTTATTATGTTAAGATAAATCTCACATAAATCTTAACAAATCTTAGTTAACTCTTATGAGTAGAGTGTGAGTGTCAGGTGCTATTCCACTGAGCAGTGAGATGAGGGAAGAACGGGCCTATGGGGTCTTGGTGTTTTCCGCAGGTCACATTGCCACTCCCTCCCTGCCAAGCATTTCCATCACTCATGGTCTCAGCTGCACTCAGGGCCGCCAGCCATAATCTACTCTCCAGCTACTGGTTTGAATAAACCACTGATTTATTTGCAGTCCCGAGAGCTGTAGGCAGGAAATGCAAACAGCAGCTTTCCCTCGGGAGGGCTAGATGTAATGGGACCCTTCTCTGTTTTCCATCCTCAGGCTCTGATGGGAATCTCTGAGGAAGCTCAGTGGAAAATTTCTTTTTCTCTCAGCCCTGATTTCTCCTAAATGGCTCAGTAAGACCGAGAGAAAAGGATTTTGTCCTGAGTTATCTGCTCCCCACGGTGAAGGAACTAGGGAAAGAAGATCAGGATTAAAAAATTGTTTTTAGAGGATAGGCGTTTTAATTGTGCACATTTGAGGTTTAGGGTACATTCCTGACTCCACAGTACATAGATGACTACTCAGGAATTTTTCACATTATAATTTAATCCAGTATTCTTTTCTAGCCTGTGTACTCTTGGAGGGTAAAATTTTTGTTGAGTTGATCTTTATTTACTAAAAATGCATTAAGAAATACATTTTTGTTGAATGAATGAATGCACTTATCTTCATATCGTGGTTTACAATTTATTATAGACATATTTTATTTGAGTCTCATAGCAACCATGTGTAGCGGATGTTATGATTATTTCTGCTTTCCAGATGGGGAGACTGAGGCTCAGAAAGGTTTAGTGACTTTCCCAAGATCACACAGAATGGAGACTGAAGTCTAGATCTTTGACACCGAATGTAGATTCTTTCTATACACCACATTTCCCATCATTATTCAATAAACCAGCCTGTTGCTTAGTCATCTAAAAGAACACAAAAATACAAACATTGCCCTGCTGGATCAAATTCACAAGGAGAAAGCACTCAGAAAGCCTAGTGTTCAACCTCAACAGAGATGGTTTGTAGAGGCATGACTATTTCAAACTCATTGTTATCAAGTGAGTAGCTTCAGGGCAATAGCTTTCAAAGCCTTAAGGAGAAACAAAATTTGGGCTCCGTGTCTATCCTTAGCAGGTGGGAGACAGGGGACTAGAACATTAGCTTTCTGTTTATTTTTTTATTTTATTTTTTTACAAAGAGCTAGTGGACTCTATTTTAAAGATTGCACAGGGACAGAGAAAAGCTGGAGAAATTGAAAGTGGCAAAAATATTGGGGAAGTTGCCACGTTCAAAACATGGCAAAAATTCATAAAAAAGGATGAGTTCATGTCCTTTGCAGGGACATGGATGAAGCTGGAAACCATCATTCTCAGCAAACTAACACAGGAACGGAAAACCAAACACCGCATGTTCTCACTCATAAGTGGAAGTTGAACAGTGAGAACACATGGACACAGGGAGGAGAACATCACACACTGGGGCCTGTTGCGGGGTGGGGGGCTGGTGGAGGGATAGCATAAGGAGAAATACCTAATGTAGACGATGTGTTGATGGGTGCAGCAAACCACCATGGCACATGTATACCCATGTAACAAACCTGCACATTCTGCACATGTATTCCAGAACTTAAGGTATAATAAAAAAAAAAAAAGAAAGAAAAAATAACATGGCAAAAGTTGCCACAATAAGTATCCCTGGTTTTGCAATGAAGTGTGACTGGGTCCTGGGGAATGCTGTGCCTTCAGGGGTAGGAGAACATGCCTGAGTGAAGGGTCTGCAACTGCAGCCTGGGGGCAAATCTGACCCACTGATTCTTTTTGTTTTGTATGGCCCACGAGATCAACTAAGCAAAAATTTCACCCTCCAAGAGTGCACAGCTGGGAAAGAATGGACATGGCTGTGCTCCAACAAAATGTCACATCATGAAATATTAATTTTTTAACCATTTAAAAATGCAAGAGGCATTTATTAAAAATGCATTTTTAATGGTTGAAAACATTAAAAGAAGAATAATATTTCATGACACGTGAAAATTATATGATATTCAAATGTCAGTGTCCATAAACAAAATTTTGCTGGAGCACACCCATGTCCATTTATTTATTTTTTGAATCACCATGGTGGCTTTTGTGCTGCAACAGAAGAGTTGAATTCTTCTGGAAGGGACTGCATGTGGCCCACAAATCCTAAAATATTTACTCTCTGGTCCTTTACAGAAAAAGTTTGCTGACCCCTAACCTAGTGCCTGTTAGGTTCAAATCTACACTCAGATAACTGTCGGGCAGCTAAACTGTGGAATACTAGATGTCTTTCATTTCTGACATTGTCAGGAAGTGAACAGGAATCCAATTCTTAAGGCCACCCTACACTTTTCACCTGCCACTTGGATGACTGAACTACTGGATCCATGGCCATGTTCTGCCACCAAGCCTGTGGGACTATAAAGGCTAAGCCTTCTGTGTGCATCTGGCCCAGTCTGGTCTGTCCTTTTCATATCTGGCCTGCTTTAAATATCCTCATTCTAGATGCCTCTCAGTGTCACTCCACTTCCCTTTGGAATACTAACAGCTAACATCTATTGATGGCTTACTCTGGGTCAGATGCTGTGTGCTAAACACTTTACCCCATTCTTCTCTTAGGATGAGATAACCCTAGGAGGCTGGTATTTCCCATTATTGTTCCCATTTTACAGATGTGGACACTGAGGTTCAGAGAGATGCAATAACATGCCCATTTGCACACCAGTAAGTGGCAGAGCCAGGACCCAAACCCAGTCTCACGACTCTGGGAACTGCACGGGCGGGGGTGTGGAAGTTGAGGGGATGCAGGTTTTTCTGTTAATGCTCCACCCTGCCTTGGATCCCCTCCTGCTACTGCTGCCATACTAAACCTAGGGGGTGGCTGGTACTTTTCTTTCTTGGGCTATCTTCAAAACCACTTTTCTCTTATTTTCTTCTTGATGCAACTGAAAGAGGGTAGAACATTCATAAGACACTTTGCTAAAAAAAATAAGAAAAACCAAATGAGAGACAAACCAGGAAAATTTTTTACAAATCTGTATTCTTCCTACTGACGTTGTTTGATGGGCTAGCGCCACAGACACAGAGCACCTTTGCAATACCACACTGGGAGGGAAGAGTCCAACCCAGAAATGCTCCTCTTCAAAGCTCTTGGAAAACTTTGTTTTGCTGCTTACAGGGTAATCCCCACAGGCCTAGGCAGAATTGTCAGTTAAGAGCTTCTCCCAACTGAGAGTGGCCAAGATTAACTCAGCACTCAACACCTCCACATCTTCCCCTTTAGGTTCCCACTGCCCCAGCCCTTCACACCACCCATTTTCTGCTGTCTGCTCCCATTTTCCGCCCAGGCCTGCCCTTCCTGGGCCATGTCACAGGCTCCAAAATGCTTCCATCTTCCTCCTGTCAACAGAAACTTGTAGCAGTGTAACATGTTACCTCTTCCCAGCATACACTTGATTTGAGCATTTCCCTGAAAGTTTTGCCTCTCCTATTTTAGGCAACGCTTCCCCCATTTAGAAAAGGGTACAGAGAGTTCCCCCAGCCTTCAAACATTACAGACTGGCTTTTTAGCCGTTCTGTCCTCCTCTTTCTCCCCCAAACAAATCTTTCTGAGTACATAAGAAATTTCCTCCTCTTACCTCTCTTCTAAAGATTTTTCTTGGCTGGGTGCGGTGGCTTATGCCTGTAATCCCAGCACTTTGGGAGGCTGAGGCGGGCAGATCACAAGGTCAGGAGATCAAGACCATCTTGGCCAACATGGTGAAACCCCATCTCTACTAAAAATAAAAAAATTAGCTGGGTGTGGTGGCACATGCCTGTAATCCCAGCTACTCAGGAGGCTGAGGCAGGAGAATCGCTTAAACCAGGGAGTCGGAGGTTGCAGTGAGCCAAGATGGCACCACTGCACTCCAGCCTGGGCGACAGAGCGAGACTCCGTCTCAAAAAAAAAAAAAAAAGAAAACTATATATATATTCCTTGTCTCCAGAGGAGAGGGAGAAAACGTAAGACAGATGGGAAGGCTTCCTCTCTCGGTGTCTTTTTTTTCTTTCCTTCCATGATCTTTCCTAATGCACAAGTTGCCCTGTCTCCAACAAGACATAATTAGTTAGCCCTTGGTTTCTGCTCCCCTCCCCCAGCACAAGACATTTTAGACTGGTTGGACTTATAGTTTCTTTTCTTTTTATTACATAGATGTTTCTTCCCTGCTGCCCCAAGTAAAGAATGCCTGAGAGAATAACAGATTTCCTGTAGAATAAAAGCAAAGAAAAGCCAGAACCACAGTGGAATTTTAGCAGACACCGAAGTAGTTGGAAGGGGAAGATGATACTGGATTGTGGGACAATCTGGTGCCCATAAAGTCATAGCCCTTAGACTGGCCATGGCTGCCAGTCTAGCCTTTATTTGCAAGGACTCGACCAGGTATGAGGAAAGAAGCCAGATACCCTGCCTCTGGGCTGGGCCTGCCAGACTGGAATCCATTGCTAACCAAAGTCCCCTTACCTGCTCCACATGCTAGATGAATATTCAGAGTGACTTTGTGGGTAAAGGAATCCTTCACTCTATCACTTTCAACATCCCGCAGGGCTGTGGGGCGAGGGAGATGATGTAGAGTTTGCAAGGTGAAAACCTGTAATAATATTGAGACCACAGCAAGCCGGGCTTTGCATTTGGTTACAGACTTTTGTCCAGCAGAGTCGATTATTGTCTTCATTTAGGACTTCTGATTGCTGTCTAAAGCCAGACAACTTGAAGACTAGGTATTCTGGGTCTTTCTGAGTGCTTACTTGGGTTTTACATACAGAAGAAAGAGAATTGGAGAGAATTTTATCTCGTTGAAGGCAGGCCAACATGTGCATCGATAAGGATGTTATCATCCTTGGAGCTTTTGTTAGCTATGTGCTGCCTTAGGCTCTTGCTAGCAATGAGATGATATTTCTTCATAGTAAGTATGGAGTTATCCACTTTGTGGTCTTGACATGGTTCATGTTAATATAATGGCAACTTTAAATCAATTTTCTCTCTAACTCTGTAATGCATCAGAGAACCCTTAGTGGGTACATGACCCTTTTATCAATATATATAACTTGGAAGAAAATGTATATTTCTCTATTCTAGGGACTGGAATAAAACTTCAATATCTAATTTGTCTTACTATAACAAATACCGCCTGAAATAGTCATATAAATAACTATAGCTTAAGAAAACTATCAAAAATGTGTGTTTTATTAATATTTTACTTTTCAGGTAAATAAGTCCCAAGCTGTCTGAGCTATAAAGGAATCTGTGTGTGTGTGTGTGTGTGTGTGTGTGTGTATGCCATGTGTCTGTGTGTATGCCGTGTGTGTGTGTGGTTTTTGCAGTTTATGGATGTAAGGAACTCTCTCTGAAATGTGTGCTTGAGAGCGCTGGAGCTCAGAACTAGACTTTGCTACTGACCTCATATTTTCATTTGGGGGCTACCTAAGCTTGGTATGATCCACAGCATTCTTTTTTCATTTTCCTCAATAATCATGATTTAAAACTTACCTAATAAAAGACAACTTCAGATTCCTAACGTTCAAGCTCTAAGATATCTGGGGAGAGGGTGTCCAATGTTTTGTGAACAGCTCTTTGAGACAATGCTGCTGGAACCATCCTGAACAATGACAATGGAGAATAATGTTTTTCCTCTTCTCCAGCAGCCTGCCCCAAGTAACCCGCTCTTGCCCCACTATTTACTTCAAGGTAACCCAGAACTGGTAAAACCAGAGGCACAGGTGCCGCTAGCATTGCCACAGAGTCAGGAGCTGAGCAAAACAGACGCTTACTTACTCTGGCCTCTTCCTTTTCTCTTTCTGCTTCCTGCCCACTTCACTCTTTTCCCTGCATTCTTTCTTTCCTCTCTGCTCACTTTGTCCCCTCCCATTTGGAGAAATAAAGCATTGAACTGACCCTTCACATATCCATCTGCCGTTCTATAACTCATCTTTATCTGCAAACATCCTCTCTAGACTATTGGTTTTTACCCATCCCCTCCCTTTTGGCATTATCTTCTGGAACTCCTGGGATCAGGATGTCACCCTATCACTCCACTAATGGCACACATGGCATCCTTTTAGTCAAATCCAGAGCCTTTTTCTTCACCCTTTACTTTCCTCGGAACTCTGCAGCACTTGATAATTTCCAGCAGCCTTTCTTTCCTGAATCTTCTTTTTCTGTAGCCACTCTGGTTTCCCTTCTACCCCGTGGACTGAGTGCTGTGCTCTGCTTCACCAGCCCTAACTGTGTGTTAGTTGGGTGTCTTAAGTAGGATGATCATGTAATTCTTCATCCAGACCATGATATTCTTGAGAATTAAAGGATGCTCAATTGACAACAGACAATAAACAGAGATTGTCCCTGGCAAACCGATATGTCTGGCCACCCTCTCCTTAAGGCTCAGGAGGAGAAGAAAGTGGAGAGATCTCAGGGCAGGATATGAATGAACATAGTTCAAGGAGCTTTCAAAGTCCATCTTCAGGTTTCTTAGTTACTTCTGTTTAGAATCTCAAGTTAAAAATTCAGCTTCATATTTATAAAAGGATCACGTTATCTGAGAAGTGTCAGAGCAGGTTTGGGAGAGAAGAGACGGGTGAGGAGAGAGTTCTACCTGAGGCAAAGGCAGAAGTGGTTGGACCAGGTCCCGCAGAACTCCGTGAGTTCCAGTCACAGAGTCTGCCCTTTTAGGTAAAGAGGAACTTGGTGCTGAAACCGCTTCCAGGCTCTTCTCAGCCCAGGGTTGCCCAAGATCAGTTGTACTGAGTGGCCGGCAGGGTAGGCAGCCATGATGATCTTGCACAAAATATTCCAGGAACTGTAAGTGTCAAAGATGTTGGACGTGGAAAGAAATAGAGCAATTGCATTGAAAATGTAGAGGATGAGAAAGTAGCTGGTGGCTTTGATGGCCCCTATGTGAGCCTTCATGCTGGGGTCCCTGGACCCTGTGGCATTGCTTCCCATGTGTAGGGTGTGTCTCTTGAGAGAGAGGATCAGCAGGGTGGCTGCCAGGATGAACATGATCAGAGGAACGAAGATCCCCATGTTATAGAAAAATACCAGGTTGACCATATTGGTCTCAGAGAAGTACTTCTTCTCCGTGGAGTTGGAGGAGGGGATAGGAATGGAGCTATTCACATACACATTGAAGACATCTCTCGAGAGAGGAAAGCTGAAGCTTAAGGAAACCAACACTGACAGCCTGAGAAGCCAAGGCATCAGCACTATGATTTTCCTCTTCATCAGGAAGAACAAAGGATGATTGAAGTTTGCAATTCTAAGACAATAGAAGACTTTGAGCCAGGCAGCAAACCAGAGATTGGAATGGTTCAGAAAGACAGTGATGACTTTGAAGAGGATATACACTGAGTTTTGGTTATAAACAATTCGGAATAGCAGACTGAAAATGTTCTCCAGCATCATCCAAATCTGTAGCAAGAGCCTGGAAAAGCTCAGCATCAACATAATGCGGTCACCAGTGGGGAGTGTTTTGCCCCTGGCCCACTCAGCCCCATAGATGGCCGTGATGAAGCCACTCCCAAGGATGCCAGTGATGCACTCTATTCCGGAGACCACCAAAGTGAAGGTGACCTTGAACTTGGATATGTCTTTATCTGTGGCATCTGTGTTCACCGTTGCCATTCTCTTTGATCCTGACTTTCAGGTTTCTGCGCCAAGAATGGGTAACTGCTCTGCAATCTTCTGACCCTTGCTCAATGTTATAATTTCTGCCGCCCTCATTAATGGTTATTTCCAATTTTTCTCCATTTGTTTATCACATGACTACAAGTTAGAGGCTTCACATGCAAATAATGAGAGGATCTGGTTACTGGGTCTGTCTCAATTTTTCATAAAGATACATTTGTCTTGGGCTTTCAGAAGCTCACTGGAAATAATTTGAGACATGTTTCTAGCTCAACACCTTCTTACCTTATTTACTTTAAGTCCACATTTACCTGATAAGCAATGAATACAAGGCCTTTTTACTTGTCTCACAAGATCTCTGTTACCTGCTAAATTATTTGTAAAAGCTCATACAGCTTTTAAAATCTGTTTTCCCCACTTCTTTTCTTGTCTCTCTTATTTTGGGAGAGAGTTTTATTTTGATAGTTACCATGTTTGTGAATAAGAAATTCCCATAAGCTCATATATGAACATCTTTTACTTAGAATTGAGTTTCTTCCAAAAAGGCCTGCTATTATAATGTCCTCGAATAGTATATAGAAAAGCCAAAATTGGATGCTATTCGAGTTGGAGAGAAGGAAGTCTCCATAGTCCCAGTTTTTATTGTTTGTGTATGTGTCATCAATTTCAGCTTACTGAGATCCCACATGACTATTTGAGCTCAGAATCAGGTAGAATGAGCCTGGGGAGAATTCAGTGTTCTGGACATGGTGTTGAAGTTTGGAAATGTGATAAGGTACTATGACTTGAAATTTAATTTCCTACTTTTTAACCCTGGCTGTGAACCAGAATGAACTCTGGCACTTTACAAGAATATGTAGATGCCCAGGACTCGTCCAAATCTAGGAAATCAGAACTGGACTAGGGCTCAGGCATGCTATCTTTTAAAAAAGCCGAAAGGTCTTGTTGCTCATAGTCAGGATTGAGATCCAAAATCTTAGCTGGAAACCAATGAGCCTTGGGTCAGATTTGGCCTGTAGTCATTTTACCTTGCATTGGTTAATGCTGTACAGCATTAATCCACCAGTGTGTAACTTTTCTTTTTGAGGGGTTCTATTGGCAAACATTTAAACTTAGGAGATTACTTATATGCATGCACAAAAAATCTATCTTCTCTTGAAAAATTAGAAGATTTGGCAGTATTGGGTCTTCATAGTGAACTGGCTGAAGCTGAGTAATGGCTGCCCATTTTAAACAAGGTATATACTTTTCAGTTTGTTGACAATACTAATTCCTAGTGTCTTCTTGACACAGAAGCTGAGTGCCAGTTATCATTTTCCAGTGTGCTTACCCTGTTATTTTTATTTGATTATTTTTCTTTTTGAGACTGGGTCTCACTCTATCACCCAGGCTGGAGTGCAGTGGTGTAATCATGGCTCACTGCAGCCTTGACCTCCATAGCTCAGGTGATCCCCACACTTCAGCCACCTGAGTAGCTGGGACTACAGATGCATGCCAACACACCTGGCTAAGTTTTGTATTTTTTGTAGAGACAGAGTTTCGCCATGTTGGCTAGGCTGATCTTGAATTCTTGGGCTCAAGCAATCCTCCCATCTCAGCCTCCGAAAATACTGGGACTATAGGTGTGAGCTACCATCCTTCACACCTTGGTCCATTATATTTTGGGCCTTGGTCCATTATATTTTTTAATAATATAAATTGATGAATGATAAAAATGGGTTTCCCCACCCCAAATTAATTTTATTTAAAATAAGGAAGTTGGCTGGGCGCAGTGGCTCATGCCCGCAATCCTAGCACTTTGGGAGGCTGAGGAGGAGGATTGCTTGAGCTCAGGGGTTTGAGGTCAGGCTGGGCAACATAGTGAAACCCCTTCTCTACCAAAAATACAAAAAATTATCTGGGCATGGTGGCATGCACCTGTGGTCTCAACTACTCGAGAGGCTGAGGTGGGAGGATCCTTGAGCCTGGGAGGCGGAGGTCTCAGTGAGCTGAGATGGAGCTACTGCACTCCAGCCTGGGTGACAGAGCCAGACCGTGTCTCAAAAATAAATAAATTAATTAAATAAGGAAGTAGAGATTTATTATTTGTATAGAAATAAGCACCAGGCAAAGCAATATATTTCAAAATTAAGAAAGCATTATTTAGGGAAATTAAAACTTATGTCAACACGGAGATTTGTACAAAAATGCTCACAGCAGCTTTATTCATAATAGTCAGAACTGGAAACGAGATTTGTTGGCAGGTTCTGCATCTCCTGTAAGAGACTCATTAACTTTGGTTAGTTCTCTTAATTGAGGACAGTAGTATTTGTCAGCAGCTTTCACGTATTCCAAAGCATCAAACTCACTTTTTGGTTTATTTTGTCCCAACATATGCAAGTTTGTAATAAATGATATCTCCCCAAATTTCTGGCACACAATCGTTGACTTCCATTGTTCTGGTACTGTTTTCTATTGGTCTTCATTCATGTTTTTCTCTGATTTTAAGAGGTGGGAACAGAAGGAGATCTTGGGCAGGGTCTGCCTGCAGCCCCAGAGGCTCAGGCAAGAGGAGCAGGGAGGGGATCAGCCATTGGGGTGTGGGACTATTGCTGAGGCTCAATGCAAGCTGGCAGTCTGGGCTGACAACTCCAAGGCACTCACAGTGCCACATTTATAGCTATGTGGGGCCAATTCATTTTTATTCCATATTTTATCATTTGGAGAGCTAGAATGGAGGCATCATCTCTACTTTAGAGAAGTTCTTTTTTTATTTTTATTTTTGGAGACAGGGTCTTGCTCTGTCACCCAGGCTGCAGTGCAGTGGCACGATCTCAGCTCACTGAAACTTCCCCCTCCCAGGTTCAAGCGATTCTCATGTCTCAGCCTCCCAAGTAGCTGGGATTACAGGTGTGTGCCACCATGCCTGGCTTATTTTTGTATTTTTAGTAGAGACGGGGTTTCACCGTGTTGGTCAGGCTGGCCTTGAACTCCTGGCCTCATGTGATCCACCTGTCTTGCCCTCCCGTAGTGCTGGGATTACAGGCGTGAGCTACTGCACCCGGCCTGCTTTAGAGAAGTTCTCATGGGGGTCTTCAAGGAACAAAAGTTTCAAATTCTTGGCTACGAAGTTTAAAAGCTTTGGTCCAGGCATAGGATAGAACAGATTGGAAGAATACACCTATTCTTCCAATGTTTCCAGGGAAACATTTTTCTTTCACATCTCTCTCCATCACTACCATGTAGACTAGAAAATGCTTTCCCAGTTGGAGAGGAATGAAAGAAGAGGAGGCAGGAAAGAGCTAGAGAAGGTAAGGATCTCTTTTGAAGGGGTCCCACATCTTGGCCCACTGCTCATGGCTGCATGGGGGTGTCAAAGGCAGACAGGCTGCAAGAGGGCCCCTGAGTCCCCTGCAGCCTGTCCACACTTGGGAGAGCTGTTCAACCTTCCTTGTGTTCACAGAAGGAGTTTGGAAATCTGCTAAGGGAGTTATCGGATTCCATGGGGTCTAGTGGCCATATCAAGGAGACTTTACAAGCATGAGATCAAAGTGTGGACACGTGAATTGACATCAACGTAAGGACAGGAATGACCACAGTATAGACTCTACATCCCACCTTCATGCCAAATCTTTGAGTGACTCCCAAGGAGCATAGGTGTCCTTCATGGAAGACAAGAAGGAGAAAGGAGAAGGGATAAACACAACATGTTTCTCCCCCTCCAGTTTCAGTGCCCCATTCTGTGCTTCCCATCCAATTGTAATGTCTTGGGCAGGTTCCAAATGTTCGTCTTCTTTTGGTTATTAATACTCAGTCCAGTTTAATTTCATATTTGGTTTAAGTATTATCTTCTGCCTTTCCCCAAGCACAGTTTCAGCTGACACCCCATCTGCTAGGACTGGGAGGAGACAAGGTGGACCCTGAGACACCCGTCTCTCCCTCTTCAGTTTTTGGCTAGTGTATGAGAGAGAGGACAGGCAGAAGAGTCTCTTTATTTCCCTGGCTGCTGTTGTAAATGCACTCTTTTGTGCTGCTGCTGCTCCCCTGGCCAACACCATCTGGCCCTCCATGACTTCCGGGTGCCAGATATCCATATGTTGGCTGTCTTGTGAGGATCTCATGTGAGTCTTGAGGAGGCTCTGCAGCAACTCTTCACTCTGCTGCCCATAACTCCCATAGGCCCCCCTTCTTCCTCCCTAATCTTTCTATATGTGCAGACTCAGGTGGAGGGCTGCTGCTGGGATCCTGGCCATTTGCAGGTACTGCTGCCTCTTATTAAGCTTTGCAGGTAGATATTTGGCCTCAATTGTTGGCTGCTTTCTTTAGATCTGTTTTTCTCAACCCTGTCCACATTCTAGAATTACCCTTATGACTGGAAGGGCTTTTGCAAAGCACCTATACATATGTCCCACCCTCGAAGATTATGAATAATTGTTCTGGAGAACAGCTAAGCATTGGCATTTTCAAAACTCCCCACTGTGATTCTTATATGAAGCAGGACAGGGTTGAGAATCACTGCCCTTTGGGGGGACTTACCCTTATGGTTTTTAGTATGAGCTCCAGGGTTACTTGGGGCAACAGGAAAAGTGGCCCTCAATATCTTTGTAGAAGTGACCGAATGACTTCCTGAAGAAGACTAAGAGGACATATCGTTTATCAGGTGGTAGGAGACCAAATTCAGAGATTGAATTAGGAAAATAATTATAACATTTTGCAGAACTGGGTTTTTGGTGGTGTGAAGTCACATCTACCCAATAGTATTAGAAAAGTAGCATATTTCTTGTAGTCATATCTTTATTAAAAGTAGGAAAAGGAAGATAGACTGAGGGGGTCATATGTTCCTCCTGTGTTCCTCATAGAACCCTCCTGTGTGCATATTTGGCAAAAGATGTAATTTAAGAAAACAGTGTAGGTGCCATTATGAAACAAACCACTGGAAGAAGAAAGAAGAGGGCCATGGAAGAGACATGTGATCAAAACCTAAGGAGCTGAAGAGAGAATTGTAATGTCAACAAGGTTTGTCTTGGTTGTTTAAGAAATAAGAAGTCATAAATAAAAAATCTGCCTGGGACATCAAATTCTTCACAGATAGCAAGTTGTAAAAGAGAATCTACTGAATGTAGCGGAAATTGTGTGTCCTGAAAAGATACAAGCACGTGCAAATGTAAATGTAACTAGAAATACTGTTGCTCAATGCAATGGAAATGTGACTAAGAAATGAAAAGAAAAATCATGTGAAAAAATTTTTAAATGGTGGCATTTGCTATTGCAGTTGGTGAAGATACATATTTAGTAATATTTAGATGTAGTAATGAGCTCTATTAACCACCATGGGGGTTAAGAATTTTTATATGACTGAAAAATATTTTGGACAGTGTGCTCATGACAGACACAACCTTAGGAAATGATTAAGAAAATAATTTTTTTGTGTGTATAGAGGAAACTTTCAAACAATTTAATGCAGAAGACTTGTGTGCCTATAGGATGATATTCCTGGGATGAGCAGTGTTTATATCAGACTTGCAATAAAACTTAAACTCTAGGTGGCAAGTTATATAAAGACACAGGCTTTACATCTACTTGCTTGCATTATTTAGCAGGAATTGCTTTCTGCGAGAAGCTAAAAATTGAAGATGTCCCGAACACAGCGTTCATACTGTGAGCTGGATCTCCTTGTAGGGCTTCAGGCACAGAGTGTTGGATGCACTGTGTGATGAATTGGACACGTAGCATGGCAGTCTGCTCATGACACAGAGGGTGGGTGGCTTAGTCATGGCTGAAAGCAAAGCAGCATTGTTGAACAGTTAAGAGAAATGAACTTATTCACATCATTGGAGGGAAAAAAGCTTTGCTTATGTTAAGCAGCGAAGATTGTTATCATATAATTGACCTTTGGGGTAGACAAACACTTTGAATATTTCCCCGCAAAGGCATCCACAAAGCAGTTATAAAATGTAGAATAGAGTCTGCTGCCAAGGGTGTTAAAAAAAGAAAAAAAAATGTTTTAGGAAGGCATATCTGGCATCGTTACTAAGTCCTCTTTTCTGTGGTTGGAATTAGTTTCTAGAAATACAACTGATGGCCTGAAACCTGTGATAAAAATTGTGATACACTGAAAACTGATTCCTCAAAATGGCTTATTGATTTCAGACTTTGTGAAGATAACCTCCCATTGTTCAATGCACCTTGTCAATTCCTACTTATAGTGTGAAAAATGACTCATGGTGTGATATAGGATTGGACATTTTGTACAGTGACACTGGAATGCCAGGCTTCTACAAATATCTTCACAGTTGTGCAAAGACTCATATTTTAAAATATCTACGTTTTTGAACAGCTCTCTCCCAGTATTAAACTAATTAGGACTAATTATCACTTCTAGTTAATGGGTCCCAGTCAAGGCTGAATTCTGTTTTCATTATACAACTTAACACAGGTTTAACAAGGACATATTGGTACTGAAGAAAAAGTGAGCAAATTGTAAAATAAAATACTAGAAATGAAATATTTATATTTTATCTTTTTTTCAATTCTGAATTTAAGATACAATCTTCAATATCACATATATATTCATACACATACACATTATCTGGTATGGTTGCAGTCTTAGTTTAGAAAAATAAACACAGTGATTATTTTCCTGACAGTTGGTTTGTTTTGTCATACGGCTGCCATGTTCGCCCGTACACCTTGACGTCTCTGGCTTCTGCAGACCCTGGAGTTTTGAATGAGCTCTTCCAGGCCTAGGTCTTACTTAGGAATGGATTATGTGTTAGCAGTAAAGCTTATTAACAGTTTTCACCACAAGATGGAGCCTTATGAATGCCTCTCGGAAAAGGGAGCAATTCCTTAATTCGCCCACTAGTGGGCAGGCATGCTCTTTCTAAATAGGAAACTTCTGGGGAAACCTTTCAAAACCTATTTGAGACAATTGACTGAGAGTTTTACCTCCTCTCTTCTAAGGAGGTCTCTGATTCTTTGTACTTATGATCAGTTATTTCAGACAGTTTTCAAGAGAAAATTTATATTGTCTCTTAATCAAGCCTCTTTAAAAAAAAATATATTTTAGTGAAAGGGTCTTGCTATGTGGCCCAAGCTGGAGTGCAGTGGCTATTCACAGATGCATTCACGGTGCATCACTACAGCATCGAACTCTTGGCCTCAAGTGATCCTCTGGCCTCAGTTTCCTGAGGAGCTGAGATTATAGGCATGTGCCACTCTCCCCAACCACATATACTTTTAATTAACAGATTGGTCAGTATATTTTTGCAAGATAAATTGCAAATGAAAACTATAGTCCTTAAGTAGACTAACTTTAATTGATTACAGATGCTATTTCTAAAGAATCCAAAACATGCTGGGCGAAGTGGCTTACTCTTGGAACCCCAGAGTAATTTCAAGGCAGGAGAGGAGGCCAAGACAGGAGGATTCCTTGAGGCCAGGAGTTTGAGACCAGCTGGGCATCATAGTGAGACCTCATCTGTTAAAAAAAAACATTAGCCAGATATGATGGTGAATATCTATAGTCCCAGCTACTTGTGAGACTGAGGTGGGAGGATTGCTTGAGGTGGGAGGTTGAGGCTACAGTGAGCTGTGATCACGCCACTGCACTCCAGCCTGGGCAACAGAGGGAAACCCTGTCTCAAAAACAAAAACAAAAACAATCCAAAACATTAGAATGATATAATGCTACTGCTGCCAGTGACCTGCAAGATGGCTTAGCACAGGAGCTCCCCATATAGGGGTGAGTAAACGAAGTCCTTCAGAAGTGAGGGGAATTGACCAAAGCCATACACCTACTGAGGTATTATTGGACTATCAAGCAGAGGGTCTCAGAAAGTCCCTTCACACTTGCATTTGGATTTTCATTAAAATTCTCTGCTGGATTTTTTTTTCTGCCAATGAGGTAATTTCTTGCCTAATTAGGTTCTTCTCATCCAACCCAGGAAATGGCTATAAAATCTCATTTAGGCAATGTTCAACAATCTTTTTGCCCTAAATGAAGTAATTACCTGCGCTTGGGTATAGACACATACAGTGGCCATTAATTTTCAACAAAACTGGAGCCCTTTTTATTCATTCAACAAATATTTATTAAGTGCCCACGATGTCCCTGGGGATAAATAGTAGATAAGACAGGTTCCTGTCTTAAGAAGATGTACATTTGAATTTGTATGTGTGTTTGCAGGGGGTAGGAGGAAGGGGAGATATATGGTTTGGCTGTGTCCTCACCCAAATCTCATCTTGAATTCCCATGAGTTGTGGAAGGGACCTGGTGGGAGATAATCGAATCATGGGGGGAGGTCTTCCCTGTGCTGTTCTCCTGTTAGTGAATAAGTCTCACAAGATCTGATCATTTTATAAAGAGGAGTTCCCCTGCATGAGCGCTCTCTCTTTGCCTGCCACCATCCATGTAAGACGTGACTTGCTCCGCCTTGCCTTCCTCCATGATTGTGAGGCCTCCCCAGCCATGTGGAACTTTAAGTCCATTAAACCTCTTTTTCTTCCCAGTCTTGGGTATGTCTTTATCAGCAACATGAAAACAGACTAATACAGGGAGTAAGGGAGTTTGGGAAGGGTAGACAATAAACAAATAAATAATATAATTTCAGATGGTGATAAGTGTCATAAAGACAATAAGGTATTGATTTTCACAAGGGTGCCAAAACTATCTGGAGGAAGGAAAACTCTTAAAAAATGGTAGTGAAACAACTGAATATCCACATGCAAAAGAATGAAGTTAGACCTCCATCTTACACCATATACAAAAAGTAACTCAAAATGGATCAAAGATGTAAATATAAGAGAACATAAGTGTAAATCTTTGTGACCTTGGATTAGGCCATGGTTTCTCAGATATGAGACCTAAAGTACAAGCAATGAAAGAAAAGTAAATATAATAAATTGGGCTTCATAAAAATTCAAAAGTTTTGTGCTTCAAAGGGCCCTATCAAGAAACTGAAAGACAACCCACATTCTGGGAGAAAATATTTGCAAAATCATATATCTGATAAGGGCCTAGTATTCAGAATATATAAAGAACTCTTACAAGCAAACAGTAAAAGAAAACTCAATTAAAAAAATGGGCAAAGGGAATGCTGCTAAGAGATGCCAAGAAGAATCTGAACTGACAGGCCTGGCTGGGTTCTTCCTTTCAGTCTATGAGCATTTGATCTTACTCTTTTTGTCCAATCATGTTTCCATACTTTGCTGAACCATGTTAATGTTTATAAACATGGGCAGTTTCCCCTGGATCTCTGAGTCTTCATTCTGAAGACGGCTGTGTCACATGAGCTGTGATAAAATAACTTTGTTATGCTCTTCTATTTGAAAAATAATGGAAGCAATGGACACTGAGACTCCAAAAGCAGGGAGGGGGAAGGGAGGCAAGGGTTGAAAAACTATCTATTGTGTGTTCACTATTTGGGTGATGAGTTCACTAGAAGCCTAAACCCTAACATTATGCAATATACCTATGTACCAAACCTGCATATGGACCCCTCTGAATTTATAATTTAAAAAAGTGACTGTTCCCTTCTTCTGCCTCTGAATAAACTTCTACCATAATGTTCCCCTCCCCCGCAGAATGGGCAAAGGGCCAGGCATGGTGGCTGACGCCTGTAATTCCTAGTATTGTGGGAGGCTGAGGCGGGAAGATTGCTTGAGCCCAAGAGTGCGAGACCAGCCAACATAACAAAACCCCATCTCTACTAGAAATGAAAAAAAAAGAAAAATAGCCGGGTGCAGTGGCACATGCCTGTAGTCCCAGCTACTCAAGAGGCTGAGGTGGGAGAGTCACACTTGAGTCTGGGAAGTCAAGGCTGCAGTGAGCCGTGATTGCACTACTGCACTCCAACCCGGGTGACAGTGAGACCCTGTCTCAAAAAAAAAAAATGGGCAAAGGATTTGAATAGATATCTTTTCAAAGAAGATATTCAAATGGCCAATAAGCACATGAAAAAAATGCTCAGCATCATTAGTCATTAGGGAAACACAAATCAAAAACACAAGGAGATACCATTTCTTACCCACTAGGATGGCAAAAATAAGGAAGATGATGACAAGTGTTGACAAGGCTATGGAGAAACTGGAACCCTCATACACCACTGGTGGGAACACAAAATGGTTCAGTCACTTTGGAAAACAGTTCCTCAAAAAGTTAATGAGAAAGTAGGGAGAGGGAATAGAGAGAAAGTGGGCATAGGGTAGTGATGGGATTATTTTAAGAGAAGGTTTCAGTAAGAAGGTAACATCTGAGTGGAGTATTTGTTGAAATAATGACTGGAGAAAGCACATAAACTTTGCTCTGCTCCCAGTTTTCTCTTCTTTTGTTTGTAAATAGCCTTTCTTTGATACATAAACATTAGATTGTATCCTTCCCTACTCCAGTTCTACAAATTTTTGTAAAAGTCACTCTCAGGAAATAAAAGTCATCATTCTTTGATGACAATGTTGGCCTACAGTGCTTCCTGGCAGAATTAGTTAATAAGCAGCTGTCTAAGTCCCAATAATTCCGTACATATCTTTATCTTTTTTTTTTTTTTTTGAGATGGAATCTCGCTCTGTCGCCCAGACTAGAGTGCAGTGGCACTACCTCAGCTCACTGCAACCTCTGCCTCCTGGGTTCAAGCGATCCTCCTGCCTCAGCCTCCTGAGTAGCTAGGACTATAGGCACATGCCACCACGCCCAGCTAATTTTTGTAATTTTAGTAGAGATGGGGCTTCACCATGTTGGCCAGGCTGGTCTGGAACTCCTGACCTCAGGTGATCCACCCACCTCAGCCTCCCAAAATGTTGGGATTACAGGCATGAGCCATCGTGCTCGGCCAGGAAAGCACTTTAATTGGAAGTCAAAGAGTTGCTTGCTTGCGATCAGGGTATTCCAACCTTGACAGTATTAACATTTTAGACCAGATAGTTTTTTGTTGTTGTTGTGGAGGCTTTCTGTGCATTGTAACATGTTTAGCAGCATCTCTGGGCTCTACTCACTGGATACTGGTGGCATATTCTCAGTCATGATGATCTTAGATATCTCAAGACATTAACCAATGATGCCGTGGGGGCAAACATTGTCCTTGGTTGAGAAACACTGCTTTAGAAAAAGATGCATTGTCAAGAATCCTGCTACGGAGGTCTGGAAAACCTACAATGTGTCCCATAAGGAAGTCAGTGTATTCGTTTCCTGGGGTTGCTGTCATAAGGTACCACACATTTAGCAGCATGAAACAACACGGGTATATTGCCTTACAGTTCTGGAGGGAGGTCAGAGGTCCAGCAAAGATTCCACTGTGCTACCGTCAAAGTGCTGGCAGGGCTGTGTTCCTTCTGGAAGTGCTCCAGATAATCCCTTTCCTTGCCCTTTCCAGCTTTTCCAGACGGCCCTCATTCCTTGGCTGACAGTTCCCAGCCAGCAATGGCATCACTTTGATCTCTGATTCCATTGTCACTCACTTCTCTGACTCTCACCCTCCTGCCTAAGGACCCTTTGGATTAAACTGGGCCTATCTGGCCAGGTGTGGTGACCCATGCCTGTAATCTCAGCACTTTGGGAGGTCAAGGTGGGTGGATCACTTGAGGCCAGGAGTTCGAGACCCGCCTGGGCAATGTGGTGAAACCCTGTCTATAAAAAAAAAAAAAAAAATTAGCCACACGTGGTGGCTGGTCCCCATGGTCCCAACTACTTGAGGTGGGAGGATCACCTGAGCTCCAGAGGCATAGGTTGCAATAAGCCAAGATCAAGGCAGTGCACTCTAGCCTGGGTGACAGAGTGACACTCTGTCTCAATAAAATAAATAAATAGGGCCCATATGGATAATCCAGGATCCTCTCTCCATTGCAAGGTTCTGAACTTAATCACACCTGCTAAGTCCCTTTGGCCACGTAAGGTAACATTCACACGTGCCACAGATTAGAAGATGGACATTTTGGGGAGCATTATTCTGCCCATCAGTGACAGGGGAGTGGGGGCAGGGAAGTGCTGAGTAGAGAAGGGCAGGGTCCCTGACAAGGGCTCCACCCTCGGGCTTGTGCCCACGGACGCAAATGAGAACAAGCATTTCTGTTTTTGCGCCCCAAAAGTTGCCTTTTGGCCCACCACGCCCCCCATCCTGTACCCGTGTAAGCCCAAGACCTTAAGCGGACACAGACACAAGTGGCTGGACGTTGAGAGGAGCAGAGGGGCACAAGAGCACACTGACAGACACCAGCAGACACCGGCACGCCATCTAGGGCAGGACGACGTGGCATTCGGTTGGGGGCAGTCGGAGGAGAGTCTGTCCGCTGGGCAGCCCGACTCCAAGGAAGACTACCTTCCCACTCCATCCCCTTCTGGTTCCTCATCCACCTCACTGAGAACAACCTCCACCACTCAATAAAACCTTGCACCCATCCTCCAAGCCCACGTGATTCGATTTTCCCAGTACCCTGGGACAAGAACTCAGGATACAGACAGCCCTCTGTCCTTGCAATAAGTCAAGGGATCTAATTGAGCCGCTTGACACCAGCTGCCTGCAGACGGCAAAGCTCAAAGAGTAAACTGTAGCACACGCCCACTGGGGCTTCTTTGGGAACTGTAAACACTCAGCCCTAGATGCTGCTGTGGGGTTGGAGCCCAAAAAAGCTCCCCAAGACCTGCTTATCTGCATGTTCCGGCTAGGGGTTTGAGCAGCGGGGCACCAAAGAATCGAGCCACACCCCTGTGGCATAATCTGCAAAGGGAATAAGGGAATTTTTCCCGCTTCATTAGTATTTGGGCATATGTCAACCAGAGGGCATTGAGTAGCCACATTGCACCGGAACTAGTTAAGTAATTACCTAAACTTTTTCCTCTTCCCTCCCTTCCTGCCTCCAGAAACTGGCAGCAGTTGAGCAAGCAGGGAAAGGAAGGTGAGGAAAAGAGATTTTATCGGATCCATTCTCATTGCTGGAACTGGGGTAAAGCTCTGTGGCCCAGGCCTTGCTGGAGAGAGGGAGAGCACCTTAAAATGAGATGGGAGATAACAGTTTTGATTGTAATAGGACTGAACCTTTTTTTAATCTTTTACCTAAAAATAATGTTGTTTTGATTTCTGACATGTCTAGACCTGAAAGGTTGCTCTTAAACGCAGAAGAAAGCTGTTAAACAGTAAAACCAAAGGCAGTGATGGAAAGAGAAAAAGTTATCCTTCGTGGTGCTTTGTAGAATCTGGTTCTTTGAATAAACCTGGAACCAGATGATTTTAGGGGAGGGGATTTCAAAATTCTATGAAGCCACCTCATGGACTGTGAAGGTCTTCCTAGAGAGGGTGAGATTGCTGGGAGTTGTGCCAGTCGGTACCAGGAGACTGAGAGGTGGTGCCTTGGGAAGCCCACGGTTTTTTTTTCTTTTCCTAGGACCACCGGATGTTTTTCTGTTACCTAGATGTTTGGGGAAGGCAGCAGAGGAAGGAGATAAGAGAGAAGTGTGAGAGAAAAGTGGAAAGACCTGGACTGAGAGCCACCAGCCTTCTTGTGAGAGAAGAATACATAGATAATATTTTAAATCTGTGCTGGCAGAAAATGCTGGGGCATGCGGCCACCAAAGGGAGAGAGGTACAGCTTGCCTCTCTGCAATCAAACTTAAAAATGCTTCCAATTTGTAAATGGATGGCTTGCTTAAACGCTAAAGCTGTAACCAGGGAACTTTCCTGGGTTTCTTGAGGACACCAATCAAACGTCTAAACCCAAGTTTCTCCCCTCGTCGCTGGGTGAGCCTTCATCCTGAGTCCTTCACTTTTCTGGGATCCAGGAACATAGTAGGACAGGTTACTCAAACACTAAAACTTTGAGTGGAAATTGTTAATCTAAAACCAGAATTACTTATGGCTTTTTATTACATGTGATATGGTTAAAAAATATATTTATATATAATTTTGGTTTTTTAAATATATATGTGTGTATATATATATATATATATATATATATATACTTTTTTTTTTTGAGACAGGTTCTAGCTCTCTCACCCAGGCTGGAGTGCAGTGGCGTGATCACAGCTCGCTGCAACCTCCGCCTCCTGGGCTCAAGTGATCCTCCCACCTCAGCCTCCCGAGTAGCTGGGACCACAGGCACCACCATGCCCGGCTAATTTTTGTAGAGACAAGGTTTTGCCATGTTGTCCAGGCTAGTCTCAAACTCCTAAGCTCAAGTGATCTGCCTTTCTCAGCCTCCCCAAGTGCTGGGATTTCAGGCATGAGCCACCGTGCCCGGCCCTATTTATATATAATTTTGAAGACCATTTTAAGAATTCTGTAAACCAAAAATAAAATTCCAGGCCCCCCAACATCTGAATGGACCCCTTCTCTTGGCCAAGAGCATTGTGAAGTTAACCTGAAAAACGCATTCAGGCCATGATAGAAAGGGGGAGTCGGACATGCCTCATTACATCCTCCTTCCTTTTGGAATTCAGGCCCAACTGACCAGTATTAACATCAACACAGACCTTAAGACTAATAGACTCTCCATCTGATAGGAAACATTTACAATCTATTCTCTCTGAAGCCTGCTACCTGGAGGCTTACCTGCATGATAAAACCTTGGTCTCCACAACCCCATATTGTAACCTAGACATTTCTTTCTATTGATTCCAGGCCTGTAGATAATAACTCAACCTATTGTCCATCAGAAAATTTTTGAATTTGCCTATGACCTGAAAGCACCCCCTTCCAGTTGTCCCACCTTTCTGGACTGAGCCAATATACATCTTATATTGATTGATGTCTTTTTTTTTTCTTTTTTTTTTTTTATTACACTTTAAGTTTTAGTGATTGATGTCTTTTGCCTCCCTAACTGTATAAAACAAAGTTGTAGCCTGTCCACTTTGGGCATATGTTCTCAGGATCTCCTGAGGGCTGTGTCATGGGCCACGGTCACTCATACTTGGCTCGGAATAAATCTCTGCAAATATTTTACAGAGTTTACCTGTTTAGGTCATCAATTAAAAAGTGGCAAATATATTCTGGTTGTAATTTTTCCATAAAAAGAGATACAGTGATTTGGGTCTTTTGCTTGTTTTTGTTTTTTCTTTCTTTGCGGGGGGGACGGCATTGGGGAGATAGAAGATTATGGAGCACCAAAAATGGTTGTGTGTTACATGAAGGGAACAAGATGTTGGAATATCTGTTTGAATGGAATGGAATATTCAGGATAAAGTGCAGCAGGTCATGAAGATAATGCAATAAGACATAGGTATTTTGTGCCTCCCACATTAGTATAGGGCCTGAGGGAAATGCAAAGCTGGAGAACTGGGCTCAATCCTCAACAGAGCTTCAGGTCCAGAGAGAAGAGCCACATAAGAGACTGACATGGTGGGTGGGAGGGAGGGAAGAGTGATAAGAGTTAAACAGAATTAACCTGTCTCTAGGTCCTAAATAGGATTGAATTGTGAAAGCTCTACTCCAGGTTCACTGCAGATATTGGAAGTAAGACAGCATTTATATACTTAGCTCTGTGGGTGCATGCTATCTTCATGCCAAAAAGTTGCTAGAATTATCTGACAAAGGAAAGAACCTGTGTAGCTGTATGTTTTGCTCAGGTGGTGGGCAGAAGTATGCAACTGAAGCTGAATTCTGTCTCTCTCCATGTATTTGTCCCTGTTTATTTGGGGACAGGTGCATTTTACTTTTAAATTGCATGTAGTAAAGTCTTATCTTCTAAATTAAAGAGATATGCCTGTCCATGTGTTAGGCTACCAATAAATAAATTGGTTGAGGGAAGGAAGTTGGAAGAGAGAAAAGTGGAAAGAAAGGAAGGAGGTAAGGAAGAGAAGGAATGAGGGAAGGAAAGAGGGAGGAAAGAAATGAAGACCTCCCTGTATGTGTGTGTGCTTCTGTGCACTATCACATGGATTTACTACAAGCAATGGCATCTGAGGTTATGGAGGAAGTGAAATCTGTGGGGGACTCTGAGGCTTTGGGCTGTGGCAGGAAAGCAGGAAGTCTTCTTTGGTGCCAGATCTCTTTGGACGTTTGCGGTGGGGAGGAATGTGACTGTTCTTCCTCCGCAAGTGAGGGTAACAAATGTGACCATGATGATGGCATAGCAACTCTGTTGCTTGCCAGTCAGCTCACGGTCCCTTGTAAGGCAGATTACCTCTAAAGAGCTGCCAAATTTCCTTTCGCTGGGCGCATCAATACAACAAACGCCAGAGAACCCTGTGCCACCTTCATTTACTGTCTGCATTGGGACTACTTGCTTTATCTCCCTCCAGCAGCGAGTCCTCCCTCCTCTGTTCCTATATTTGATGCGATCAGCCTTATGTTCCATGGTCGTATTTTTTCAAAGGGAGAGAGGGTGGATCTCTACATCGTGCGATTCTCAGGAGGGATTGTGGTTGCTCTCATTTAGGGAGTGCCCTTTGTGCTGGGCTGTGGCTTGCAAATGTGTGCATTATAAGGTGCCCGGAACTTGGATGGGTATAGTGAATATTAAATGTAAAGAGTCTAGGTATATACTGGGCCTTGATCAATATTTATGGAATTCAAAATGTTTAAATACTTAACTATTTGCTTTTCTTTGTTATTATTAGTATTATTATTAGTAGTAGTATTACCACGCCTGGCTAATTTTTGTATTTTCAGTAGAGATGGGGTTTCACCATGTTGGCCAGGCTGGTCTCGAACTCCTGACCTCGTGATCCACCTGCTTCAGCCTCCAAAAGTGCTGGGATTACAGGCTTGAGCCACCATGCCCCGCCTCTTTGTTCTTAATTCTGTTTTCATTTGTTCTCTAGCCAAGACCCCAAGTCTATAATGATCAAGAGGGTTGTTTTATTTTTGACAAGTGGAAACCCACATGTTTCTGAAAAGTGGAGTGGTGGTGGTGGTGGTGGTGGTAGCATAATCTGGAAGACCCCTAAAGAAGGCAGTGCTACCTGCCATATTTGACTTGGGGGTCAGAGCGAGAGTCTGAGTTGGAGAGTTGGGAAGCTAGAAAAATGAAGGACTAAAGTAAGAGATATTCCTTATTTCTCCTTTTCCTTTTCCACATATCTTGAGAAAGAGAAAGGTTTTTAGTTCAGCAGAAAATGGGAGATGCTGGGGCAGAGATAAAAATGCTCCCCAAACATGGCAGGGACTTCCTTGTATTTCTCGTTCTCCTTGTAGTTAGGTTGAGCTAAAGGAGATGCTACTAATGAAATTTGAAATCTTAGGGTCAGACATGTGGGAATGCACTGCCTACCCTTCCATCTTGGCAGTGACACGGGCTCATTCCCCCCAGTTTCCAGAGCTGTGTCCTTTTCATTCCTCTTTCCAAATCCACCTCCACTCAAGCTTTCAATCTGTGCCTGGGCTCTGGTTTGAATGAGCCACTGATATATTTGCAGCCACCGGGGATCTGGAGTGCAGATGCAAATGGCAGTGTTCCCTGGTAAGTGTTGGTGACAATTGGATCTTTCTCTGATTTGCATTCCCAAGGCCTGCAGGTTTTCAGAAAATCACATCTTATAGGCAGTTCTGGGGAGGGGGGAGGTTTATTTTCAATGTCAGCTACAAATGCCGGCCCATGATAATTCTTAGAATGAAAGACCTCTCATTTGCAAAGGAGAGGATAGTTAGAGCCAGAACAATTCACTTAGCAAAAATTTGGGCCCAAAAATATATATATAGGAGAAGGGATTGTTGGTGGGTAGAGAGGCCTGGAGATCAAGAGCAAGAGATGAGATAAACACAAGTTTGGAAGCCATTGGCTTGTGAGGGGACCTGAGCACTTAGAATAGAGGAGACCCCTCAGGGAGAGCTTGTATGGAGAGAGAGAAAGGTGCATCCTGACCCCATCCTGGGCATTTCTCTTTGAAACTCAGCCTTGTTATAATTCATTTCTAATTCTGATATCAGCAGTGAGGGTTCATCTAATCTATTCTCATCACTTCTTGAGCCTCTCAGCTCTCACTGGTCCTGGCTCTTGCCTGGAGATGATTTTACTCAAAATTCTAGTCCAGGATTTAGAATTGGTCTAAGTACAGATGTGCATCAGGAGGCTATTTCAAAATCCCAGATGAGCTCATACATAAAGTAAGGATTAATTTTTTATTTTGTGAACCAATTGTGTAAAAAAAAAAAAAAACAACAATGCACATTAGGAAAGTAATTCATTTAATTTCCATGACCCAGCCCCTCCTGCCTACAAGCCCCCCTCCCCCATCCCATGCAATCCACCTCATAGGTAAAAACATATTCTGGGCAAACTGACTCATTTCATGTCACATTTATCCCACTCAAGTTTGTCCCTCCTGCTTTGAGCCTGGATTCCACGTAAAGGTGGAAGGTGATTTGGGCTGGTCTCCAGGCAGTCACCACCTGCAACCTATTTTCTTCTCATCACGACACCTACGTTCAGTGTCACCTTTTCTTCTCCCTTGGGCTGCCCCTTTCTTGCTCACTCCCATGTTCCAATGCCAGCAGCTCTGTCTTTGTGCTCAGCCATGCTTGTTGTTCAGCAGCATTCCTCATTAGAATCCCATTATTTGATGGTCAGAGTAGGGTCTCCATGGTGATACAGGCACAAGTGTAGCCAGTATTCTGCCACCGCATCTTACCTACTTGGCAGGCAAGCTAGAGTTGGCCTAAATTCTGCTTTTATCATTTATGTGTTTGTTCTTATGCTTTTAGGAAAAAAAAATCCTGAAATAATGGTGAAGGACAGCAAGTATTTGCCTAGAGTGCATGCTAAGAAGTCTCCATAGATGTTTTTCTTTAAGTATCCTGACCGCTTAACATATTGATGAAGACCTCTTATTTCCAGGTCAACAATCAGCTGTTACCAACTTAAGCTTTCTAAACATTTTCTGTGAAACAAATTTTTGCCAGTAAGAAAAGGAAATTGGGAGCTGCCACTGCTTAATTAATTTGAAGCTTTGATAAGCTTTGCCAGAGAGTCGCATAATAGAATTAGCAAGTTTCTTAACAGGTGAGAAAGCACATGAGCATAAACAAAAATAGGATAAGACTATCATCAATGGGGTTTATGCACCAGCTTAAAAAGCCAGTTTGGGGGACTTTTATGACTCTGAATTAAGATTTGTGCAATATAAGATTGTCCAGGATAAAATATTTTGGGCACCAAATATTAAGCTTCTGAAATAGACCCAGAGGTTCTTGTATGATAAAAAAAAAGTATGTATAAGGTTTTGATTTGATTTTTTAAATAATGTGTTCACTACTTCCCTTTCTTCTGAGACTCCATAGAGAAAAAAATATCATAACACTAAAGAGAAGGGAATGAGGATGGCCAAGAGCAGACTGGAGATTTCATCCTATTTCTTGGTTGTGGACAATCAGAAAAAGCATATTGTAGATGAAGTGGAGTAAAGGATGCTCAGAATATGCATGTCATGGGCCTCTGGGAATGTGGTGGCTGATCAGGCTGCTAGAAGCCTGGAGGGCCTTGGCTATCGGATTCCTAGCTTTGGATAGCAGGAGCGAGACATTGTGCAAAAACCAGAGGCATCATTAAAATTCTGTCTGCCATATAGCTGCATCATTGATGCTTTCCAGTGCCTTCCTTGCCACTGCATACAGAACCATCGAAAACCTTCATATTGAGAATTCTTTTCTAGAAAAATTGAATACATTTCCAAGGAAGAACTAGGGCTTCAAGTGCAGATATTTGCACATAGATTAAACCCTTTTTTTATTATGGCATTTTGAATTTCCAGGCTAATGTCAGATTCCACACCCACATACCTAAAAGAGGAGCCAGCCTGTCAAGGTGGCCCAGTTACAAAAGAGAGCTTCCAATCAGCCTTTCCATTCAGGAGACCGTTCTACTGGAGAATGATACCTGCTTACCCAAAACAGCCTTTCCTTTTCCTTCATGAATTACTAATCAAGGATGATCAGAAATAGGAACAAAATCCACAGCCTGAAAGAGAAAGACCAAGCTAAACACCAAGAGTGAATTACCCCTGAAGAAATAAAGATCAAAGAAGACAAAAAATTTAAGCTTGTGTCCTTAGAGGAGGCACAGAAGATATTGCCTCCATAAAATAAGAGAAGGATGCTATTAAAAATAAACAATTAAGAAATGAGAAGGTGAAAATGTAAATTAGTAAGTCATTATGGAAAACAGTATGGAAATTCCTCAACAGTTAAAAATAGAACTAGCCATATGATCCAGCAACCCCACTACTGAGTATATGTCCAAAGGAAATCACTGAGAGGTATCTGAACTCTCAATGTTTATTGCAGCACTGTTTACAAGAGTCAAGATATGGGATCAACCTATGTGTTCACCAATGGGTGAATAGAGAAAGAAAATGTGTTTTATATATACACAGTGGAATACTATTTAGACATAAAAAATAACTGGAATACGGCCTGCACAGTGGCTCACACCTGTAATCCCAGCACTTTGGGCGGCCAAGGCGGGCAGATTGCCTGAGGTCAGGAGTTCGAGACCAGCCTGGCCAACATGGTGAAACCCTGTCTCTACTAAAAATACAAAAATTAGCCCGGCGTAGTGGTGCATGCCTGTGATCCCAGCTACTTGGGAGGCTGAGGTAGGAGAATTGCTTGAACCCAGGAGGTAGAGGTTACAGTGAGCCGAGATTGTGCCACTGCACTCCAGCCTGGGCAACAGTGTGAGACTCTATCTCAAAAAAAAAAAAAATTGTAGTACTATCATTTGTGGCAACATGGGTAAACCTAGAGAACATTA
The DNA here is from genome assembly GCF_000001405.40 of Homo sapiens. NCBI lineage: Eukaryota > Metazoa > Chordata > Mammalia > Primates > Hominidae > Homo > Homo sapiens. Next base: position 143,201,426 of record NC_000007.14, on the reverse strand, counting down.
TTTTAAGTGAAATAATCCAGGCACAAAAAGACAAATACTGCATGATCTTACCAATATGTGGAATCTTAAAAAGTTGATCTCATAGAAGTAGAGAGTAGGATAGTGGTTATCAGAGGCTGGGGAAGATAGTGAGATTAGGGGGCAAATGGGGAGAGATTTGTCAATGACTACAAAGTTACAGTTAGATAGGAGGAATTAGTTCTGGTGTTCTATTGCACAGTAGGGTGACTATGTTAGTTAACAATGTTGTGTATTTCAAAATAGTTAGAAAGGTGGGGCACAGTGGCTCAAGCCTGTAATCCCAGCACTTTGGGAGGCCAAGGAGGGTGGATCACCTGAGGTCAGTTCAAGACCAGTCTGACCAACGTGGTGAAACCCCATCTCTACTAAAAAAATACAAAAGTTAGCCAGGCGTGGTGATGCATGCCTGTAATCCCAGCTACCTGGGAGGCTGAGGCAAGAGAATTACTTGAACCCGGGAGGCAGAGGTTGCAGTGAGCCAAGATTTCACCATTGCACTACAGCCTGTGCAATAGACAAACCAACAAACAGACAAACAAACAAAACAAACATCAAAATAGGAAAATTTTGAATGTTCTCACTGTAAAGAAATGATAATTATATGAGGAGATAGATATATTAAATATCCTGATTTGATGATTACACAATTTATACATGTATTAAAATATCACATTATACCTCATAAATATGAATAATTGTTAAATGCCAATTAAAAACAAAGTAAAAAAGACACAACAGGCTTTCAGATATTTAAAGTATGATTTAAAATTACATCCAGGCAATATATGATTATAGTAAAAACAAGATGAAGTCAAGGTAATCTCTCAGAATTCAGAGCAAAACTCAATCATGAAAAAGATAAAGGAAAAGATGAGAGACACAGTTGTTTAACCCAGGAGGTCTAAGATCTGACTGAAAGAAGTTTTAGGTAGTGAAGTTAGAGACAATGGAGGGAAAAACATTATTTTTTTTTTTAAATAGAAGAAAAAATTTCAGTGCCGACAAAAAACATGTTATTTTAATTGGTAAGCCCAGAGTTGGTCTTACATAATTTTCATCAAGTGGAACATTCACTACAAATTTACTAAGACATGTTCATTCTCCCCTTTCTCCTGAAAAAAACATCAATTTTGTTTAGTGTGGAAGTGTGCACAATGAAAAATCATTTATCACACAGAGTTCCTTGCAGGGGTGTCCATGTGACCCAGCTCTGCCTGTCTGCATAAAATGCATTCGATTTTAAAAATTGGAGGTATGACTGACATACTAAAAGGTGTATATATTTAATGTATATATCTTGATGAGTTTGAAGACAAGCATATACCTATGTAAACCATCACCATAAACAATGCCATAAACATAACCATCACTTCTAAATGTAGATGCGATGCCTTGGCTGGGTGCAGTGGCTTATGTCTGTAATCCCAGCATTTGAGAGGCCGAGGTGGGCAGATCTCTTGAGCCCAGGAGTTTAAGACCAACCTGGGCAACATGGCAAAACCCTGTCTCTACTAAAAATACAAAAATTAGCCGGGCGTGGTGGCATATCCCTGTAGTCCCAGCTACTTGGGAGGCTGAGGCAGGAGAATTGCTTGAGCCAGGAGGTGGAGGCTGCAGTGAGCCAAGATCATGCCACTGCACTCCAACTTGGGTGGCAGAGGGTGAGCCTGTGTGGAAAAAAAAATGTGATGCCTCATTGTGGAGAAGCCATCTGTGACAATGAACGAGAGAGTAAGCGACAAGAAAAGAGTGGTAGGACAGGAGGGATCCTAGGTCCTTCATGACTGCGTGGAGCATTTTGTCCAGCCTCTAGACTTCATGTTACATTAAAAATATTAGTCATTATATGGTCACTGTAGCTAGATTTCTGTTATATGAAGTTGTACAATACTAGTGAATCACCAAAAATAAAGAGAAGACCCTAAAAACTTCTAGAGAAAAAGAATGTGAAAATGTACAAATGAAAAAGACACATTGCTTTCAGATTAACAATTTGTAACAAGGTGATATGGTTTGGCTCTGTGTCCCCACCGAAATCTCATCTTGAATTGTAGTTCACATAATCCCCATGTGTCATGGGAGGGACCTGGTGGGAAATGATTAGATCATGGGGGTAGTTTCCCTCATGCTGTTCCCGTGACAGTGAGTGAGTCTCATGAGCTCTGATGATTTTGTAAGCGTCTAGCATTTTCCCTGCTTGCACTCATTCTCTCTCCTGCTGACCTATGAAGGGGTGCTTTCCACCGTGATTATAAGTTTCCAGAGGTCTCCCCAGCCATGTGGAACTGTGAGTTAACTAAACTTCTTTTCTTTATAAATTACTCAGTCTCAGGTATTTCTTCATAGCAGCATGAGAATGGACTAATACACAAGGAATCTTAGAAGATAATGAAATGTATTTTAAGTTCTTAAGGGAGATTATTTTAGACCTAAATTATATACTCAACAAAACTACCAATCAAGAATGAGGGCAAAATAAAAATATTATAAACTTTCAAGGACTGAGAGAGTTTACGTTCTCAGGTCACTTTTCTGAGGGAATTACTTAAGGATGTGTTCCAGTAAGAAAGTGAGAAAATAAATGAAGGGTAAGATATGAGATCTAGAAAATAGTTAATGGATATAATTCAGACATTCAGCGAAGGAATTTCCAAATGTGAATCAGGATTAGGGCACAATTGTTGAGACTGAAATAAGAGGATAAAGGGCTTTGAAAACGGTGCTCCTGGAGCAAAAAAAGTGGATTACATCTACTTGGTAGTAGTGTGATTACAAAGCTGAGTTACTATGAGGAGACAGTAAAACATATGTGTATATTTTTTGGAGGAGGGATCCAAACAACGTAAAATAAAGCAACTGAGTAGAATTATTACAAACCCAACCTCTTGAATGCTACTGAGTCAATGATGGATAATAAGAAAATAAAATGCATTCGATTTTAAAAATTGGAGGTGTGACTGACATACTAAAAGGTGTATATATTTAATGTATATATATTGATGAGTTTGAAGACAAGTATATACCTATGTAAACCATCACCATAAACAATGCCATAAACATAACTGTCACCTCTAAAAGTTTTTTCCCTCCTTTTTTGTGATAAGGATATTTAACATAAGACTTTCCCTTTTAACAAGTTTGAAAGTAGTATACAATACAGGATTGTTAACTATATGCACTGTGCTACACAGCAGATCTCTAAGACTTACTCATCTTGTATAACTGAGACTTTGTACTTTTTGACGCAAATTTTCTCAATTCTTCCTTCCTTCAGTCCTTAGTAACCACTACTCTACTCTCTGCTTCCATGGGTTTGACTGTTTTAGATTTCTAATATAAGTGGGATCATGTAGTATTTGTTCTTCTGTGTCTGGCTTACATCACTTAGCATAATATCCTCAAGTTTCATCCATTTTGTTGCCTGTCATAGGATTTCCTTCATTATAAGGCTGAATAATATTCCACTGAGTGTGAGTGTATGTGTGTGGTATGCATATATACATACATACATATATATATTATATATACACACACGGATAAATACTGCATTTTCTTTATCCATTTATCCGTCAATTGACACTTAGGTTGTTTTCAGTATTGGCTGTTATGGATAATGCTGCAATGAACATGAGAGTGCAGATACTTCATAGAGATAGTGATTTCATTTCTTTTGGATATATATCAAGAAGTAGGATTGCTGGATCATACGGTAGTTCTATTTTTAATTTTTTGGGATCTTATTCCATAGTGTCTGTACCAATTTACATTTCCACCAACTATACTTTTTTTCCATATAGTGACTGTAGAAATTTACATTCCCACCAACAGTCTACAAGAGTTTCATTTTCTCCACATCCTACCAACATTTGCTACTTTTTCTTTTTTGATAACAGCCATTCTAACGTGATATATCATTGTTATTTACATTTTCCTGATGATTAGTGATGTTGAGCGCCTTTTCATATGCCTTTTGGCCATTTGGATGTTTTAAGAAATGTATATTCAAATCTTTTGCCCATTTTTGAATCAGGCTACTATTTTGCTATTGAGTTGTAGGACTTCCTTATGTTTTGGATATTAGTCTTTTATCAACTATATCTTTTGCAAATATTTTCTTCTATTCAATAGGTTGCCTTGTCCCTTTTGCTGATTGTTTTCTTTTTTGTGCAGTTTTTAATTTGATATAATGTCATTTGTCTATTTTTCTTTTGTTGCCTATTCTTTTGGTGTCATATCCAAAAAATCATTGTCAAGGCTAACGTCAAGAAGGTTTGCCTTTCTTTTTTTTTTTTTTGAATTTTATTGTTTCAGGTCTTACATTTAGATCTTTAACCTATTTTAAGTTGATTTTTTTGGTATGGTGTATGATAAAGGTCAAATTTTATTTACTGTATGTGGGTATCTAGTTTTCTGACACCATTTACTGAAGAAGATACTATCCTTTCCTGATTGTATATTCTTGCCCTTCTTGTCAAAAATAAGTTTACTGTAAATGCGTGGATTCATTTCTGGGAACTTCATTCTGTTCCACTGGTTGATATGTATGTTTTTATGCCACTGCCATATTGTTTTGATTTCTATAGCTTTTTAATATATTTTGAAATCAGAAAGTGTGATTCCTTCTGTTTTTTTCCTTCTTGCTCAAGACTGCTTTGGCTACTAGGGGCATCTTATGGTTCCACGTAAATTTTAGATTTTTTTCTATTTCTATAAAAATGCCATTGCAATTTTGATGGGATTACATTGAATCTGTAGATCACTTTGGATATTGTGGACATTTTGACAACATTAATTATTCCAGTCCATGAACATGAAGAAATGTCTTTTCATTTATTTGTGACTTTTTCAATTTCTTTCATCAATGTTTCAAAGAATAAATCGAAAGGAAAATTAAAAAAACTACTTTGAGACAAATAAAATGGAAAGACAGCATACTAAAACTTATGGGATGCAGTAAAAGCAGCAGGAGAGAAGTTTACAGTGATAAACATCTACATTAAAAAAAAAATCTCAGATTAAAAACCTAAATTTACCCTTCAGGGAACTAGAAAAAGAAGAACAAACTAAGCCCTAAACTAAGTTTTTACTAGAGTTAATAAAAGGAAAGAAATAATAAGATTAGAGATGGAATAAATAAAATAGAAAATATTTTAAAACAACTTAATGAAATTAAGAGTTTGTTTTTTGAAAAGATAAAAATGATAAGATAAACAAAATCCTTTAAAAACTCTTCTAAAAAATAGAAGAAGAAACAGTACTAAACTAATTTTATGAGGTCAGCATTATCCTGATATTAAAACCAAAGACACCATAAGAAAAGAAAACTACAGGCCAATATCCCTGATGAACATACATGCAAAAATCCAGAACAAAATACTGCAAAATGAAGTCAGTAGCACATTGAAAACACCATGATCAACTGGGATTTATTGTTGGGATGCGAGGATAGCTCAACCTATGCAAATCAATAAATGTATACATTACATTAACAGAATGTAGAATAAAAGTTATATCATCATCATAGCCAATGCAGAAAAACATTTGACAAAATTCAACACTCTTTCATGATGAAAACTTTCAACAAATTATGTATAAAAAGAATTTGCCCCAACATAATAAAGGCCATATATCACATGATAAGCTCATAGCTCAAAGCTGACAGCTATTCCTGTCAAGATCAAGGCAAGGTTGCCCACTCTTGCCTCTGCTATTCAACATAGTATTAGAAGTCTTTCCTAGAGCAATTAGGCAAGAGAAAGAAATAAAGGGCATCCAATTTGGAAAGGAAGAAATAAAACTATCTCTGTGTGCAGATGATATAATCCTATATGTAGAAAAGTCTAAAGACTACAAAAATCTGTTAGAACGAACAAGCAAATTCAGTACAGTTGCAAGATACAAAGCCAATATACAAAATCAGTACTGTTTATTTGCACCAAAAATGACCTATCTGATAATGAAATTTTAAAAAACTGTCAAAAATTATCACATCAAAAATAATGAAATACTTAGGAATAAACTTATAAAAGAAGTTGAAGGACTTGTACACAGAAAACTATAAAACACATTTGACTTTTATTGTGGAAATATTCTCCTTTGATTTGGGTCTATGGATTGTGTCATTGACCTTAATGGGAAACAGTTTTCTATTTGAGTTGAACAATATTTAGCCACAATATTAGAAATGCTATTTATTGGTTTTCCATATTTAAATCAACTTATAAATAAAGCATAGAAGACTGAACTATAGTTATAGAAAAGCATATGACAATTCAGAAGGAACATATTGCTTTCAGAAGTTATAAGGTGGAAAAGGGAAGGTGTTTGAAGGAAGGGTAGAGAGCTAATATACTCTTTTTATAAAGTGCATTTTATGGGCATTGAGTATAAATACTTGAATAGAAATGAAAACTTAAAATTATCACTTAACAATTTAAAGGCAATGAAAACAAGAGCTGAAAATAGTAATACAACTCAAAATTTTAGAAGAGGACAGGGTCAATAGTTTGAGAGTAATGTAAGTGACATTCAGATTCTCACTTAAAAAGAAAATATAGAGGTGGGATCTCGCTATGTTGCCCAGGCTAGTATCAAACTCCTGGCCTCAAAGAATCCTCCCGCCTCGGCCTCCCAAAATGTTGAGATTACAGGTGTGAGCCACAGCACCCAGCCAGAAAAAGAAATTCCCACTTTTTATAGTGATATGTCAATGAATATTATTTACAAATGGACAAAAAATACACATACATGTATATGTGTATGTATTTGGAATTGTGAGAGTAACCACCACAAAAACTAATGCCAGAAATTGATAGAAATGTTGCTTTTGGAAATGTTAATTGGGGTGAGACAGGAGACTGCTGCTTTTCACAAAACACCTTTTTTAGCGTTTAATTTTTTCCCCCAGAAACCAGTATTACTTTGATAATAATAATTTTGAAAGTTTCATCATTTTGAAACAACCAATTTTGCTTCTGTATTTTTTTAGGGAGAAGATTTAAAAATGAGTAATATTATTATGTTTTTGTAAGTCTTCCCAATCCATTTTTTAAAAAGGCCTTACATGAGAATTTGAGTTATGACAATTTTAACTTTCTACTCATCAGGCTATTTCACAAGAAAATAAAACCTCTCAACATTACGAGAAAGTAGTAGCAAACAATTGTGACATGTGACATGTTTTCACCAAATTACCTGTTACTAAAATGATTGGGAGCTGCTTGCTAAGAAATCTCATCATTTCCCATAAATATTTTCTCCCAGGTGGTTTTCGATGGCTTTAATGCTCTACTTCCAGCTGTCTGTGGCAATGTTTTGACAGTTGTTGACTTAATGTTTTCAGCCCCTGAGAATGATGAGACAGGAAAAAGCATTTACAAAGTACACTTACCTGTTTCCTCTGCATCCAGTATATTATTCAAAATCCATTTTGTTAATGTACAAGGAAGCATGCCATTATTTGAATACCAAATACTTTATTTTTTTAAACAACAACAAAATCCTCACTAGGGATCAAATGAAAGATAATAATGTTGTTTGTCTAACACACCTGGAACAGACATGTTTCTTCCTGGAAGGCTGTGAAAGGGTGTCAACAAAATGTCTTATTACTTGTTGTTAGCTTTTAAGGATGGTGGATCTGAGGAACAATGGCTAACACAGATAAGTCACTGGTCCAGTGAGGACCCCCAACAGGTGTCCATGTTTACAGACTGTCTTAGAGATTAGTTTAGAAATGGGGGCAGTTCCATTCACCTTTTTCCTTTTAGGAAGGTCTACCTTCTGGGGCCCTTTCCACTCCAAGTCAGAAGCCTGATGCCCAGAACCTACCCAGAATTGATTAAAACGATCTGTAGCATCTGTTTCTTGACTTGAGAGTTTCAGGATTGTTCTTGCCTTTTGCTCTTTTGCTTTTATTTATCTCCTCTTAGAAGTCCATGGACATTAAAGTTCAGAAAATGAGACCCTTAAGAAGAATCACTGCAATTTCCTGAAGAGAAAAAAGAAATAGTGCCTCTATTTCAGAAGAGTTCCACCTAGTACTTTGCAGAGGGGAATAGAGGGTAAAATAAGTTTTGTTTGGAAAATTTATCATAGGTCAAGTTCTGGAGACTGGTGATTCAACATTAGTTGTTACCCCGATACAGCTGCTTTCAATAACAGGTACGGCCAGCTTGTATCAGCCATTTGCTATATATATATTATTTTAATTATTGTTCAGGACCCTCCTGTGAGATCAGCATTATTATCCTCCTCATTTTATAGATGAGAGAATTAAGATTTGCATAGGTTAGTTTTTTGCTCAAGAATAAACAGAGTAGATGGCAGAGACTTAGAACTTTAACTTGAATTTAACTACTGTTACCATTCCTTGCTTGTAGACACTTTCTGCTCTGTGGTTATTTGGTTGTTGTTGCTGCTACTTTTGTTGTTAATTCAATTTTCTCTAAGATTCAACCTAATTTTCTTCTCAGAGCACTTTCTTAATTACTGTTTCCTCAGCATTTTGTTTTCAGTTTGTCTTTAGTCTTTTTTTTTACAGGTACCTCTATCTGGCCTTTTCAACCCAACTGTAGGTTGTTACTCTTGGTCTAGTGCCAAGTAGGAGAAATTCTTTCTGCTAAATGGCTGGTGATATGGGAGATTTTATGTTATCACACGTATAATAGAAATGAAAGGGTCAGCTTGCTAGGGTTTATCATTCCAATGCTGATGGTGAATTAGCAACATTTTGTTTATTATATAGAAACCTGTTTACTGGGGCTCAAGAGAGCATTTCTTAAATTTATTGGGCCGCAGAAATATGTCCTCCCTTAATTCAAGTTAGCACACATTGAGAGTACTCCTGGCTGCCTGAGACTCACCATTGCATAGTGTATACAATTCTTGACCAGATACGAAAAAAATGTTTGTGGCTGAAACAAAACAAAGTTCTAGAAACACACAGGATGGCAGTGGGTGTTGTTAGCATTATAATAGGTGTGACTAAATTCTCAAGATTTAGTAGCACTGATATGGTTTGGCTGTATCGCCACCCAAATCTCATCTTGAATTGTAGCTCCCACAATTCCCTTGTGTCATGGGAGGGACCCAGTGGGAGGTAATTGAATCATGGAGATAGGTCTTTCCCGTGCTGTTCTCGTGATAGTGAATAAGTCTCACGAGATCTGATGGTTTTATAAAGGTGAGATCCCCTGCACAGGCTCTCTCTTGCCTGTCGCCATGTAAGATGTCCCTTGCTCTTCCACCATGATTGTGAGGCCTCACAGCCATATGGAACTGTGAGTCAATTAAACCTCTTTCCTTTACAAGTTACCCAGTCTTGGGTATGTCTTTATGACAAAACAGCTCAGATTTTCTATGTATTCATTTCTTGAATAGATTATATGGTAATATCATTGAAAATTCAGAAGATACAAAATGTATACAGTAAAAAGTCTTCTTCCTGCTTCTTGTCTCCCAGTCCATAATTTACATCTGTGGAAGAAAACATAAATAAATATTTCCGGGCCAGGCGCGGTGGTTCACGCCTGTAATCCCAGCACTTTGGGAGGCCAAGGCGGGCAGATCACGAGGTCAGGAGTTTGAGACCAGCCTGGCCAACATGGTGAAACACCATCTCTACTGAAAATACAAAAATTAGCCAGGCGTGGTAGCAGGTGCCTGTAGTCCCAGCTACTTGGGAGGCTGAGGCAGGAGAATTGCTTGAACCCAGGAGGTGGAGGAGGTTACAGTGAGCTGAGATCATGCCACTGCACTCCAGCCTGGGCAACAGAGCAAGACTGTCTCAGAAAAAAAAATTCCCATTTTCTAACTCTATTTTAAGAAAACAATATTATTAATTTCTTATTGTATTCTTCCAGAGAAAATTAGTGTATATGCAAGCACACATGTATTTAATTATTTTTAACAACAGTATTGAATGCAAATGATAGTATATTAAATGCATTGCTTTTTTTTTGCGCCTAATAATACATTTGGAAGCCATTCCAAACACATAAATACATTTGGTTCCTTTCTCTTTCTATCTTTCTCTTTCTTGTGCCTCTTTTAATATTTTCTTTCTATAGCTTCTTACACTGAACCTTTGTATTGATATCAATTTGTATTGATGATATCCTATGATTTTCCTATTTTTTCTATTATAAACAATGCTGTAACATGTAACCTGTGTACATATGTTATCTTTTATGTGTTCAAGTATATGTATTCTTGTTTCGCTCATGTAAAATTCTTGAGTGAATGTATGTACCACCATGATTTTCATAGCTATTACTAAACTGTACTTGAGGCAGTAGCAATTAACACTTCCATCATTTATGAGCTCACCTGGTCCCTATGATCATCAGCACAGTGTGTTTTCAAACTTTTTGATCTTTGTTAATCTGATAGGTGAAAAAGTACATCTCAGAGTAGTTCTTATTTCTATTTCTCTTGTAGTAAATCAGGCTGAGCATCCTTTAAATTTTTTAAACAAACTTCTGAAAGCAACTTAATGAATTGGAAAAATCATCTAAATGTTATATGAAAACAAAAGATTACAAAAACTTTAGTATGAACCCAGTTTTGTTAAACTACACACACACACACACACACACACACACACACACAGACACACACGCTTTAAAAGTTGTCTCTGGGTTGAAGGATAATGGATGATTTTTAATTTTAATTTTTAAATACCTTTTCACATTTTATAAGCTTTTAATTTCTTAAAAGCCACCTTTATTTCATTTTCTCTAACTATCAGTTCATATCCTTTGCCAATTTTTAACTTCAGTAATTGTTCTTATTGATTTGTATGAGCTCTTAATATATTCAGAAAATTAATCTTTATCTGGAATGTGAGTGGCAAATATTATTTCCCAGTTTCTTGTTTGTCTTTGACTTTGCTTAGGTAGTTTTTGCCATGTAGTATCTTTTTACTTTATGTAACCAGATTAAATAAATCATTTTATGCTTGTTTTTTCACTTATCATGGTTAGAAGGGTCTTCTCAACTCTAAAATTAACTTTGAAATCTCCAAAATTTCTTCTAATATTTAATAGTTCCTTTTTTAAATAAAAACATGAATTATTTGATTTATTTGGCCTAGTATAAGATGTGAGAGAGACATCCAAAATTTTTTTCCACTTTGCTAGCTAGTTGTTCTAACATAATTTATTGAATAATCCATTATTCCTTTACTAATACCACTTTTACCATATACTAAATTCTCATTTTTCTGGATGTCTACTCTGTTTTATTGAGTATTGATTTCCACTGTCACACTATTTTGTGTTTTTCAGCTTCATAACATGTGTGTTATTTCATGGGGTTAGTCCTCCCTCATTACTTTTTCATTTTCAGAATGTTTCTGGCCATTCTTGCTTCATTTTTTCCAGATTATGTTTATTATCTGTCTAAAAAATTTTTGGCATTTGTGTCAAATTACAGTAAATGTAGATTCATTTAGGGAAATGTTGTATCTGATGACATTGACATTTTCCACTCAATAGCATGGTAGCCTTTCTCCTGTTCAAGTCTTCTGTGTGTATATCTGAAGCATTTAAAAGTAGTCTTCATATAGATTGTGATATGGACAGGAGGCAGCGAAATATTAGGTAGAAAAGGGCGGGTCCTTCTTGAAGCCCCACCCTCAAGCCTGGACTCACAGCCCAAAGTGAGAACATGCATTTCTGTTTTCCCGCTTAAATGTTGCCTCTTCCAAATTACCCTGGCCTGCTCCACCCCCGCCCCCCACATCCTGTGCCCATAAAAACCCCAGGCTCCACTAGCAGCAGAGCATCAGAGGAGAGAAGAGAAAAAGCAGCTTAACATTGGCAAGAAGCAGCTTGACTTCAGAGGGTCGGCTTGATAGCTGGACCTTGGAGAAGAGATGGCCTAACTCCAGAGGAAGACCCCCTTCCTGCTCTATCCACTTCCAAGCCCTTCATCCCACTGAGAACCACTTTTATCAGCAATAAAATCCCCTGCATTTACCATGTTCAGTTTGTTCCTGCGACCTGATTCTTCCTGGATGCCCAACAAGAGCTTGAGATACAGAGGGCTATCACACTGAGCTGTTAAACACTAAAGCCGTACATGGATAGCAAAGCTATAAGAGCACAGTAACACATGCCCTCTGGGGCTCCAGGGGTCATGGGTACCCCGCTGGATGCTGCTGTGGGGCCGCAAGGAGTTCTGCTCCTGCCGGCATCCAGAACTCCTCCTGGTCCCTGCACCCACTCACCTGCATGCCTCCCCTCCTACAAAGGATTTGAGAGCTGCAGGCTGAATAAACGAGCAACTCCCTTTGTGAGGCCTATGAAGGGGTCAGGGAAAATTTCCTGTTTCAGTCGTGCTCATTTTTTGTTAACTTTATTGCTCTAGTATCTTATTTTTTGTTGCTGTTTATTTTTTTCCTTCCATATTTCATGCTTTTGTTATTTAGAATAATATTTTAGTTGCTTCTCTTGGGTTTTTTATTTATATAACCATCTGCAGATAAGATACTCCACCAGGAAACTTCCAATTTTTTAAAATCCTTTAAATTAATTTCACTTCTTCTAGTTGTACTGGATACTTATCTAGGGTTAACATCAGTTAATAGGGTGAGGGTAAACATCTTTGTCTTTTTACCTGAATTTAATGGAAATAATAATGTTTTCTCATTAAGAATGATGCTAGCTGTTAAATTAGCCAGGCACGGTGGTTCATGTCTGTAATCCCAGCCACTTGGGAGGCTGAGGCAGGAGAATTGCTTGAACCTGGGAGACAGAGGTTTGCAGTGAGCCAAGACTGTGCCATCGCACTGCACTCCAGCCTGGACAACAGAGTGAGACTCCGTCTAAAAAAAAAAAAAAGAATGATGCTTGCTAGCTATTAAGAGATAGATATATTTTATCATGTTAGGAAATCATCTATTTTTATTGTAAGATTTTTTAATAATTAGGAATGGTTCTTGAATTTTATTTTTCAGCACTTAACATTATTATATGATTTGTCTCTTTAGTATTATTAATATGGTTAATTATATTGATATGTTTTCTAATATTAAACCATCTTTACTTTTATGAAATAAACCTGTATTCTAGATTTAAATTTAATACTAAATCTTATTTAGTATTTTTGTATAAACACTGATAAGTGAGGTGAGGTTTATTTGTAGTTTTCTGGGAGACAATTTTTGTTAGGTTTTGATATCTAAATTATATTTATTTCACAAAACAAATTTGGAAGCTTCCTTTAACTTTTGTGCTGTGAAACAATTTACATAGACTTCATATTATTTGCTTTTAAAAAGTTGATAGAATTCCCTTGTGAACATCTGGTGCCAGCATTATTTGAGGAGTGGCTCTTCACAACTTTCTCTAGCTCAACTGTGATGATTATTCTGCTTAGATTTTCTTGAAGTCAATTTTAGTAAATTATATTTTTCTAGGAACATCTATCTTATCTACGTTTTCAAACTCTAGCATAGAGTTAAACAAAATAGTTTCTTAAAAGTACTGCAATTTCTCTGATTTGTAGTTATTTTTCTTTCATGTCTTATTTTGTGTATTTATGCCTTTTTTCTTTCTTGATTATGTAAGCTAATGATGCCAATTTTACTGCCTCTTTTCAATGAACCAGTTTTGTATCCGTTTTAACTTTTTTATATTTTATTTATCAAATCAATATTTAATATGTTCTGATTTCCTTAGATTTATTTCGTAATTATCCTAAATGTTTGGTTTATATTTATAATTTTTTATTTTTATAATTTTGTTTTATTTTTAGTTAACATGTAGTAATTGTACATATTAATAGGACCCAGTGATATTTGGGTACATGTATACCATGTGGGATGATCAAATCTGAGTAATCTGCATATCTATCACTTCAAACATTTCTTTGTGTTGGAAACATTCAAAATCCTCTCTTCTAGCAATTTGAAAATACACAGTAAATTATTGTTAACTATAAGTCACCCTACAGTGCTACTCTAGAACTTATTCCTCTATCTAGATTTATATATATATATATATATATATATATATATATATATATATATATATATATATTTTTTTTTTTTTTTTTCTGAGATGGAGTTTTGCTCTTTTGCCTAGGCTGGAGTGTAGTGGTGTGATCTTCGCTCACTGCAACCTCTGCCTTCTGGTTTCAAGCGATTCTCCTGCCTCAGCCTCCTGAGTAGCTGGGATTACAGGCACCCACCACCACGCCTGGCTAATTTTTGTATTTTTAGTAGAGACAGGGTTTCACCATGTTGGCCAGGCTGGTCTCGAACCCCTGACCTCGTGATCCACCCGCCTCAGCCTCCCAAAGTGCTGGGATTACAGGCGTGAGCCACGGCGCCTGGCCTAGATTTATATTTTTAACAATTACCTCTTTATATCTTATTTACTCATTTAGGCCTTTCCTGACTGGGCTGATCTAACACCACCACCATGATGTGCTATTCATTCTAGGTTTTATTACCAATGCTTTCCCACTAGACTAGAAGATCCATGATGACAAGAGCCCTGTTCATTGTATACATAGCAACTGGAATAGAATATGCCATATAGTTGGTGTTCAGCCAATACTTGTTCAACTAATAACTGAATGATCCTCTACTTATACACGTCACAGGACAGAAACATGGGACTTACTGATGAGTTGCATGAAGTGAGTAAGACAGAAGACACATCCATGGTGGTTCCTAGCATTCTGACTTCACCAGTGGAAATAATGTGGCACTATTTAATGAGTTGGAGAAAACTGAAAAGGAAATGTGTTTCAAGGGGAAAATTAAGAATCCAAGTTTGCATGTTCTACTTTTGAGCGACCACTCACATAGATGTTTCAACATAGTTTTTATATTCTAAAAGATATTTTAAAATGAATTTTTAAAATTTGGCAGTCGACTTTTTAGCGCTGACATTCAAGGATCATCGGATGTTTAAGGAAAGACTCGATCACGAGAGAAAACAAACTGAAACACATAGAAAAATGAAACTTGGAGGAGGAAAAAATATAGAGGGAGTAGAACATAGTTAAAACATGTCTAATGATTTTTTTTCATTGACTGGCACCCTTTCTATTGAATATTGGGGATATAGGCAGAAATTGGTGGATTAGTAGATTCACTAATGGGAAAAAGAGGATTGTCCTTCAAATGTTGCCTGACAAAGACTTTAAGGGCTGAAATGGGTCAGGGAGAAGAGAGGCTGAAGGTTTGGAGACTGAGAAAAAGATGTGAGATAGTCATTGTGGGGACTTTAATGAGTGACTTCTCTAGGGAAATATGGGATGGAAATGCTCAATGAAGTTACTCGTTTGAGGCTGAATAGCATGAATTTGTAGGAACATGAACTCATCCAGTTCTGAAATACTCTCAAGTAACACTCAGCTGCTTAGAAGCAAACACAGAATGTTAAATAGTCATTTAAATGTGGGATTATTTCACATTTAGAAGGGTCAGGAATTTAGAATATTGTATGATTTATTTATATAAAAGCTATATTAGGGAAATTCTCAAACATATTCTGAAATAGAATAGTAGAAAGAACTCCACATGCCTGAAGCCTTGTTTAAAAAAACATTAGCATAAGAATAACCCAAACCACCCCGTTCTCTACTCCTTTGTCCTATGTTGGATTAATTCAAAGCAAATCACAGATACAGCTCATTTCATCTGTAAATATTGAAGCTATTTTTGAAGGGTGAGTATAATGATTGACCAGTAATCCAAATTGAATATGAAAGGAAGAGAGGACAGGCCTGATAGAGGGACAGAGAATATAGAGGTGTCAATGGATTGAAAGCCTGTGATGTTTAATTTGTGATTTGTTTGCATTTTTAATAAAACCCAATAGTGAGAGAGCCAATCAACAAAATAATGTGCACTATCCTTTCTCTCAAATCTTTTTTACTTACCAATTCTCTTTCTAATAAAAATCAATATAAATCTTTTAAAATTTTAAAATTAGTGAATACATGTTCTAAGTAATTCAAACAATGCATAAAGGCATAAAATAAACGGTAAATATTTCATTTATTCCCCAGATACCCAGTGACACCACTCAGAAGCCCTCTGTGAATTATTTTTGGTATATTTGTCCAGAAACTTTGCATGTACATATATATACATACAAATATATAAGTATTATGAAAAAAAGAAATACAGATGGAATCATAAAATATCTCCTTGCTTTTTGCACTGTGTATTGGAAATCTTTTCATCTCAGGAAGCATGCATCTATCTCATTTAAAAAAGGTTAACATAATATTCATTTCAGACATTCAATTCCCGTCATTCATGAACAGTGCAGCTGTGAAGAGCCTCTTGCACATATTTTTGCTTATTTATACAAAACCATGCTTAGAAAAAATTCTTAGTAATTTTTAGGATGAAAGGTGTTTTATGCATTATTAATTTTGATAAATAGTTCCACATTATTTTGGTTATATCTTTGAAAGATGGAGACAAAATGCATTTCAAACTTCTGCTCAGAAAACTTCCCAAGTTATCTAAATGTGTTTAAAAGGCATGTGGAGGGAGAAAGAGAGTTGTCAGGAACTAGTTTCAGAACATTCTTCTATTTTGGTGGCTATACAACCCTGCTGCACAGCAGAATCACCTGGAGATCTTAGAAAATTGTGTGAGTTCTAACACTAGAAATTCTGACTTAATAGATCTGAGATTGGGTTTGAACATTGGTATTTTCAAAAATCAACCTAGAGATTCTAATGGGTAGCCAGTGCTTAGAATCACTGCTTTAAACAGAGCAAGGGGAGGTAGAGGGCTCAGGTAAAGAATATGACAGTACCACTAAGATTGTACCCATGAAGCAAAAAAGAAATGATCAATTTCCTATATAAAAAGCCACATCAGGCGAAAAGGGTCAGATGAGGGTTGGAGAAGAAAAGAAGAGAGAAAAGAGAGGTCTAGGTGAGGGAATGGCAGAGCTGGTAAGGCCAGGTCCTGTGGTCTTCTTGGGTGCTGGTCACAGAGTCCACTCTTTTGGGTAAAGATGAAGTCGAAGCTGAAGCCGCTTCCAGGCTCTTCTCAGCCCAGGGTTATCTTGAATCAGTAGAATTGAGTGGCTGGCAGGGTAGGCAGCCATGATGATCTGGCACAAATTATTCCACAGACTGTTGATGTCAAACATGTTGGACAGGTAGATAAACAGAGCAACTGCATTGAAAATGTAGAGAATGAGAAAGTAGCTGATAGCTTTGATGGCCCCCATGTGAGCCTCCATGCTGGGGTCGTTGGACCCTGTGGCATTGCTTCCCATGTGTAGGGTGTGTCTCTTGAGAGAGAGGATCAGCAGGGTGGCTGTCAGGATGAACATGATCAGAGGAGTCACAATCCCCAGGTTAAAGAAAAAAGCCAGACCGACCACATTGATCTCAGACAAGTATGTTTTCTTAGTGGAGTTGGAGGAGTGGATAGGGAAAGAATTGTTACAATACACAGTGCAGATGTTGATGCAGAACATGCTGTGACTGAAGGAAATAAACACGGACAGCCACAGAAGCCAGGGTATCAATCCAGTAATTCTCCACCTCAGTTTGAGGAAAAGGGGGTAGGAGAAATTGGCAATCTTCACAAAGTAGAAGAAACTGAGCCAGGCAGCAAACCACAGGCTACAAAAATTTAAGAATATAAAACTTATTTTGAATGCATAATATACAGCGTCTTCAGAATAAAAACTTAGGGAGGTTGAGCTGATGGTAATTTCTAACATCATGAGGCTTTGGAGAGCTATTCTGGATACACTCAGGAAAACCAGGATCCTGCCACTTGTGGAAACTGCCTTATTTTGAACCCATTCAGCTGCATGTATAGCCATGATGAAACCATTTGCAATGATACCAATGAGGTATTCAGCAAGTAAAACTGCTAAAATTAAGGTGATGAGAAATGGCGACAATTCACTTTCTGCAGGATCGCAGAGTTTAGTCATTCTGAGCTGTTGCTTCTCTTTGGTGTCTGGAGGAAAACATCTCCCTAGCATTTGATGGGCAGACTCTTGATAACTCCCAGTATTGATGTCATAGGAGGAAGCAATTGATGTATCATTTCCAAATTCACTGCATTTGTTTATTTCAGAATTCTTAGCTCTACATCTAGAGATGCAAATGTTGGAAGGATTTGGTTTCTAATCCTCTCTCTATTTTTGAACATGTTGGTAGTGGTTCAATAATGAGGCCCAGGGAAGCGCTTGAGTAGACTCTTTAAAAGCAGCTAACATGGTACTGAGGTCCGTGTTCTTTGGTAGCATCAGTTAATTTGAACATTGGTTAACTGAGTCATCATTTAACTTACTTTCACTTGTGACTGCAGAAAATGATTGAAAATAAAAACTGCTACACACATACACACACACACACGCACTTCTCATTTTGTGCTAAGAAATTTTCAAATGATTTATTTATAATTACTACATTTAAACCTCACAACAACCTTATGAGCATGTGCTTCTATTACCTCCATTTTGCAGATGAAGAAACTAAGGCATACAGAGGTTAAATAACTTGGCCAACATCACACAACTAGAGCGTGATAGAACTGGGATTCAAACCCAAGTCACCTGGTCGCAGAGTTCCTCCTCTTATCCACCATGTTATGCTACCTAGACCTGTGGATTCTTTTGTGTGCCCAAGACTAAATGCAGGGTTGATTCCACTATGACATTTTTTTCCTGGTAGCCTTTTATGTCCCCACCCTCTAAAGAAAAATCAATAAAGCAAGAAGACACTGATTTTTAAGAGATAGGACTCTCTTTTCAAAGTAGATTACTTGAGAGGTAATAAATTTAATTATACATAAAAGATCATACACACACACACACACACACACATATTCACCTTTCATTTTAAGCAAAACTAGGAAAATAAGAGTTGAAGGTAAAACTCCCTAGTTCCTAGCAAGGTAAGCTAGCGAACCTGAGAATAAAAGCAATGTCCCAATTCATCCAATTTTGGAATATTAAAACAAAAAGAAAGGAAAAAAGAATCACTTTTATCTTAAGGAATTTTTTTCTGATTTTAAAACGCAAGCATAGGACACATAATGATAAAATGGACTTTTCATTTCAGGGTAAATTAATTTTTATGAATGTATGTAACTTTAAAATAATGATGAAGTAATAATTCTAATAAAGAGAAAGTTGGTGGGTGAGAAGTCTCAGAAAATCTTTATAACATTTGGTTTTTACTTAAAGCCTTTTAAAAACAAGGCAAGAACTCATAAACGTTTTCTGGCTTGATTAATGATTTTAGATGAGTTGTTACGAATTTTACCATCTCATTTGAAAATCACTATTCCTGAACAAATATTTCCCTTGAATACAGCGTAATAGACAACTGCTCCTCTCTGCTTGTTTCTACCCATTTGCACAAGTAGGCCTGGAGTATCTCAGGACCTCCAGTTTGGTTTTAAAGAGGATTTTTCTTGCCACTGGCTTTCCCCTACTTCTGCTGATCCAGGCTTCCAAGAGTGGGAGGAGAAACAGGACATGGTCCCTTCAGAGGCTGTTGCGTCTTTCCTCATTTGATTTGTTTATCCATGTATCCCACTCTGAGCCCCTAGCCCATGCCAGACACCCAGGAGGCAGTACATAGATACTTGCTGGGTTGATATATGGCCTTAGTGAAGACCTTCAGCTCAGAGAAGCTCTTTATGAGAGACATGAGGAGGAATGGCAGTTCCACGTCTCCTCAAATTTGAAAATCTGCAGGTCCTATGCCTAAATCAAGTGTCAGAGCATAAACAGTGAGGTTCAGTGAGAACACAGCAGACTGTAGAGAACATCTGTGTAAGAAACACTGGTGGGTGACAGAGGGGAACAAAGGAAGGGGAAGCAGAGACAGAGCAGCCAGATGAGAAAGAGCTCAGACAGGGTCTGGCTTCACAGTGTAGGGTGCTGCAGAGGCTGTGGGCAGGAGCTGGGACCACAGACATCACCAAAGGCATTTCAGAAGATGCTCTGCTTGCCACAGCTTATGAAAGAGGTGCTTCCTGCAATGGAAAGAGTTTTGTTCATGGAAATTTCCAGGGGCGATCTGAGGGGGGATGAAATAACCTTTCTGGGTGAAAAGATGATCTTTTCTTTTTCTTTTTTTTATTTATTATACTTTAAGTTCTAGGGTACATGTGCACAACGTGCAGGTTTGTTACATATGTATACATGTGCCATGTGGTTTGCTGGACCCATTAACTCGTCATTTACATTAGGTGTATCTCCTAATGCTTTCCCTGCCCCCTCCCCACACCCCACAACAGGCCCCGGTGTGTGATGTTCCCCTTCCTGTGTCTAAGTCTTCTCATTGTTGAATTCCCGCCTATGAGTGAGAAAATGCGGTGTTTGGTTTTTTGTTCTTGCGATAGTTTGCTGAGAATGATGGTTTCCAACTTCATCCATGTCCCTACAAAGGACATGAACTCATCCTTTTTTATGGCTGCATAGTATTCCATGGTGTATATGTGCCACATTTTCTTGATCTTCTTAAAGTAACACTGTTGGACCAGTTCCTAAATGGCACCTTCAGTTTCCTAAATACATCTTGGATGTATTTGAGTGGGTATTTCTAATATTAGGTTGGTGCAAAAGTAATTGTGGTTTTTGCCATTACTTTTAAAAAAAGGCAAAAACCACAATTGCTTTTACATCAACCTAATAATTAAGGAACGCTCATGAAGAAAACTCTGACCCATTAAGGACATAGGGAATAGGTTTTAAAAGTCCAGTTTATTTGGTTATATTTTTAACTTATTATTGTGAAATAACTTTTGACATAGAGATGAGTTATAAAGATAGTACAGACAATTCTCATACACCCTTCACCCAGCTTCCACTAATGCTTACATCTTACATAATCATGCTACAATGATCTAACGAAGGAAATTGGCGTTGTTACAATACTATCAGCTCAATTTTTGGCTTCATTTGGACTTTTCCAGTTTTTCCACTAACGTCCTCTTTTTCTGTTTCGAGACCCAGTCCAGAATACCACATTGTAATTCATCATTGTTTCCTTCATCTCTTCCAATTCAAAACAAATTCTTGGTCTTTCCTTTTCTTTTATGACCTTGACAGTTTTGAAGAGTCCTGGTCAGGTATTTTGCAGTGTATTCTTTGATTTGGGTTTGTCTTAGTTTTCTCATTATTAGCCTGGGTTAATGGATTTTTGGGAAGAGTACCACAGAGATGATGTGCCCCTCTGACTGCAGGGACCCATGATGTCAATGACTTTTACTGGCGATGTTAACTTGATCACTTAGTTAAGGTGGTATCTGACTGGTCTCTCGGCCATAAAGTTACTCTTTTTTTTCCTTTTGTGCTCTATCAATTAGAAGTAAGTCACTAAGTCTGGCCCGCACTCAAGGGAGATGAATTAGACTTTACCTCCCAGAGGAGAACTCTTAAAGAATTTGTGGACATTATTTTAAAAACCAACACAGAAATATTCTGTAGGAGATATTTTGAAGCTATGCAAATATCTTGTTTTTCCTAAAACTCTTGTCCACTGATTTGAGTATTCATGACGGCATGCTGCCTGCAGCAATTAACATTACTGTGGTGTTATAATTTTTTGTTTTCCTCTTTCCTTTCACCTTTATTAATTAGAATTCTTCTCTAAGAAAAAATTATTCCTCCTCTCCCATTTAGTTACTTAATCAAACATTTATTTGTATTCTTATGCACTCATGGATTTTTATTTTATATTTTGCATTTCGGTCACACTTCAATACTATTGTTATTTTTTGCTCAACCTGCTCAAGCTTTGGCAATTGGGAACTCTTTCAGATTGGTTCTTATGTCTTTTAAATATGGCTCCATTTTTTTTTTCTTAAGAACTTCCTAACTTTGTGGCATCATGGGATGTTCCAAACTCATATTTTTCCCACCCCAACACTGAAATAAATCATTTATTCAAAGAGTCTTAATTCTTTTATTGGAGAATGGCATTTACACACCAATATCTAGGTATTTAACTTTGTAAGAAACTGCCAAACTATTTTCTAGAGTAGTTATACTATTACCAGCAATGTATGAGAGTTTTCCAGTTGCTTCATATCTTTGCCAGCACTTGGTATTGTCAAGTGTTTTTAAAAAATTTTAGTCATTTAAAAATATGTGGCACTATTTCTTTGTGATTTTAAGTTGCATTTCCCTAATAACGAGTGATGTTGAGGATCTGTTCATATTCTTATCGTGATGGTTAGTACTGAGTGTCAATTTGCTTGGATTGAAGGATACGAAATACTGATTCTGGGTGTGTCTGTGAGGGTGTTGCCAAAGGAGATTAATATTTGAGTCAGTGGGCTGGGTAAGGCAGACCCACCCTTAATCTGGTGGGCACCATCTAATCAGCTGCCAGCAAATATAAAGCAGGCAGAAAAATGTGAAAAGCAGAGACTGGCCTAGCCTCCAACTTTCTCCTGTGCTGGATGCTTCCTGCCCTCAAACATCGGACTCCAAGTTCTTCAGTTTTGGAATTCGGACTGGCTGTCCTTGCTTGTCAGCCTGCAGATGGCCTATTGTGGGACCTTGTGATGGTGTAAGCTAATACTTAATAAACTCCCCTTTATATATATATTCCGTCAGTTCTGTCCCTCTAGAGAACCCTGACTAATACACTTACTGACCATCAATATGTCTTTGTTTATTCAGAATTTTGCCTATTAAAAAATGAGTTGTTATATTCCTTATATAGTCTAATTATAAGTCCCTTATCAGCTATGTGCTTTGCAAATATTTTCCCCCAGTGCATGACTTATCCTTTCAATCTCTTAATGGTTTTTACAGAATACAAGTTTTAAATTTTGGTAAAATTCAATTGATCAATTTTTCTTTTGTGGATTACACTTTTGGTGTTTGGTCATAAAACTGCGCCAGACCCAAAGCTATACATATTTTCTCTTGTGTTTTCTTTGAGAAGTTTTATAATTTTAGCTTTCATATTTATGCTGATGATGTACTTTGTAGAAAGTAAAAAGTTTCCTCTTCAAAGTTTCCCTTCTTGTTAAAGAATAAATCATAAGTGTTAATAGTTTCTTTTAAAGACTAACTTCCTTCAGCCCTCCTTACTTTGTGCTAATACCTCTTTGTTAAGCCCTATTCTCTGTAGCTGTTAGACATGCTTACAGGCATGTAGTACATTCTATGTCCTTGTACTTTAACCAAGATGTCTGTGCTAGACGTGCTCACAGGCATGTCCCAGCTTGCAACTTATGCCCCTTTTTTATTTGGGAATGTTATTAGTTTTCTAAGTCTTTTCATAAGCAACTTCCTCTTTTCCTTTGTTCTCTATTGCCTTTACCTATTTAGGAAAGTTTTAAATTATTAGCCAGTTGGGTTCAGTTTAGATTGTGAGGTCTGGCTCCAGCTAATGGAGACAGGACACAGTAGCAGGGACAAGCTGCATAAGGGATAATAATTGCTTCCCTCCTTTGTTCAGGTGTGCTCTTGCCATTGTTTCATCTGCAAGGAGCACCTCTTCTGCAGAAAGTAAAATTGCCTTGCTGAGAAAAAGTTTTATCTGAATACTAATTTTTCCTTATAGTACCGAGGAATAAGTGTTCTGTTTCTAAATAAACATTTTACTTATAACATACTTAGAATTAATTTTTGTGTAAGGTATGAGGAGTGTGTCCAGATTGGGTGTTTTTAGTTTTTGGTATATGAATATCCAATTGTTCCACACCATTTGTTGTCAAAAGCATCCTTTCTCCATTGAAATTACTTGCAACTCTTATCAAAAATCAGTGGACTATATTTGTGTGGGTCTATTTCTTCCCTGTCTCTTCTATTTTATCTATCTGTCATCTATCTATCTATCTATCTATCTATCTATCTATCTATCATCTATCTATCTATCTATCTATCTATCTATCTATCTATCTATCTTCTATCTACTCTTTTGTAAAAAACACATTGTTTAATTATTGTAACTGTATAACAAGACTTGGAATCGGACAGTGTGAATCCTCCAACTTTATTCATGCTTTTCAGAGTTGTTTTGCTGTGAGTGGAGTCTCTGGAAAAATGTTTGAGCAAATTCTTTTCAGCAGTAACTTTGGTTAATTTTAAGATTGTTTTTCTTTAATTTTCTGCAGTTTTTCTACCATGAATGCAGTTTGGACTTTATTATTACTATTACTTAATATGTCTTGCTTGGTATTCAGAAGGGGCTCTAGATGTAACATTTTATATATTTTTATATATTTTTTTAATTGAAAAACTTTCAACAACTATATCTTTTTTTTTTTTTTTTTTTTGAGACAGAGTCTTGCTCTATCACCCAGGCTGGAGTGCAGTGGCAGGATCTTGACTCACTGCAACCTCTGCCTTCCGGGTTCAAATGATTCTCCTGCCTCAGCCTCCTGAGTGGCTGGGATTACAGGTGCGTGCCACCATGCCTGGCTAATTTTTGTATTTTTTTAGTAGAGATGGGGTTTCACCATGTTGGCCAGGCTGGTCTCAAACTCCGGACCTCAGGCCATCCACCCGCCTTGGCCTCCCAAAGTGTTGGGATTACAGGCACGAGCCACAGTGTCTGGCCCAGCAATTGTATCTTTACAAACTGCTTCTCAGACTTTTCTTCCATTCTCTTTACCTGGAATTACAATTAGACTCAGTTTTTCTTAACTGTTTTTGCAAGTTTTTAATATTTTTGTTTCTGTATTTTATATTCTGAAGACAACTATGTAATTTACCATGTGTGGAAAGGGTACAACAATAATTAAAAGTATATAATTACTTACAATACAAATTTATTGGCTAAAATTACTTTTATTATTTGTTGGTAGTCTGATAAAATAGATCTATTCTAAAAGTATTCTATGAAATCGTTCTAAAAACCACATATCCTGCTCTCTAAAGCAAAATAAAAAGTACTTCTTTGTATTAACTGAACATTAAAAATAATATAAGCAGATAATTTTTTGTTATATATTAATGTATTTTTAAATTTAAATTTAAATTTAATTTTATTTTTTAGACAGGGTTTTGCTCTGTGCCCAAGCTGGAGTGCAGTGGTGTGATCTCGGCTCACTACAACCACCACCTCTTGGGCTCAAGCGGCCCTCCCACCTCAGCCCAGTAGCTGGCACTACAGGCATGCACCATCATGCCGGGCTAATTTTTGTATTTTTTGTAGGAATGAGGTCTCACTATGTTACCCAGGCTGGTCTCAAACTCCTGGGCTCGAGCGATCTTCCTGCCTTGGCCTCCCAAAGTGCTGGGATTACAGGAATAAGCCACTATGCCTGGCCTTTATTAATGTACTTTAATGAGCTTTTTAGTTATATTTATTTCTGATACCATGTCATTGATATTTTTTCTGAATAATGTATATTTTTTAAAAATACCTGTTTTGATTGCTCTTATTTTTATGAAATTGCCTACAGTATTCTTTTAAGTTGCATTTTATGGTTAACACATTTGAAATTATTGACACTTTAATGGACTCTTCTCTGACGATTGAGAAAATAGTTCTTTATAAGTTGAGATAACTAATGTGTGCTAAGTAAGTTCTGCTACATGGAGTCTATTCTCAACTGTAACTTTTTTAAACTGAATTATGTAAATATTTTAGCTTCCATTTGGAAAACCTTTCTTTAAAATATTTTATGACAAAAATAATCAAGTAAATTTTCTCTATTTATGATTCTTTTAAAGGTTTTACTAAATCTAAATCATGCAAAATTCTAGTCTTCAGTTTTACTTTATTATAATACAGGATATCTATTTATCTAATCAAAAAATAATAACTACACCAAAATATTCCTTTCTAGAAAATGAGATATTCTAGCATAATTTTTAAATTTTGAAATTATATCTTCTCCATCATTAAGCATGCATGGCTTAATTTGTTTAGTTTCTTTCTTACTTTTGCAGGGATAAATGTCGATACTCAGTGCCTTCCTATTTGTAAGTTGTGTTTCAATCACTGTGATTTCTCAAAGCTTTAGAAGCTGAAGCATTTTTTTGCTCCATTTGTTTAATACTTTGATTATATATTTCCCTCTAATTTTCCACAAAAGCAATCAAAATTTAGAGAAATTGTTTACCAAAACATTCAATATAATTGTAAGAAATTTTGGTTCATATACAAAGTACTTCTTCAAAGACTCAAACGTATGTAAAGAATGATTGATGAGAGGGAACAAAAAGAGAGAACTATGCTGAAGTATTTTTAGTGTTCAAGATGAGATTCATCATACAAGTTTAGTAGGTCAGTTATTCTGCCCACATAAAAAATTTTGCAAAGTTTATCAATCGTAGCTTCTGTTTTGATTGATAAAGTATCTCTGATTGCTTGAATATTTTTAATTATGTTTGTACCACAGAAAATTTCAGTTGTCTTCATATTTCACAGATGTTTTAATTTAGTAAGACCCTAAGCTTTTACTGTGACGCTGTGCTCCACTAAAATTTTTGTTTATGTTATTAACTGCAAAACAAATAAAATTTTACCTTTCTAAATGAGTTTCAATAGCACATATTAAAAGGTCAGATATTTCATCTTCAACAGAAATAACTTTTTTTTTTTTTGAGACAGAGTCTCACTCTGTCACCCAGGCTGGAGTGCAGTGGCACAATCTTTGCTCAATGCAACCTCCGCCTCCCAGGTTCAAGCAATTCTCCTGCCTCAGCCTCCTGAGTAGCTGGGATTACAGGCATGCACCACCATGCCCAGCTAATTTTTGTATTTTTAGTAAAGGTGGGATTTCACCATGTTGGTGAGGCTGGTCTTGAACTCTTGACCTCAGGTGATCCACCAACCTTGGCCTCCCAAAGTGCTGGGATTACAGGCGTGAGCCACCTCCCAGTCAGAAATAACTTTTAAAAGCTTTACTCTCATTTCATGAATTGGATGAACACAATCTAACCATTATTTGAATTAACTGATTTTTCTATTTGAAAGACTCTGGTAAAATTGATATAAAACTGATGTCATGTAATTGGGAATTTTTTCTTCTATAGATGGATTCAACATATTAATAGCTTCCAATTCCTTTTTTGTACACGCACAGAAAAACTTTGGAATTGAAAATGTATACTTGGGAATTATACTTCTTTCTTTCCCATTTAGAAGTCTTTTATTTCTTGCCTAATTGCTCTGGCTAGGACTTTCAATACTATGCTTAATAGAAGTGGTGAAAGCGTTCATCTTTGTCTTGTTCCTGATCTTAGAGAGAAAGCTTTTAGTTTTTCATCTTGAGGATGATGTTAGCTTTGGGCTTGCCATATATGGACTTTATTATGTTGTGGGACATTCCTTCTATATCTAGTTTGTTGAGCCTTTTTTCATGAAAAGGTGTTGAAATTTGTCGAATGTTTTTTACTGCATCTATTGCGAGGCTCATGTGATTTTTGTCCTTTATCCTGTTAAGTGGTATATCATATTTACTGATTTGCATATGCAAAATCATCCTTGCATCTCAGGGATAAACCTGACTTGGTTATTCTAATGTGCTGTTTAATTCTGTTTATAATATTTTGTTCAGAATTTTAAATTTATTTTCACAGGGATATTGGCCTGTCATTTTCTTTCCTTGTAGTGTCTTTGTCTGGCTTTGATATAAAGGTGATGCTGGGCTCATAAAATAATTTGGAAGTTTTCCTTTTTCCATTGTTTTGGAAGAGTTTGTAAAAGATTGGCATTAATTCTTTAAGTGTTTGGCAGAATTTACTAGTGAAGCCATCTGGTCCTGGAATTTTTTTTGTTTGGAGATTTCTTTGTTTGGAGTTGTGGCACACATCTGTAGTTTCTGCTACTTGGGAAGCTGAGGCAGGAGGATCCCTTGAGCCCAGGAGTTCAAGGTTACAGTGAGCTAATCTTTTAACTTTGATTTTTTAGAGACAGGATCTCACCATGTTGTCTAGGCTGGTTTGGAACTCCTGACCTTGAGCCATTCTCACATCTTGGCCTCCCAAAGTGCTGGGATTACAGGTATGAGCCACCACGCCTGGCCAGGTTGGGAGGTTTCTGATTACTAATTCAATCTCCTTACTTATTATTGGTCTGTTCAGATTTTCTGTTTTTTATGATTCATTCTTGATAGGTTGCATGTCTCTAGGAATTTATTTCTCCTCATTTATCTAATTTGTTGGTGTTTAATGTTCATAAGAATCTCCTAAATGTCCTTTTCATTTCTGTAGCATCAGTTGTAATGTTTCATCTTTCATTTCCAGTTTTATTTATTTGATTCTTCCCTCTTTATTTCTTACTTAGTTTAGATAGCAGTATTGGACCAAAATGAAAGGTCACACTCTACTGAAAGATATAAATCAAATGCATCTTCTGCAGATATACATTGATGTCATTTTAGGCATACTCTTTTTAAAGTAGCAACTAATATTTCAAGTCAATGCTGAGGCTCCCACAGCAAATTTGGTCTAGGGCTTTCAAGTAGTCAGTGATGTTATTATAGCCATTACGGTAGATGGTAAATGGCAACAAACATATTGTGCAAGTTACATGTTCATCATCAACTTCCTTGAAAAATGAAAATTCAGTAATTAATTTTCATTATCATACATTTTGTTTTCTTGAGCTCACTATGCCAAAAGCTTGGTTGAAAAAAAAATGTCAAATAATAAAATAAGTAGTTGTAGATTTACGCCTTACAAAAAATGACAAATTATCATCGCAGGAACATTCAGACCTCTCTTTATATGTTCTATGACAGGACTGCTCAGCCTCTATTTCCTACTCACTTTTCCTGTACAGTTAAGCTATAATTTCTCACCTTTTTCCACTGTTCTCATCAACTAGTGATCTGAAGGTTTCATAAAATTCTCAGGTTACAGCAAGAGCCTTGGCACAGCTGGTGAGTGGGGCCGGCCCTGGCAGCAACATTGTTTACTTTCGCATTACCATCTATGGCTGGAGAGAGAGAGGGCTGTCCTGAGCCACTTGCTTAGGAGTGCACTTTATTTTTGCAGCAAGTTCCCTGGATAGCACCTTTGAAAAAGAGGTATTAGCGTCCTTCTATTTACAGAAACTATAGGGTTTTTAGGGGAGTAGCTAATATATTACTAGAGAAGACCTTCGTAGAAATTGGAGTACAAAATGAAAGTGCCAAGTTCATCCTGTCATATTTTAACATAGAAGACTAAAAATTAAAAATAGGGGACAAATGCTAAATCTAGAGAGGGCGCTGGAGCAAAAGGCATAGACTAATATGCTTGTGGGAAATTTCTGTAGCTCTAGCAAAATTCTTTAACATCATATTCTAATTTACAACTATTTTCATTATTGGGTTCATTTCACAGTTTATTCCTTTTATTTGTGTCTTTAAAAACTTCAGTGAATATATTTTTCCTTTGCAAAATTTCTAATTGCTTACTTTTCCTGTTTACTTCTTTTTCTTTTATTTCTGCCCCTTTAAAAAAATTTCTGCCCTTTTAAGATTATACCATTAGTTAAACATTAGCCTGACATTAGGTTTCTATGTTGTGTCTTACAGTTTGGGTCTGGTGTTTCATCTTGAACCAGGGAGTCTCTCCTTTCTCCATAGTCACCCTCCCTGTCTGGCAGTTTCACTGTGTTTCAGTCCCTTCTTCCTGGTGCTGTGGTTTCCCAGTGAAGAGCCAAGATTCTTGCCTGGAGCTGATATTGTTGTTATTGCAGATACTTTGTTTCTATGAGTTACAGCTCTTTCAGACAGGTGTGTACATTTTTGGTAAATATTTGACTCCTGGTTATATGTAGTTTTCCTTCAAAATGATGTCTTTTCCTCTTACCTCTCACTACATTTCTTTTTTTTTTTTGAGACGGAGTCTCGCTCTGTCGCCCAGGCTGGGGTGCGGTGGCATGATCACGGCTCACTGCAAGCTCCACCTCCTGGGTTCACACCATTCTCCTGCCTCAGCCTCCTGAGTAGCTTGGACTACAGGTGCCCGCCACCACACCTGGCTAATTTTTTTGTATTTTTAGCAGAGACGGGGTTTCACAATGTTAGCCAGGATGGTCTCGATCTCCTGACCTCTTGAGCAGCCCACCTCGGCTTCCCAAAGTGCTGGGATTACGGGTGTGAGCCACCGCGCCCGGCCCACCTCTCACTACATTTCTGACCCTAACACAAGACTAAAATTTTAATGAGTTTTACAGAATTTTGATTTTCTTGCTAAGGACCATAAAAATGTATACTTAGCTGAAATGCCTACAACCAAAAGAAACATATCAAATGTCGTGTAACCATTTATTGCCACTGATATCTGATTTGATGCAATAGTTTTCTTTTTTCTTTCTTTCCTTCCTGTAGGAGTTGCTGTTGGGGCTCCACTGTCTTTCCTTAGTAACTATCATTCTTGAACATGGTGAAACTTATTTTAGCTTGTGTTCCTCCAGGGACAGACTTTAAGACCAAGATTTGAATAGAAATATTTTTTAGTTTTTAATTTTTTTAATGCTCAGGGCAATATAATTTTTTAAAAAATAAAGGTACATTATTAGGCCAGTTACCACAGTGGAACACTGAGGCTTCATCCTGAGAGGAATCTCTGGCAAGTGCTGTGAAACATGTGACTCAGAGTTCCCACACCTCTCAGGCAGAAAAGCATGGGTTCTCCATGCCAATTTTCCCGTCACTGGTTGAGGCTTGCTCCTCAGGGTTTTTAGTGGCCTTATCCCCACCTACCCCTTTAGTCTGCAGTGTGTGGGCAAAATGACCTTTCCTATCTCTGGTAGGAGTCCACTAGCACAGAGAGGCAGATATGGCAGGTTGAAATTGCTCAGAGGGCACAGGGATGGTAGGTTAGGGTTCGAGGGATGGACAAGGCACTAATGATTGCTCCAAGGCTTCTTACTGTACACACCTGCAACTCCAACCTTGGGGAATCTCTTGGAGTGCAAGACCATACTTCTACTCTTTGTTTCTGTGAGATTGACTATTTTAGTTACCTCCTGTAAGTGGAATCTTGCAGTATTTGTACTTCTATGCCTGGCTTATTTCATTTAGCAAAATATTCTCCTGGTTACAGGTTCACTCGTGGGTTTTTTTTTTTTTTCCTTTTTTCTGGAGATGGAGTCTCACTTTGTCGCCCAGGCTGGAGTGCAGTGGTGCAATCGTGGCTCACTGCAACCTCCGCCTCCCAGCTCAAGTAATTCTCCTGCTTCAGCCTCCCGAGTAGCTGGGATTACAGGTGTGCACTACCACGCCTGGCTAATTTTTTGTATTTTTAGTAGAGACAAGGTCTCACCATATTGGCCAGCCTGGACTTGAATTCCCAACCTCAGTTGATCCGCCTGTCTTGGCTTTCCAAAATGCTGGGATTACAGGCATGAACAACATGCCTGGCCAGTATTTCCTTTTTTTTTTTCAAGGCTGAATAATATCCCATTATGATATTACATATATACGAATATATATGAACATTCCATAATATTCCATATATATATATATAAATTTCTTTATGACATATAAAGAAATTGTTGAGAGTTTTATTATAATTTCTTTACCCATTTGTCCATTGGTTGTTTCTATATCCTAACTAATTATTGTGAATAATGCTGCAGTGAACATGGAAGTGCAGTGCTGGTATCTCTTCAAGATTTTGATTTCACTTTTTTGGATACATATGCAGAAATGAGATTGCTGGATCATATAGTGGTTCTATTTTTATTTTAAGGAAGCATCGTGCTGTTTTTCATAGCAGCTTTACCATTTTACCTTCTCAACAACAGTGTACAGCATTCCAATATCACCTCCTCCTCCCCAGCACTTATCTTCCTTTTTTAAAATCATAACCACTATAACAGGTGTGAAATGACATTTCATTGTGGTTTTGATTTGCATTTCCCTGATGATTAGTTATGTTAAACACCTTTTCATATGCCTGTTAGGCATTTGTATGTCTTCTCTGGAGAAATAGCAATTCAACTCTTTTCTCTATTTTTTATTTATTTATTTATTTATTTTTAGATGGAGTCTTGCTCTGTTGCCAGGCTGGAGTGAAGTGGCGCAATCTCGGCTCACTGCAACCTCTGCCTCCCGGGTTCAAGTGATTCTTCTGCCTCAGCCTCCTGAGTAGGTGGTACTACAGGCGCCCGCCACCACTCCCAGCTAATTTTTTGCTTTTTTTTTTTCTTCAGTAGAGACAGGGTTTCACCATATTGGCCAGGATGGTCTCAATCTCTTGACCTCATGATCCACCCTCCTCGGCCTCCCAAAGTGCTGGGATTACAGGAGTGAGCCACCGCACCTGGCCCATTTTGTAATTTTTATTTATTTATTTACTTACTTATTGCTATTGAGTTGTAGGGGTTTCTTATATTTTTCGGATATTAAACCCTTATCAGACATATGATTTGCAACTATTTTCTCCTATCCCACAGGTCGCCTTTCAGTTCTGTTGACTATTTCCTTTGCTATCGAGAAATTTATAGTTTGATAAAAACTCTCAACAAACTGGGTATAGGAGGATTTTTTCTCAACATAATAAAGGTCATGTATGACAAACCTGCAGCTAGTATTATACGCAGCAGTGAAAAACAGAAAGCTTTTCCTCTAAGATCGGGAACAAGATAAAGATGCCCCCTCTCATCACTTCCATTCAACATAGTGCTTGATATGGTTTGGATTTGTGTCCCCACCTGAATCTAATGTTGAATTAGAGGAGGGACCTGGTGCGAGGTGAATGGACCATGGGTAGGGATTTCCCCCTTGCTGTTCTCCTGATAGTGAGTGAGTTCTCACGAGATCTGATGGCTTAAAAGTGTGTAGCTCTCTCCTAGCTCTCTCCTGCCACCATGTGAAGAAGGTCCTTGCTTCCCCTTCACCTTCTGCCATGATTGTAAGTTTCCTGAGATCCCCCAAGTCATGCTTCCTGTAAAGTCTGCAGAACAGTGAGTCAATTAAACCTATTTTCTTCATAAATTACCCAGTCTCAGATAGGTCTTTATAGCAATGTGAAAATGGATTAATACAGTACTGGAAGTTCTAACAAGGTCAATTAGGCAAGAAAAAGAAATACAAAGCATGTAAATCAAATCACAAGGCATTCAAATGAAATCAGAAAAGAAGAAGTAAAAGTATCTTTGCTCATAGATGACATGATACTGTGTGTAGAAAATCCCAAAGACACTTCCAAAAAACTTAGAATGAATAAACAAATTCATTAAAGTTACAGGATACAAAATTCACCTATGAAAATTTGTTGAGTTTCTATATACTAACAATGAACCACCTGAAAAGGAAATTAAGAAAACAATTCCGTTTACAAAAGCATCAAAGACAATAAAATAGAAATAAACCAAACCAAGAAGGTAAAGGACATACACACACACCAAAACATTGATGAATAAAACTAAAGAAGACACAAATAAATGGAAAAACATCCTGTGTTCATGGATTGGAAGACTTAGTGTTGTTAAAATATCCATACTATCCAAAGCAATATATGGATTCAAGCTATCCCCATTCAACCCCAATGGCATTTTTAATAAAAATAGAGAAAATGATCTAAAAATTTATATGGAAACACAAAAGATCCCAAACAGCCAAAGTGATCTTGAGAAAGAACAAAGCTGAAGGTATCATACTTCGTGATTTCAAAATATATTACAAAGCTTCAGTAATTAAAACTACATGATATTGGCATAAAGATATACACATAGACCAATGTAACAGGATAGAGAACCCAGACATAAACCTACTCAGGTATGGTCAACTGATCTGTGACATGGGCACCAAGAATACATAATGGATAAAGGATAGTCTCTTCAACACATTGTGTTGAGAAAATTGAATGTTCATAGGCAAAAGAATAAAACTGAAATATTATTTTACACCATACACAAAAATCAACTCAAAGTAGGTTAAAATACATTAAAGATTTAAACATAAGACATGAAACTATAGAACTCCTAGAAGAAAACACAGAGAAGAAACTTCTTGATATAGGCATTAACAACAATTTCTTAGATAAGACAAGAAAAGCACAGCAACAAAAACAAAAATAGACAAGCAGGGATATATTGAACTAAAAAAACCTTAACTTTGGATAGGTTGGAATGAGGTATCTGTAGTGTTTTATTAAAACATGGATAATTATAAGTAAGAATAATTATAAGGGTTGGGGCACTGGATGACTGCTGTGATTGGTTATAGAAACCCAGAAGAAGGCCAGGTGCGGTGGCTCACACCTGCAATCCCAGCAGTTTGGGAGGCTGAGGCAGGCGGATCACAAGATCAAGAGATTGAGACCATCCTGGCCAACATGGCAAAACCCCATCTCTACTAAAAATACAAAAATCAGCGGGGTGTGGTGGCACATGCCTGTAGTCCCAGCTACTCAGGAGGCTGAGGCAGGAGAATCGCTTAAACCTGGGAGGCGGAGGTTACGGTGAGCCAAGATCATGCCACTGCACTCCAGCCTGGCAACAGAGTGAGACTCTGTCTCAAAAAAAAAAAAAAAAATGAAAGAAAGAAAAAAAGAAACCCAGAAGAAATGACAGAGTCAGATATGTCAATGATCAACTCAAAATATAGTTTCAAAGTCAGAAGGTCTTCAAGGCAGTTTAAAAAATTCTCACCTCTTGCAATTTTCAGTACACCTACAGAAAATCAGTGATACTAAGGCCTAAGATTTCATAGTAATGGTGGCATATTTAAAAAGGATTGAATTCACAGCCTTAGCAAAGATTCCTGTGATAAAGTTAGGACCTTTGTGAGAACTAAATGTATTCTAGGGATTGGGATTAGGAGATTTGGATAGACGCACATAAGAACGTTGAATCTCCAGGTTCCCTGAATCTTTAAAGTTTGCTAGAAAAGAGCAAACTTTCTTTGCATGGAGAACATGCATAGACCTCATCTGAGATAATGTTTTACCTTGTTCTTGAAATTTGCCCATGTCTTTCAACCCATTGATTTTAGACAATCGCTAGGGCCAAGTATCAGTGTGACCAAAGAAAGGAAGGACTATCCCTGTAATGGAAAGGAAAAGATGACTCACCAAAGTGCTGGCTAAATTTTATTAACAGGAATGAGGTGAAGATGCCTGGGAATGGATTTTGACTATTTTGAATCATAGAAAACACAATAAAAGATTAATTAGAGGGGGGCGGTTCCAAGATGACTGAATAGGAACAGCTCCAGTCTACAGCTCCCAGCATGAGCAACGCAGAAGACAGGTGATTTCTGCATTTCCAACTGAGGTACCGAGTTCATCTCACTGGGGCTTTTCAGACAGTGGGTGCAGGACAGTGGGTGCAGCACACTGAGTGTGAGGTGAAGCAGGGCGAGGCATTGCCTCACCTGGGAAGTGCAAGGGGTCAGGGAATTCCCTTTCATAGCCTAGCAAAGCTGTGACAGATGGCACCTGGAAAATCGGGTCACTCTCACCCTAATACTACACTTTTCCTATGGTCTTAGCAAATGGCACACCAGGAGATTATATCCCGCACCTGGCTTGGAGGGTCCCACGCCCACAGAACCTCGCTCATTGCTAGCACAGCAGTCTGAGATTGAGCTGCAAGGTGGCAGCAAGGCTGGGGGAGGGGTGCCCGCCATTGCTGAGTCTTGAGTAGGTAAACAAAGCAGCTGGGAAGCTCGAACTGGGTGGAGCCCACCGCAGCTCAAGGAGGCCTGCCTGCCTCTATAGACTCCACCTCTGGGTGCAGGGCACAACCGAACAAAAGGCAGCAGAAACCTCTGCATACTTAAATGTCCCTGTCTGACAGCTTTGAAGAGAGTAGTGGTTCTCCCAGCATGGAGTTTGAGATCTGAGAACGGACAGACTGCCTCCTCAAGTGGGTCCCTGACCCCTGAGTAGCCTTTCTGGGAGGCACCCCCCAGTAGGGGCAGACCGACACCTCACATGGCCAAGTACTCCTCTGAGACGAAAACTCCAGAGGAACGATCAGACAGCAACATTTGCTGTTCAGCAATATTCACTGTTCTGCAGCCTCCCCTGCTGATACCCAGGCAAACAGGGTCTGGAGTGGACCTCCAGCAAACTCCAACAGACCTGCAGCTGAGGGTCCTGACTGTTAGAAGGAAAACTAACAAACAGAAAGGACATCCACACCAAAACCCCATCTGTACGTCACCATCATCAAAGACCAAAGGTAGATAAAACCACAAAGATGGGGAAGACACAGAACAGAAAAATTGAAAATTCTAAAAATCAGAGCACCTCTCCTCCTCCAAAGGAACACAGCTCATCACTAGCAATGGAACAAAGCTGGATGGAGAATGACTTTGACGAGTGGAGAGAAGAAGGCATCAGATGATCAAACTTCTCTGAGCTAAAGGAAGAAGTTCAAAACCATTGCAAAGGAGTTAAAAACTTTGAAAAAAGATTAGATGAATGGCTAACTAGAATAACCAATGCAGAGAAGTCCTTAAAGGACCTGATGGAGCTGAAAACCATGGCACGAGAACTACCTGACAAATGCACAACCTTCAGTCCTGATTCGATCAACTGGAAAAAAGGTATCACTGATTGAAGATCAAATTAAGGAAATGAAGCAAGAAGAGAAGTTTAGAGAAAAAAAGAATAAAAAGAAATGAACAAAGCCTCCAAGAAATATGGGACTATGTGAAAAGACCAAATCTATGTCTGATTGGTGTACCTGAAAGTGATGGGGAGAATGGAACCAAGTTGGAAAACACTGTGCAGGATATTATCCAGGAGAACTTCCTAGCAAGGCAGGCCAACATTCAAATTCAGGAAATACAGAGAACACTACAAAGATACTCCCTGAGAAGAGCAACTCCGAGACACATAATTGTCAGATTCATCAAAGTTGAAATGAAGGAAGAATGTTAAGAGCAGCCAGAGAGAAAGGTCAGGTTACCCACAAAGGGAAGCCCATCAGACTAACAGCTGATCTCTTGGCAGAAACTCTACAAGCCAGAAGACAGCGGGGGCCAGTATTCAACGTTCTTAAAGAAAAGAATTTTCAACCCAGAATTTCATATCCAGCCAAACTAAGCTTCATAAGTGAAGTAGAAATAAAATCCTTTACAGACAAGCAAATGCTGAGAGATTCTGTCACCACCAGGCCTGCCCTAAAAGAGCTCCTGAAGGAAGCACTAAACATGGAAAGGAACAACTGGTACCAGCCACTGCAAAAACATGCCAAATTGTAAAGACCATCAAGGCTAGGAAGAAACTGCATCAACTAACAGGCAAAATAACCAGCTAACATCATAATGACAGGATCAAATTCACACATAACAATATTAACCTTAAATGTAAATGGGCTAAATGCCCCAATTAAAAGACACAGACTGGCAAATTGGATAAAGACTCAAGACCCATCAGTGTGCTGTATTCAGGAAACCCGTCTCATGTGCAGAGACACACATGGGCTCAAAATAAAGGGATGGAGGAAAATCTACCAAGCAAATGGAAAACAAAAAAAGGCAGGGTTGCAATCCTAGTCTCTGACAAAACAGACTTTAAACCAACAAAGATCAAAAGAGACAAAGAAGGCCATTACATAATGGTAAAGGGATCAGTTCAAGAAGAAGAGCTAACTATTCTAAATATATATGCACCCAATACAGGAGCACCCAGATTCATAAAGCAAGTCCTTAGAGACCTACAAAGAGACTTAGACTCCCACACAATAATAATGGGAGACTTTAAAACCCCACTGTCAACATTAGACAGATCAACGAGACAGAAAGTTAACAAGGATATCCAGGAATTGAATTCACCTCTGCACCAAGCGGACCTAGTAGACATCTACAGAACTCTCCACCCCAAATCAACAGAATATACATTCTTCTCAGCACCACACTGCACCTATTCCAAAATTGACCACATAGTTGGAAGTAAAGCACTCCTCAGCAAATGTAAAAGAACAGAAATTATAACAAACTGTCTCTCAGACCACAGTGCAATCAAACTAGAACTCAGGATTAAGAAACTCACTCAAAACCGCTCAACTACATGGAAACTGAACAACCTGCTCCTGAATGACTACTGGGTACATAACGAAATGATGGCAGAAATAAAGATGTTCTTTGAAACCAACGAGAACAAAGACACAACATACCAGAATCTCTGGGACACATTTAAAGCAGTGTGTAGAGGGAAATTTATAGCACTAAATACCCACAAGAGAAAGCAGGAAAGATCTAAAATTGACACCCTAACATCACAATTAAAAGAACTAGAGAAGCAAGAGCAAACACATTCAAAAGCTAGCAGAAGGCAAGAAATAACTAAGATCAGAGCAGAACTGAAGGAGATAGAGACACAAAAAACCCTTCAAAAAATCAATGAATCCAGGAGCTGGTTTTTTGAGAAGATCAACAAAATTGATAGACCGCTAGCAGGACTAATAAAGAAGAAAAGAGAGAAGAATCAAGTAGACACAATAAAAAATGATAAATGGGATATAACCACTGATCCCACAGAAATACAAACTACCATCAGAGAATACTATAAACACCTCTACACAAATAAACTAGAAAATCTAGAAGAAATGGATAAATTCCTGGACACATACACCCTCCCAAGACTAAACCAGGAAGAAGTTGAATCTATGAATAGATCAATAACAGGCTCTGAAATTGAGGCAGTAATTAAGAGCTTACCAACCAAAAATAGTCCAGGACCAGATGGATTTACAGCCGAATTCTACCAGAGGTACAAGGAGGAGCTGGTACCATTCCTTTTGAAACTATTCCAATCAATAGAAAACGAGGGAATCCTCCCTAACTCATTTTATGAGGCCAGCATCATCCTGATACCAAAGCCTGGCAGAGACAAACAAAAAAAGAATTTTAGACCAATCTCCCTGATGAACATCGATGCAAAAATCCTCAATAAAATACTGGCAAACCGAATCCAGCAGCACGTCAAAAAGCTTATCCACCATGATCAAGTGGGCTTCATCCCTGGGATGCAAGGCTGGTTCAACATATGCAAATCAATAAACATAATCCAGCATATAAACAGAACCCAAGACAAAAACCACATGATTATCTCAATATATGCGGAAAAGGCCTTTGACAAAATTCAATAGCCCTTCATGCTAAAAACTCTCAACAAATTAGGTATTGATGGGACATATCTCAAAATAATAAGAGCTATTTATGACAAACCCACAGCCAATATCATACTGAATGGGCAAAAACTGGAAGCATTCCCTTTGAAAACTGGCACAAGACAGGGATGCCCTCTCTCGCCACTCCTATTCAACATACTGTTGGAAGTTCTGGCCAGGGCAATCAGTCAGGAGAAAGAAATAAATGGTATTCATTTAGGAAGAGAGGAAGTCAAATTGTCCCTGTTTGCAGATGACATGATTGTATATCTAGAAAACCCCATCGTCTCAGCCCAAAATCTCCTTAAGCTGATAAGCAACTTCAGCAAAAGTCTCAGGATACAAAATGAATGTACAAAAATCACAAGCATTCTTATACACCAATAACAGAAAAAGAGAGAACAAAATCATGAGTGAACTGCCATTCACAGTTGCTTCAAAGAGAATAAAATACCCAGGAATCCAACTTACAAGGGATGTGAAGGACCTCTTCAAGGAGAACTACAAACCACTGCTCACTGAAATAAAAGAGGACACAAACAAATGGAAGAACATTCCATGCTCATGGATAGGAAGAATCAATATCGTGAAAATGGCCATACTGCCCAAGGTAATTTATAGATTCAATGCCATCCCCATCAAGCTACCAATGACTTTCTTCACAGAATTGGAAAAAACTACTTTAAAGTTCATATGGAACCAAAAAAGAGCCCGCATCGCCAAGTCAATCCTAAGCCAAAAGAACAAAGCTGGAGGCATCACACTACCTGACTTCAAACTATACTACAAGGCTACAGTAACCAAAACAGCATGGTACTGGTATCAAAACAGAGATACAGACCAATGGAACAGAACAGAGCCCTCAGAGATAATACCACACATCTACAACTATCTGATCTTTGACAAACTTGACAAAAACAAGAAATGGGGAAAGGATTCCCTATTTAACAAATGGTGCTGGGAAAACTGGCTAGCCATATGGAGAAAGCTGAAACTGGATCCCTTCCTTACACCTTATACAAAAATTAATTCAAGATGGATTAAAGACTTAAATGTTAGACCTAAAACCATAAAATCCCTAGAAGAAAACCTAGGCAATACCATTCAGGACATAGGCATGGGCAAGGACTTCATGCCTAAAACACCAAAAGCAATGGAAACAAAAGCCAAAACTGACAAATGGGATCTAATTAAACTGAAGAGCTTCTGCACAGCAAAAGAAACTACCATCAGAGTGAACAGGCAACCTACAGAATGGGAGGAAATTTTTGCAATCTACTCATCTGACAAAGGGCTAATATCCAGAATCTACAAAGAACTCAAACAAATTTACAAGAAAAAAACAAACAACCCCATCAAAAAGTGGGCAAAGGATATGAACAGACATTTCTCAAAAGAAGACATTTATGCAGCCAACAGACACATGAAAAAATGCTCATCATCACTGACCATCAGAGAAATGCAAATCAAAACCACAATGAGATACCATCTCACACGAGTTAGAATGGTGATCATT
Source organism: Homo sapiens (assembly GCF_000001405.40). NCBI lineage: Eukaryota > Metazoa > Chordata > Mammalia > Primates > Hominidae > Homo > Homo sapiens. The sequence goes on along the minus strand of NC_000007.14, from coordinate 143,160,892 downwards.
AAAAAGTCCAGAAACAACAGGTGCTGGAGAGGATGTGGAGATATAGGAACATTTTTACACTGTTGGTGGGACTGTAAACTAGTTCAACCATTGTGGAAGACAGTGTGGCGATTCCTCAGGGATCTAGAACTAGAAATACCATTTGACCCAGCCATCCCATTACTGGGTATATACCCAAAGGAATATAAATCATTCTGCTATAAAGACATGTGCATACGTATGTTTATTGTGGCACTACTCACAATAGCAAAGACTTGGAACCAACCCAAGTGTCCAACAATCATAGACTGGATTAAGAAAATGTGGCACATATACACCATGGAATACTATGCAGCTATAAAAAATGATGAGTTCATGTCCTTTGTAGGGACATGGATGAAGCTGGAAACCATCATTCTCAGCAAACTATCGCAAGGACAAAAAATCAAACACCACATGTTCTCACTTATAGGTGGGAATTAAACAATGAGAACACTTGGACACAGGAAGGGGAACATCACACACTGGGGCCTGTTGTGGGGTGGGGAGAAGGGGGAGGGATAGCATTAGGAGATATACCTAATGCTAAATGACCAGTTAATGGGTGCAGCACACCAACATGGCACATGTATACATATGTAACAAGCCTGCACGTTGTGCACATGTACCCTAGAACTTAAAGTATAATTAAAAAATACATTAAAAAAAGATGAATTAGAATTTATTGACACAGAGGCTGTATTAGTTATCTATTGGTGCATAATGAATTACCACAAATGCAGTGCCTTAAAAAACATGCACACACATTTATTATCTTTCAGTTTCTGGGGTCAAGAATTTTGGGCACAGATTAACTGGGTCCTCTGCTTCAGCATTTTTCACAGGCTACAATCCAGGTGTTTGCCAGGGATACGTTCTTTCTGAAGGCTTAATGATGGAAGGGCATGTTTCCAAGCCCACATGGTTGTTGGCAGCATTCAGTTCCCTGTGGGTTTTGGACTGAGGGCCTCAGTTCCTTGCTAGCTGTTGGTTAGAGGCCACCTTCAATTTCTTGCCATCTGGGTCTTTCCAGAATGGTAGTTTGCTTCATCCAACCTAGCAAGGGAGAGAGTCTATTAGAAGGTGAAAGTCGCCACCTTATGTAATCTTATACATAAGCACATTTCATCATCTTTGCTGAATTCTATCAGTTGGAAGCAAGTCGTATTAATAGTTTCAGCCTAATCTCAAGAAGGAGATTACAGAGTGGCATGAACACCAGGAGGCAGGGATCATTGGGAATCTTAGAAGCTGCCTACCACAGAGGCACTCTCCCTTTGCCCAGGATTTAAGTTCTTGACAAAGGATGCCTGGAGCTCCTTCCTCTGGATTGGCTTTATGAAGTTTGGGAATATTGTGTGCTAAGGAAAATTATGTGGAGAGGCTCAAACTATTCTGGCATAGTACTAAGGAAAGATTCAAGATAATTAGATGTGCAAGTCAGAATGGCTGTACTATATAAGGCCAGAAAACCAATCAGGTGGCTTTATTACCTGAGAAATCTCAGAATATGTACACTTCAGTAGTTAAGTAAGGAATGTACTGGTGAGAGAGCCCCTGGAATTGCTGACAGTTTTGGTGGTAACTGTCCTCTCTAGGTTGGAGTTGGGTAGGCAATGCCTCTATGAAGTAGGGTTCCTATGCAGCAAAGGGGGATTATAGGATACTGGGCCAGTAGAGGCCTACTATTGCCACTACAGTGTTGGAGGCAAAAGGGGACATAGTTACCGTGACCACAATTCCGAAAGAGCAAAAATAGGCTGCAATCGCAAAATAGACAAAAACTACAAAGCAGCAAAAACAAGCAAAAATTACAACCTGGAGGTTTTGGCCCACAGGGATATTTGGTAATGGCTAATAGACCATGATGTTCTTAGGAGAAATATAAATGGAGAGGTAATATTGAATTGTATGACTTAAATATACAAAAAGTTCAATATTGAATAAGCAGAAAGCTAATACTGGTAAATATAAAGGAAAGTCACAATTTTTCACCTACTTTGCAGACCAGAGTTAGTTTTCAGAAGCATGACCTATTTTATTTATTTATTTATTTATTTATTTATTTATTTATTTATTTGACAGAGTCTCACTCTGTTGCCCAGACTAGAGTACAGTGGCATGATCTTGGCTCACTGTAACCCCCACCTCCCGGGTTCAAGCGATTCTCCTGCCTCAGCCTTCCAAGTAGCTGGGATTACAGACATGTGCCACCACACCCGTCTAACTTTTGTCTTTTTAGTAGAGATGGGGTTTCACCATGTTGGCCAGCCTGGTCTCGAACTCCTGACCTTAGGTGATGCACCCACTTCAGCCTCCCAAAGTGCTGGGATTACAGGCGTGAGCCACCGTGCCCTGCCACATGACCTATTTATTAAAGGGGAGACTAGGTCCCCTTGAAGAAGGACCATGCAATAACACAGCATGTTTCTAGTGTATGAAAAGATCCCTTTGATCTTTCTCCAAAGAGACTTATGGCCATTTACTAGAATAACAGTATCTGGGAATGAGAAATGCCCAAATCTTTTTTCGTGATATTAGATATGGCTCTCAGCTGAGACTGACACCAAAATTCCATTATGGCCTCAATGGTAGGGTAGAGTTAATGGAAGCCAGTTGATAAATAAATAGGGTAGCAGTCTAAGTCCATTTCACAGCGAGTACATTTTTTTTTCTCATCCTGTGGTCATTTCTCTGACACCTGAATGCATAACTGAGAAGAATATAATCTACAGATGCAGAACTTTCATATCTATTCCCTGACTTATGGAGCAATCACTATTATGATTCAAAAGGCCAAATGGAACCCTGTGAAATTGCATCCTGCAGCCAAGAGAGTAAGTCACAATTCCTCCTACTGGAATGATAGAGATAAGTGCTACTCTTAAACAATTAAAGGATGCACATGCGGTGGTCTGCTTTATAGCTCCATTATTTCAGCAGTCTGTCTCACACAAAATTAAATAGATGAAAACAGACCATGGGGGGCTACTGTAAACTATTAAAAAAGCTCCACTGACAGCTGCTGTGTCCGATGTGATATCTTTACAAAAACAGTCAACACAGTCTCTGGTGTTTGGCATGCAGCTATTAATCTGAGGAATGCTGTTTTTTTCAATTCCCATCAGAAAAAAAATAAGAGTAGTTTACACTCACCTAGATGGACAGTCACATACATTCACAGTTCTACCTTGAGACTATATTAACTTTATTATAATATGGCTCCCTTGATCCTCCTGACATCCACAGGATAGAATACTGGTTCATACATTGATGATATTGTGTTAGTTGGATCCGATGAGCAGAAAGTGGCAAGTACTCTAGATATCCTAGCAAGACACACGCACAGTGAAAATATTTAAGGGCCTACCACATCAGTGAAGATTTTAAGGCTCAGTGTTGTACCTTGAACAACCTATCATTAAAAAAGAGGTGCAAAACTGTGCCCAAAATTCATGACCCCAGAAGCTTAAATTTTGGAGGCAGCATTTACTTCACTTGACAACGATATATTCAGTTGCTTTATAGGCTGACTCACAGATACCAGTTTAGAGTGGTATCTAGAGCAAAAATAAATAATAAATAAATATGCTCTGCAGCAAGTTTAAACTTTGATTTAAGCTGTCCTTTATTTTGGCCATATCACCTGGCAGGTCCTATGGAATTACAGAGGTCATGGTAGGTTAATTATGCTGAGCATCGTCTCTAGTAAGTCCCAGGGAGAGAGATGCTGGGTAGACCAGTAGGCTTCTGAAACAAAGCCATGCCCTCTATAGCAGAGAACTTTATTATTTATTTATTTATTTATGGCTCTTTAAAGATCTAGAAGACCATCAACTTTATTTGAATCATATGTCAAACACACACACACACACACACACACAAACACACACACACACACACCCCTACAAAACAATCTGAGAAATCTGAACATTGACTGGATATTTGACAGCCTTAGGAATGATTATTAAAGATGTGATCATAGAATTGTGATTACATTTTTATTCAACAGGTTTTTGGGGAACAGGTGGTGTTTGGTGATGTTAATAAGTTATTTATTGGTGATTTCTGAGATTTTAATGCTTCCATCACCCGAGCAGTGTACCCGTACCCAATGCATAGTCTTTTATCCCTCACCCCATTTCCCACACTTTCTCTCGAGTCCCCAAAGTCCATTGTATCATTCTTACGCCTTTGCGTCCTCATAGCTTAGCTCCTGCTTATGAGTGAGAACACATATTGTTTGGTTTTCCATTCCTGAGTTACTTCACTTAGAATAATGGTCTCCAATTCCATCCAGGTTGCTGAAAATGCTGTTATTTCATTCCTTGTTATGGCTGAGTAGTATTCCATGGTGTATATATATACACACACACACATATATATACATATATACACACATATATATACATATATATACACACACACACACACACATATATATATGTATATATACCACATTTTCTTTATCCACTAGTTGACTGATGGGCATTTGGGTTGGTTCCATGATTTTGCAATTATGAATTGTGCTGCTGTAAACATGCGTGTGCAAGTATCTTTTTCGTATAATGACTTCTTTTCCTCTGGGTAGATACCTGGTAGTGGGATTGCTGGATCAAATGGTAGATCTACTTTTAGTTCCTTAAGGAATCTCCACACTGTTTTCTACAGTGGTTGTACTAGTTTACATTCCCACCAGCAGTGTAAAAGTGAGAGAACTATTTTTTAGAAAAGGAGCACATGGCATGGCCATGGATTCTGTAGAGACCCAATAGCTGACCATGAAACATCAAGTGGCTATGGGGCCAGAACTGCTCATCATGACCTGTACTGGCAGACCCACAAATTATAAATTTAGTGGGTACAGCACAAATCCATCACACAATGGAAATGGTGCAGTTGAGGTTGGACTCAACCTGATCCAGAGGCCCTCAGTAACAGAAGACAGTGGTTCAAACTCCATATGAACTACATCTGCAGAACTAACACTGCTCCTTTAGACTGTACTTACAGCCTCATGGGGTGTTCCTATGACCAGGTTTTAGAGGGGCAAAACAAAAATGTGATTCACAGATAGGCTCAATTTGTTGTTATGAGCCAATGGTGGACTATTACCACACTAAAATTTTACTCAGGAGTGTCCTAGAGGAGCATGGCTTGGTGAAAATACTCTTGGTAGGCAGTGCTACAAGCAGCACAACTGGTCATAAACAGGATACCTGGATGCTTGAGCGGTGGGAGATCTCTTGGCTCTGCCCGGTCAGGAATCTGGTAGGAACAAGAATATTAATATTTTGCACAGGGATGTCTGCCTGAAATTCTATTTTTTTTAAGTCTATTTTTTTGCCACCAGTTAAGAAGGCCATCTGAATGAACCTCTGGATGTGAACACAAAGTGGATCTTTGTGTCTCATGTTGGTGCTCATAAGAAAGTATCTGACACAGAGGAGAGAGCAAACAATTAGGAACACAGGAGGACTGGTTCAATGGATGTCCTTAGCTTCTCCAATGCTTGTTTAATGGCTAATGAGGCAGTGATTGATATTATGCATATACCCAATAGTAAGGATTCCCTCTCACCAAAAGTGATTTAGGTATTACTGCTGCCGACCCTTCAGCAACAGAGATTAAGGCTGGGACTTCAATAGGGTACTATGTCTCAAGGAGATGAACCAACCATTTTACAAAACAATGATTATATTGAATCTCTTTGACCTTAGAAGGGGCAGCAGTTTATCTTTACTGAGAATGATATATATTCTAGCTATAGATGTATCTTTCCTGCCTACAGTATTTTGGACAGCTCTGCTATCTGAAGGCCCACAGAATATCTGGTTTCTAGACATGGGATCCCATGTAACATCTTTATGGACCAAGAGAACCTTTTTCTTAAATGATACAGTTGCCATAATGGACACATAATCAAGGAATCTACTGTTTTTCTTTTTTTATAACTCTATCACCAGGAAACCACTGGCCTTATAGCATGCTGGAAAAATCTCATAAATAAGCGGCTGAGGAGACCACTTGGGGGTCACACCCTTTAGGGTTATGGTGATGTCTTTCAAGATGTGACACATATTTTGAAATAATGGTTATTAAATGTTTCTGTGTTCTTGATAGCTAAACTGTACTGGCCTAGAAATCCATGGATGGAAATGGTCTCTCTTACCATCATTTTCAATTGTGGAGGTGCTGGGTCAAAGGGTCTGTATATAATTAATTTGACTAAGAAATGCCAGATTGTTCTCCAAATGGCTACACCTATTTATATGTTCCCAGTAGCAGTGCTTAATGGTTCCCCTATCTCCTCATTCTCTGCTGACACTTGGCATTATCTACCTTTCTGAGTTTTGCTTTACTATGAGGAAAGACAAGGACGTGAACACAGGGAGGAGTGTGTCATGATTAGGAACCCAGTACAACTGAAGTTCAGTGAGTCTATTTTTTTTGCCACCAGTTAAAAAGAAGCAGGTATAATCATTTTAGGACTTCTGAGTAGTTGACCTTTCAGGTCACTGGAAGGGGCAGCTGGATATAGTTGGACTAACAGGATAGGGAAACTTGGAATCTTTCTCACTTCCACCCTTAATTTTCTGTGTACCCCTGGAGACAGTTGATTATACTTTCTCTGGCCATTTTCCCTTCTATGTCAAATGGTAAGAATAATTGCTGCCTTCTCTCTCTCCTGTTCACTATGGAATACATGTGTCTTATATCATATCTGTGAAAGTTTCTTGTAAGACCAGTGCTTTAAGAATTCTTGGGATATCTGGGCAGTTACGGAAGTAAGTTTTTGGGGAAAAGACATAGAGGGGATGCTGAGAAGTTGCAGGAAGTTTATGTTACCATCCACCCAGATACCCTCAAACTCAGGGATGGTTCTCCTAAAAAGGAGACCTTCTAGGGGTGGGAAGTCAGAGCCGACTTTCCAGTGCAGGGTTAGGATGACAGTGCTCTCCACGAATGTGTAGTAACCGGTTGTCTTGTCCAGTTCCTCATTAGGATGGCCCATATCTTCATCTGACATAACTTCAGCATCTCTTCTATTGTTTATATCTTCCGGGGAGAGGAATCAGAAGAGTGATAGACCACTGGGCTCCACACCACTTCACTTCTGGTCTTCTCACTTAAGCTCCACCCACCGCACACCTTATCCCCCCTTTCACTGCCTCTGGAACTCAGCTCCCACTGCTTAGTCTTATACACAAGGCACAGCAGTTGTTGCCCAATCTCCCTGCTCTCACGTTGAGCCCCTGCCCACACTGCCTGCCTGTCTTGTGTCTCGCTCTTATTGCAATACTCTGCTCCTTTGCTTTCTGCCACCTCCTGCTTTTCCCTTTTTACTGTGACCTCTCCTAGCACTCCCCCTAATCTGGATACTTATGTTCAGGCAGGAAGTGTCCTCACTTACTGGACGGAGTTGTTAGTTCCCAGTAGAACTTTTGTCTACCACACACACAGTGTAAATAAAACGACTGTAAGAGCAGCTAATGCTTGGATTGGCCTCAATACTGGTTTTAATCTGAGGAGAGGAATGGGGAGAAGGGTTAGAGAGAGTGTAGATCTGGCTGAGGCAGCCCTGGGTTAAGCATTAGGCCCAGGTGAAGGGGACACTCAGGGACTATTCTCCAGCTGTTATACTCTTTATACATTCACTGCTACACTTGATCATAGGCAACTTAAAAAAAATTGTCATTATATACCACGCTCAACTTTATCTGCATTGTTGTTTTTTTATTTTGTTTGTTTGTTTGTTTTTCCTTTTTTTTGAGATGGGTTTCACTCTTGTTGCCCAGGCTGGAGTGCAATGTCACGATCTCGGCTCACTGCAAGCTCCACTTCCTGGTTCAAGCGATTCTCCTGCCTCAGCCTCCCAAGTAGCTGGGATTACAGGTGCCCACCACCACGTCCAGTTAATTTTTGTATTTTTTTTTTAGTAAAGATAGGGTTTCTCCAAGTTGGCCAGGCGGGTCCTCCTGCCTTGGCCTCCCAAAGTGCTGGGATTACAGGCATAAGATACCACGCCTGGCCTAACTGCATTGTTAAAAACAATCTTTTCCTTTTTTTTTTTTTTTGAGCCTGGGTCTCCCTCTGTCACCTAGGCTAGAGTACAGTGGCATGATTACTCCTTACTGCAGCCTTGACCTCCAGGGCTCAAGCAATCCTCCCACCTCGGCCCCCACTGTAGTTGGGACTATAGGCGCACGCCATTACACCCAGCCATTTTTAAATTTTCTTTTGTAGAGATAGAGTTTTGTCATGTTGCCCAGGCTGGTCTTGAATTCCTGGGCTCAAGCAATCCTCCTGCCTCGGCCTTCCAAAGTGCTGGGATTATAGGTGTGAGCCACCACACCCAGCCAACAATGTTTTCTTTGGCATGGCAAACAACTCAAATTTAAACGTTTGGTTTAGGGAAGTCACATGTCACATTTGTTTCTGTTTCAAGAAGCAGGGGTAAACACACCTGTCTGGGTCCAGCTAGCATTTAACTCATCAGCTTATTAGTGAAATGGACTCTTTATTTCAGTACTTGAAGGAGTAAAAGGGCACCAGTGTTGGACTGCATTTAGGCATCAGTTGCCTTTCATCCAGCCTAGAGCTGAGGTTCTCCAAATTGGAGTTAGTAGGAAATTATTTTAATTAACTGCTCACTGAACCAAGAGGAAGTTATATGGAGATTGGAGACATTAGTTTGTCTACTCTGGTGTGGTGAATAAACAGAAACAAAAACAACCCACCAAACAAACAAAAACAGAGTTTATCATCTCACCTGTCCTGCTTTCCTGCTTTGTAACATGACATTTGCGAGATGGAAGCATGGATACTCACCTGTCTCCTTCGTATGAGCTCATGAGTGCTTTGCGAATGTTAGAGCTTTCAGAATGTAAAGTACCATGTTTATTGTGCAAATAAACACACTTGGATTCTGAAAGCATTTGACTGAGTAGTATTTAGCACTTATTTTTCTTCTGCCAATCAAATTATAAAACTTTTAGTTAAACACTGACTGAGTTTCTGAAGACGGAAGAAGAAATCTGCTGAGGCCAGACTAGGGAAGAAAAAATATCCGATGTCTTCCTGAGACAGTACCAAAGAAGACCTCTGGAGAAGGGGCTTCTCAGAGGCATTTCTACTGTCACCATATTTCGATAAATGTCATAAGTGTTAAGTACTATTTGTATTTCTCTTAGGGTTCTTAGTAACTCTGCAATTTTCCCATCTGTTTGCATCTGCTTTCCAAAAAGCCTAAAGAAACCTTGAAGGAACTGGGGACTGGTATCAAAGATGGCAAAGCAGAAGGGTTTAGGGGTTCTGAATGCTCAGTGAAGAGAGCAGGGAAAGGAAATGGAGGACATGACTTCAAAAAAGCCAGTTCTTAGGCAACCTACAGAATGGGAGAAAAGTTTTGCCATCTATCCGTCTGACAAAGGACTGATATCCAGAATCTACAAAGAACTTAAACAACTTTACAAGAAAAAAACAAGAAACCCCATAAAAAAGTGGGCAAAGGAGATGAACAGACACTTCTCAAAAGAAGACAATTATGCAGCCAACAAACATGAAAAAAAGCTCATCATCACTGGTCATTAAGGAAATGCAAATCAAAACCGCAATGAGATACCATCTCTCACCAGTTAGAATGGTGATCATTAAAAGGTCAGGAAACAACAGATGCTGGAGGGGATGTGGAAAAATAGGAATGGTTGTACAGTGTTGGTGGGAGTGTAAATTAGTTCAACCATTGTGGAAGGCAGTGTGGTAATTCCTCAAGGATCTAAAACTAGAAATACCATTTGGCCCAGCAATCCCATTACTCGGTATATGCCCAAAGAAGTATAAATCGTTCTACTATAAAGACACATGTACACGTATGTCTATTCACAATAGACTTGGAGCCAATGCAAATGAATGATATTCACAATAGACTTGGAGCCAACGCAAATCAATGATAGACTGGTTAAAGAAAATGTGGCACACATACACCATGGAATACTATGCAGCCATAAAAAAGGATGAGTTCATGTCCTTTGCAGGAACATCGATGAAGCTGGAAACCATCATTCTCAGCAAACTAACAGAAGAACAGAAAACCAAACACCGCATGTTCTCACTCATAAGTGGGAGTTCAACAATGAGAACACATGGACACAGGGAGGGGAACATCACACACCAGGCCCTGTCAGGGGGAGGGGGGCTAAGGGACAGATAGCATGAGGAGAAATACCTAATGTAGGTGACAGGTTGATGGGTGCAGCAAACCACCATGGCATGTGTGTAACTATGTAACAAAACTGCACATTCTGCATATGTACCCCAGAACATAAAGTATATATATATATATGTGTATGTGTGTGTGTGTGTGTGTGTGTGTATGTGTATGTATATATATAGCCAGTTCTTGTGTGATGGTAAGTCTCTCAATTTTGAGAGAGATCACAATGACCACATCCCTGAAGCTTCTGTTACATCTGCCACAGCCTGTTGAGCTGGGTCTCCTAGGTTCATCCTCATCGCTGCATGGGCTGGTTGGGGCGAGTAGGGGTGGGTGGGAACATGGTTCCAATAGAAGTCTCTGAGCATTGTCACTCAGTCTAATCCATCTTTTTTTTTTTTTTTTTTTTTTTTTTTTTTTTTTTAGCTTTCATTTTAGATACAGGGGTATATGAGCAGATTTGTTACATGGGTATTTTGCATCCAGGTAGTGAGCATAGTACCCAATAGGTAGTTTTTTGACCCATTCCTCCCTTTTGCCCTCCCTCCCTCTAGCAGTCTGCATTGTCTGTTTTCTTGTTTATGTCCATGGGTGCTCAATGTTTAGCTACTACTTATAAGTGAGAACAGGCAATATTTGGTTTTCTGTTCTTTCATTAATTTGCTTAGAATTATGGTCTCCAGTTCCATCCACACTGCAGCAAAGAAAATGATTTTATTTTTTATGGCTGCATAGTATTCCATGGTGTCTATGTGCCACATTTTCTTTATCCAATCCACCATCAATGGGCGCTTAGTTGATTCCATGTCTTTAATATTGTGAATAGCATGGTGGTGAACATATCAAGTGGCCATTTGGTGTAATGGTCTATTTTCCTTTCGGTATGTACCCAGTAATGGGATTGCTGGGTTGAATGGTGGCTCAATTTTAAGTTCTTTGAGAAATCTTCAAACTGCTTTTCAAAGTGGCTGAACCAATTTACATTCCCATGAAAAGTGTGTAAACATTCCCTTTTCTCTGCAGCTTCACTAGCTTCTGTTATTTTTTGACTTTTTAGTAGTAGCCATTCTTACTGGTGTAAGATGGTATCTCATTGTGGTTTTGATTTGTGTTTCTCTGTCCATCTTTCTTTTCATCTGCATTTGGATTGCTTTCCTCTCATTTCTTTTTTTTCCTCTTCCTAATCTCCCCACTGCTACCCTCCCCTCATGAATTAGAGTCCTGACCCTATGGTTAAAAGCCTCCACTCATTCATCTTTTTCATAACACAATTTCTTCAACTTCAAAATGGAATTGATAACATGTACATTCCTAACAGAGTTGTTCTGAGGTTCAAGGCTAATGTACACAAAATCATGTGTAGGTGAAGCATTTGGCAAGATGTTAAACTGTTTCACATACAATCAGTAATGACGACCAATGTTCTTTATTGTGATATTTCTCTTCTCTTTCCCACCAACCTTCCCTCCAATTCTTCAGTTACCTCCACATATTTATACCTATTGTTATTTGTAACCATGAGTGTTAGCAAAAATATTTCCTCTGGCTTTACAGATTCAGGGATTGTCATGCTCAGAAAAATTATGTTCTGTCTGTATATGCCAAAAGAAGGAGAAACCCAAAGTCAGGGAAAGTGTAGGACAGGGGTGTCCCAGGAGGGAGAATGGAAGCAGGAGGACAGAGTGAACAGAGGGGTGCAGGGAGTGAGGAAGCACATAAGTCAATGCTGTCACTCATAAGGATCCTCTGTGCATGACTTGTGCCTGTGGGCTCTGTGTGTCCAGCCAAGATGCCCCTATCTGATAGGAAGGGGAAATGGAGGCCAGAGGAAAAGAGGTCATATTCCTGGTGGACTGATGAGGGCAGGGAGCCAGACTGAGGGACTGCTTTTCCTTCATCATGGATACTCAGTTGAATCTCCACCATGTTGTTTGAAGCAGGAAGTGATTTGGTTGCATGGTCTACTTTAGCCTGAGATTCTCCTTTTGATTTTTCTTATGGAATCATCCCCAAATCCATGAAAGTTCATTTTCTTATACTGGTATAACTAGTAGAAGGATAAGAAATTCTATGAGTCTGATAAACATATCACACCAATGAATTAAAGTTTAACATAATGATCAACATAGTTCAACTTTGTCCAACTCACTAAGTAGAGGGGAAACTAAGTAGAAGTTTAGTCAACCAAAACCCAGCACACACACATTTTGTGTTACTCCATATATCCACCCCCACATCCTCTTTGCTTCTCTTCTCCTTAGAGAAACATCCAGGCTTGGCAAGAACCCCTTCTTCACCAAAATCTCCATGGCTCCATTTCCATCTGCTAGATACTCCTTTCTCCACATTCTGTCTGCTACACGTCCATGTCTCCTAAGGACCTGCTGGCTTCATTCTGGATCTTAGTACTTTGCTCTTGCCAAGGGACAGAGTCCCGTTTCAATGTTCTCCTTTCCACTTAAGGAACTGGAATCTGTCATTTCTTTTCCTCCGTTTTGGCAAATCAGTATAGACCTGGAGACCAGCTGTGTCGCATTTATGCAAGGACATGTTGCATTTAGGAACAAATCCAGGAAAAGGTGGAGTCCAGGAGCATGTTTCTACTTTTTCCTTACTTAGAGAAACCTGCTCAGGTCTTGTAGGTCCCAGCCCCAGTGTATGACACAGATCTTAATGAGATAGAGAGCACTGTTTCCAATGAGACCAATTGTATGAGTTAGTGGTCAGCACAACCTTGTAACCCCAGTAAAGACCAGGGCCATGGCCCCTCTCTTGCAGCTCAGGCATCTTATCCAAAGCTCATCCCACAGGTATTGATTAAGCCCACATCTCTGCCCATGCTTTTCATTTAGGAGAAAATGATGCCAATGATAAACTTAGGATAGAAAAATGAATTAAAATACAAGTAGTAATAAGACATGAATGCAGTAACCCCCACAATAGGATCTGAATAGGAAAAGAGTGAGACTAAGAGACATCTTTAGTGAGAATACCCAGAATGTGTCCCCTTTGGAGTGGTAAAATAATCCCTAGGGGCACCATATTGATTTCTGGGTTGGGAGATGTGTCCCCGTTGGAAGATTTTCTGCAACAAGGAGAAAGTGGTGGCTTACAATTCTTCCTGAGCTATGCTGGTCCCCAGCCTCAGGCAGAGAACCAGGAGCAGGGCAACAAGACAGGGCTTGAACAGAATCTGAAGAGCATGCATGCTGGAGAAATTTGATGCCCAGAGAACTGTGCACCCAGGCACCCAAATTATTCTTCATAACTACAGCAAGAGAACATTGTGACATTTGGGCAGGCCACTCAACCAAAATCATCAGACCTTGAAACTTCCCTAATTACCACCATGAATTTTTTTCTTGGAGAAATGTCAACATTCAGCTGGAATTTTACATTGGAATGGAATGAGGAAAGAATTAGTTCAGTTGTTTTCCCTTGTTTGCCAATATCAGATTAGAATGTTCCTGGAACAGCAGGATGGATTCTGCCTTAACTTTTCTAAACAGCATCTTTTTCACTTCTATTTCCCAATACTTGCTCTGGGTCTGTAGGATCTATGAAATGTATATTCTTATCTTTTTGTCCTCTAGATGACATGGTGTCTTATCTTTCTACCAATGCCAGTTACTTCAACTCTAAATTTTACTCTAGTTGAGTGAATGACTTGACACTAATGTTCCTACTCAGCCCTCCTGGTTTGCATCTTCAGGTACAATGAGTCTTCTGTAAGAAATGATAGCCCTCTATAGAGTATAGAGTATGTTTCATGAGAATTCAAGCCTCAGAAATAGGAAAAAATCAGATGAGAAGAGGGTAGACCAGATATTTTTGGTATCTATTTCTTAAGATACTGTCAGTAAGCAAGACCTTTCTGTGTATTGGCCCCTCTAAGGGGGCTTGGGTTTAAATTATATGTGTGGGAGCTGCAATCCTGAAGCTTCTTAGGAAAGGTCCTGTTGTCCCAGGTCTCCATTTTTCTAGCTTTGGTTACTGCTCAGCCTGCTTCCTCTTGCTGGAAATTCAGATGTTGGGGCAGTTGTCAGAATCCATCTTTGAAGGACCCTGTGATCATCTCTAGTCATCTGCAGGAGAACATGTGGTCTTAAGAACGTCTTAGAAAGCTAAGACGACTAGAGAACCCATGGAATTGCCCACCTAACATCCAAGTGGGAGAACCATATCAGATGGCGAGGTGAAGTCCAAGGGTGGATGAGTTGGGACAGCTGTGCTCTTACCCCTGTAGAGTCTTTCCAGAGAACTAGAGTGCTGAAACTAACAAGGTCCTTGAGATGCCTTAAGGTGACAGCAAGACCAGGGAGGGCTGCTTCCATCCATTCATTTTGAATTTTCTACAAGATTCACCATGCATTGAGAGGGCCAGCTCCCAAATACCAGGTGCTATGCAGCAGGTCTTCTCTTACTTGGATTACTCTGCTATTTATCCCTATGTTTTTCAAACTCATTAAACTAATTTCTCTTCTCCTTTCCTCCCTCCCTTCCTTCCATTCATTTATTACTTATTCAAAAATATTATTATTATTATTTTTGAGACAAAGTCATGCTCTGTCACCTGGGCTAGAGTGCACTGCTGTGCCTGCCACCATGCCTGGCTAATATTTGTTTTTTTAGTAGAGACGGGGTTTCACCATCTTGGCCAGGCTGGTCTCAAACTCTGGACCTGGTGATCCACTCGCCCCAGCCTCCCAAAGTGCTGGGATTACAGGCGTGAGCCACCACGCCTGACCTAGTATTTCTTTACATCAGTGTACAGTTATACAATAAATACTATTATGTTCTTTAATTTCCATCACAAAATTTATCATATAATGTTCTATGACTCACTAGTTTCATTTGACACTGTGATTGAAGAAATTTCAATTTAGTACATCAGAGTGCCTTCAATCTTTTTAAAGCCATGTGTATTTATTCGGTTGTGTATATGAACCAGAATTAATTTAAGCAGTTTTTTTTATTGGTAGACACTGACTCTTTCTAAACGTTTACAATTGCAAATAAGCTGTAATGAATAACATTTTTCATACATAATTTTGCATGCTCGTAGGTTTATCTGTAGGATAAATTCCCAGAATTAGAATTGCTGGACTAAGGAGAAATATACTTGCAAATTTGATGGGTTTTACCAGATTGGTCTTTGCAGTGTTATACTAGTTTTTCACACCTATGAGAAATGTTTGAAAGACCTATTTTCCCACAGTCTCAGCAACAGAAAGCATTATTATTTTTATGTGTCTTTTTTCAATTAGGTGAAAAACATTTCAGTATAGTTTAGATTTTCACAGTTCTGATTAAGAGCGAAGTCAAGTATCTTCTCATTTGCTCAGGTGATTTTTTTTTTCTTTCAGTTAGACTTTTGGCTGTGTCCTCTCAAGTTGGTTTTAGAAATTTGTTCCAAGACAGAAATAACTGATTCAAAGCAATATTTCAATATTCTTTAAATAAAGCTTACTAATATGGAAGTGATCAATTTTAATTGTTTCAAATAAGATTATTAATTATTTGGCCTGTTTTAATATGTTCACAACATCTGTAAGATTTAAGAGTCTTAAATACTCATAAATTACATTCTTATAAATTATGCAAGGAATGAAGAAAAAAATGTGAAAACTACTGAGTTCACATATTGTATGAGTTAAAGTAAATAATTTAAGTACAGAATTTTCTTGAAGGTTCTTAATATTTAAAGACATTTTTATCTGTATTTTCACTGACATAAACTCCAGATCAGCAGGGTTTTTTTTCAGCCCTTTGAGGATATCATCGTATTTTTTCCTGGCTCACATTGTTTCTGTTTTTCAGGTCAGCTATCACTCGTATTGCTACCATTTGAAAATAAAATGGTGCACGTGATATGATGTGTTAAACGTAATTTTCTTTGCATTTATCCTGGTTCAAGTTCAAGTTCTTTCTATATTTGTGGTTTGATGTCTTTTGTCAGTTTAGGAAAATTCTAAGTCATTATATCTTCCAATATTACTTCTTTTCCAATCATTGTCGCCTCTCCTTTTGAGAAGCTTATTGCAAGTCTTTTATCTCCCTTCCAATTATCCCGTATGTCTCTAACTCTATTTTCTGTGTTATTCATCTTTCTTTTCTTTGTAATTAACTGTGTAGTTCACTCCTTGGCTTTGTCTGAGTTGCTATTAAAAACCGTTTATTGGGTTCTTAATTGCAGTTATTGTGTTTTTCAGTTTTAGCATTTCTCATTAATTTTTGGGTTAACTTTATTTTTTATAAAATAAAATAATGAAATAATGTATAGAGGACTACTACTTGAAAAATAGAAGCCATCTATGTCTTAATTCTATCAGATGATCACAGTAATTAATTTCTTACAAATCCTTCCAGAAGTTTCCCATATATCTATTTCTCGAGTCATTGACCATTCACCCAGAAATGCAAGTCATCACTAGTTATCTCTCCTTATGATTCTACAGTAGTCATTGATTCATTCAATATTCTTTGCTTCATCTCTATCACTTTTATGTCTTGGATGAATAAAAATTAAGGTTTTCTCTCTCCTAGTAACTGTTTTATATTTGAGGTTTTTTATTTGTTTTCCTTTTTCCTGTATTTTGGTGGGTTTTTTTTGTTTGTTTGTTTTTGTTTTTTTTTTGACAGAGGATCACTCTGTAGCCCAGGCTGGAGTGCAGTGGCATGAGCTTGGCTCCCTGCAACCTCCGCCTCCTGGGTTCAAGCGATTCTCCTGCCTCAGCCTCCCAAGTAGCTGGGACTACAGGTGTGAGCCACCGTGCCCGGCACTGACATTGTTTTTTGTTTATCCGAAACTCCTCAGTCTTCTTCTTTCCAGGCCTCTCCACATACAGATGCTATTTAATGTTGCTCCCAACAAATGTAAACACATTTTATTATAGGAGTTACTTTGGAAAAACTTGATTTCTTTCATAAATATTCCCTGTCACACGCACTCAGTAAACTTTCCCCTGAAATGGAAAATGTCTGGCTGAGAGCTATAGGAAGCAAATGATAATACAGGGTGAAACTAGCTGTTACCAATTCTGTAGCAGGACTATCAACCTTATAAAATTTAACTCATTATGATGTATTTCTCAGCCTTAATTAATTCACATAATTAAACAAAGCATTTATTGGGCAACTGTTATATTTGCGGAGCATTTGAAGGCTTTACATGTTATTCTAAAAGGATGAAAACATATCGACCAGGCAATCATGGCAGGCATAGTCTCTTATTTGGAACAAGGAAGAGTCAAAGTGCCCAAAGTTGTTGTTGTTGTTTTTCCACAACCTCCTGAGTAGCTAGAACTTCAAGTGTGTGCCACTATACCTGGCTGAATTTGTTATTTTTTTACTAGTTTTTTCTTTAATTTTTATTTTTCTTTATTTCTTCTAAAAAAAAAAACCCAGAATGCATGTGCAGAACGTGCAGGTTTGCTACATAGGTATGCGTGTGCCATGGTGCTTTGCTGCACCTATTGACGTGTCCTCTAAGTTCTCTCCCCTCACTGAACCTATTGACCCATCCCATAAGTTCCCCATCTAATATGGTAGCCACTGGCTACATGTAGCCATTGAGTTTCAGAAATGAGGCTAGCCTGACTTAGGTGTTTTGTAAGTATAAAGCACCCAACAGATTTCAAAGACTTACTAAGAATAAACGAATGTAAACTATTTCATTAACAATTTAAAAAATATTAATTAGATCTTATAAATGAATTTAGGATATATTCAGCTAAATAAAATATGTTATTAACTTAATTTCACCTGTTTCCCTTTTCTTTTTATTTAAATGTGGCTATCAAAATTACACATGTAGCTTAAAATATATTTCAATGAATATTTCTTTTTTTTTTTTTTTTTTTTGAGACGGAGTCTTGCTCTGTCGCCCAGGCTGGAGTGCAGTGGCGCGATCTCGGCTCACTGCAAGCTCCGCCTCCCGGGTTCACGCCATTCTCCTGCCTCAGCCTCCCGAGTAGCTGGGACTACAGGCGCCCGCCACCACGCCCGGCTAATTTTTTGTATTTCTAGTAGAGACGGGGTTTCACCGTGTTAGCTAGGATGGTCTCGATCTCCTGACCTCGTGATCCGCCCGCCTCGGCCTCCCAAAGTGCTGGGATTACAGGCGTGAGCCACCGGGCCCGGCCTTCAATGAATATTTCTACTGAACAGTCTACTCTAGGTAATCAAAAATTCTAGGCTGGGCATGGGTGGCTCACGCTTGTAATCCCAGCACTTTGGGAGGTAGAAGCAGGAGGATCACTTGAGGACAGGAGTTTGAGACCACCCTAGGCAACATAGTGAGGCTCCCCCTGCCCAATCTCTACAAAAAGTTTTTAAAAAAATTAGCCAGGTGAGGTGGTGCTTGCCTGTAGTCTCAGCTACTCTGGAGGCTGAGGTGTGAGGATCACTTGAGCCCAGGAGGTTGTGGCTGCAGTGAGCAGTTATCACACCACTGCACTGCAGCCTGGGTCAAAGAGTGAGACACTGTCTCAAAAAACAAAACAAAACAAAACAAAATCTAGGTGGATATAGGTGTTCACATAATTCATAGAGGAAATAAAATTTGCAATTTTGAAATGCTTTTTGGTAGACACTTTGCAGGGGCCTAAAGGAGACTGTTGGGAAGTATGTGCAAGTAGTATAGAAGTTAGGAGCATGGGCTGGGTGTGGTGGCTCACGCCTGTAATCCCAGCTCTTTGGGAGGCCGAGGTGGATGGATCACGAGGTCAGGAGATCGAGACCAACCTGGCTAACACGGTGAAACCCCGTCTCTACTAAAAATACAAAAAATTAGCCAGGTGTAGTGGCAGGCGCCTGTAGTCCCAGCTACTCGGGAGGCTGAGGCAGGAGAATGGCGTGAACCTGGGAGGCGGAGCTTGCAGTGAGCCGAGATCGCGCCACTGCACTCCAGTCTGGGTGACAGTGCAAGACTCCGTCTCAAAAAAAAAAAAAAAAACAAAAATAAAAAGAAGTTAGGAGCATGTCTCTCCAGGCTACCTGTGTGGTTCGAATCTTGGCTCTGTCACTTGCTGGCTATGTGCAAATTAATTACCTTCTCTTATCTCAGTTTTCCCATAAATAAAGGTAAGAATAACATGTACATGTTTATTTTCTATTGCCTGGGAACAATATAAGCATTTTAAGAACAGGATAAAAAATTCCTGATTTACTTATGTAAAACCAAGTGCTGAAAGCAGGTAATGGCACATGTAGGTACTTGATAAATATTTATTGAGTGAATAAATATTTAATGTCTGTTATTGTTTTAAATAGGGCATGTGATAAAGCATGTAAATAAAATTATTCACATTTTTGGTACCTGTTAAGCATATAATCAATTGATATGGACAGGAGACAGAGAAATACTGGGTAGAAGAGGGCTGTTCCCTGGCAAAGGCCCCACCCTCAAACCTGGAAACCTGCGGCCCTAAATGAGAACAGGCATTCCTGTTTTTGCGCCTAAAAAATTGCCTTTTGGCCCGCCATGCCCCCATCTGGTATCCATATAAACCCTGAACCCCAGGCTCCAGAAGGAGATGAGCAGATGAGGAGACAAATGGCAGAATAGCGCAGCAGAGAAGGAGAGAAGGGAAGGAGTGTCTGAATGTAAGGAGGAGTTCGGCTGGGGATGGACGGAGAATCAGCCACTGGACAGCCAAACTCCAGGGGAAGATCATCTTCCTACTCCATTCCCTGGCCGGCTCCCCATCCATCCCACTGAGAGCCACCTCCACCACCCAATAAAACCCTGCATTCACCATCCTTCCAGTTCATGTGTGACCCAATTCTTCCGGGATGCTGGACAAGAACTTGGGATGCAGAAAGCTGTCACAGTAGCCCTCTGCCTTTGCAAAAAGGCAGAGGGTCCACTGAGCTGGTTAACACTTAAACTGTCCGTAGACAGCAAGGCTAAAAGAGCGCATTTTAACACACTCCCACTTGCCCTCCTGCACCTGTCCGTCTGCGTGCTCCTCCTCCTCTAAGGGGTTTGAGCAGCTGAACAGATGAGTGACACCCCTGTTGCATGTTCTGCGAGGGAGGTCAGGTAACTCTCCTGTTTCACAATGTTACAATCCTAATTAATATAAAAAATGATCTTTTCCAATGACTGTATTTTCCGCCCTGGATTTTGATTCTCATTTAGGATCACTGGCCTAGGGGATATGGTCCCACTTTCTTGCCCAGATTCACTCGGCCTCTCCTGATTTTGCTCCTGTCCTCTTGCCAGATCTGCTTCTAACTCTTCCATGTATACTTAATCCTGCCCAATATGAAAGTGTTTACCTGCCCTGAGCAAGCCACTATTTCATGCTTTGGGCTCTTGGTGCCTGCGTCCTATCTACTAGAATGCCCTCTGCCCACTTCGTGCACCTGATCCTTGCTCATATTCCACTTCTATGGGCTGGCCCTCTGGGATGAAGCCCCTCAGGGCTCCCTCTGCCCCTTTACTCCTCTATTATGCCTGAGCTCCTCAGGCAGAGCTGCACAGGACCCTGATATCCCTGAGTGTCACAATCCATTGAAAACAAGCAACAGAATAGCATAGAATGCTACTGCTCATTTAGGGGGCCATGGACTCCATCCCTGACTCTGCTGCATGCAACAGGACTCCTGTCTTCTGGGATCTGAGCTGTTGCTGGAGGGCAGTGGGATGGAGAGAGGTCAAGCAACAGGGAGGCTTGGTGCCTGCCCTGGCTCTGCCACTCCTGTGCCGTGAACTTTAGGGCCACTGCTTTTCCTCTCTGTGAGCATAGCTCCTCTTCCCAGTTTCTTCTTCTCTCCCTCTTCATACCAATGGGCAGTGAGAACCCGTACAATCTCCTCAGTAAAGGTTCTTTGAAAGACAAATGTTCTAGAAATTTCAGGTAATCTGGGGTTCTTCAGGAGCAGATTTTGGAGATACAACAGAACATGGAGAAGCATGTTAAGAAGTTTATTTTATAGACCACAGCAGAAATTCCAGCCAAGTTTCTTTAGAGGAAATCACCTGGGTGTGGCAAACAGACAGGGCTTCCATTATTCTACCTTTAGGATTTCAATAGTATAAAACCGGTTGTTTTTGATGGGGATTACAGCAGCATCATCAGGGCAGATGCCTAATTCCCGAATAACATCAACGACGGCTGCAATTTGCACAGTTCCTGAAAAAGACAGGGACGGAGATCATCTCTCAGACACCCCGGCCATGTCCTGTCTTTTCTACTCATATCAGGCATCTGCCCCCTGGGGTTCAGTTTCCCCAAATCCTTTGCAAATTTGTCTCCTGTATCAACTTTTTGCACTCAATGCCTCTGTCTTAGAACCTGGGTGCTTTCCCCATCTGCTCTCCCCATGCTCTTCCCTCCCTCCCTTCTGTCCTTCTGCCCTGAGGTCCTGGTCCTGCTCGGTTCGCAGCCATGTTTCTGTTTATAGTTTCTCCTCCCTGGTGGCTGGTGGGTAGTTCCCTCCTTGGACAACTTCTGTACTTACTGTTGGTGTAAAAGTCCCAGTAGAAGGTTTTTGGATTGTCGTCACATAGGCAGGCAGTATACTTATAGTTAAATGCACCTTGTAGAGGGATGCTGCTAATGAGGTAAGTTTTAACCTGGTGAGGAGAAGGTGGGAGGGGGAATTCATTGTTATTTTGGGGAATGGGTAAGGGAGGGAAAAATAGGAGAGGGAAAAGCCGGAGGAGAAGAGTGGGGGTGGAGGTGGGCCTAGGGCAAGGGGGAGTCTACTGTTGTAGTATCATTTCAGGAGCCAAAGTCTAGGTCAGAAGGTTTTCCCTTCCAATGCCCTCAAACTCCTGCCTTAGCAGTGTGGAGAAGCTCAGGAGGAGATAGGGATGCAAGTGAATCCACAGGGCAAGGAGAGCTCATCCAGGGCAGCTGTCCAGCTGAGGAGCAGGCTTGCCTTAGTCACCAGCCAGAGGTTTCAGGAATCGACCTGCAATCACGTTTACTCTGAGACCTGGTGAGACAGCAGCCTGGCCACTTGCGTGTAGGAGCCAATGTCAGGCCTTGTTGTCAGAGCTGTGACCAAGCCCCATCTGTGCTCCTCTCTGACTTGGTGACCTTTGGTGATGAGAGGCCTCTCACTCTCACTTTCCTCAGGTATGAGGTGGAAACAATTAACTACCAAACCTGGCTGTTAGATAAGCAAATAACATCTTGAATGTAAATTTCTTTTTAACTTGAGTGCTTTGCAATTCAAGATCCCAGATTATTGTATATATAAATTTCAGTGGAGTCAGAGGATTTTGTCCAGTTAACGTTTAACACAGCAGTTTTATCCTGGGGTCCATAGACCCAGAGGGATCTGTGGATAGCATTCAGTGAGTCTGTGGACTCAGGCAGGGGAAAAATATGCATCTTTATTACTAACCTCTAATTGAAATTCAGCATTCCTTCTGTTATGAATGTCATCAAGGAACCACAGTGCCATTAGCAGTATGTGTGATTTTATCACAAGGAGAAAAGTAGATATGTACATATCATTGCACGGATCCAGAGGTCCGAAATACAGCCTGAATGTACTACCTTGAATGTATGGCAGTTATCAGACTGGCTCATGGTCACGACTGAGGCCCAGTGCCATTCTGCCCACCTCCTGCAGCTTGCTCAGCTACCTGGCAACTCAGCATCAAGTAGCCGTTCAGACCTAAACAGTAAATTCAGGTGTTCTCACCCTTGGAGTTTTACTCAGAATGCCTTGGAGAATCCTGGCGTTTCTTTGGAGAAGACTACCTGTGCCTTGTTTCCCTTTTTTTTTTTTTTCTAAGAGACAGAGTCTCACTCTGTTGCCCAGGCTGGAGTGCAATGGTGCGAACGTGGCTCACTGCAACCTCCGCCTCCCAGGTTCAAGTGATTCTTCTGCCTCAGCCTCCTGAGTAGCTGGGATTACAGGTGCGTGCTACCAGCCCTGGCTAATTTTTGTATTTTTAGTAGAGACAGGGTTTCACCATGTTGGCCAAGCTGGTCTCGAACTCCTGACCTCAGGTGATCTGCCCACTTTGGCCTCCCAAAGTGCTGGGATTACAGGCACAAGCCACTGTGCCCGGCCTTGTTTACCTTTCTGTTACATTAGCAACAACATATCGTCATGAATCAGAATTTACACCACTTGTACAATAAAAGATCAGAATCCGTTGCATGCCTAGCATGGCACGTGGGACGTGTTGCCAAAGACCAGTGCAGTTTAATGTACTTCTTCAAGCTAAGTAACAACATCCATCACACAGATAATGTGTTCATAGAATAAAATTCAACTCTTCTATATTTTAAATGTATTGCTTTCCCAGCTAATGTGTGCATAAAGAAACACATACCTTACTGCATCACAAATTTATTTTTTACAAGTTAGTCACTGTTACTCAATGTGGTAGTTTCTCTCTGTAATCCAATGCACTTTATACATTTAGAAGCAATTTTCTGATAAATGTTTCATAAACTTCATGAAACCAACGAAATGGCCTGTAGCACAAAAATGTTTAAGCATTGTTTTTGCCACAAGTTTCCTTCAGCTTTAAAGGATTATGCAATCTTTATATTCAAATATACGATTGTAGGTATATTCTATTCTAATTCTAAAATAAATAAATATGAGTCTAAACCTCACTTTTTCAAAAATTCAGTTACAGAAAACATTATAAATGATAAAAAATGAGGATTAGATGGTAAGAATTTTATAGTTATATAAATATATTTTAATAAAAATTTAAAAATAGTTATACTTTGAAAAATGAAGCCACAAATAAAAATTTGTTGACTAGAATTAACAAAATTTCCTTTCCTGTAAATTATTTCTAGTTTGCAAAGTCAGTTAGTCTAAAGATTTCTTATTCTTTTAGTTGTGCTTAGGTGGGTTTTGAAAAGATTGCTTTATTTTAGAGTACTAGCATGATTCTTAAAAGCATACTTTTATTAATCACAAAAGCACAAAATTATGTCACATGTAATTTTATTGATTCAAACATATCTTATTATACCTACCACTACCATTAACTATTACCACCAGAAACCACCATTTTCACAAAAATTTTATGTACACATTATGTACATGTTCTTATTCTCATTCTCACCTGTGTTTGTGATAAACAAAATACAGAGTTGAAAAATTATGATTCAGCCTTGCTCCTACCCCAAATTAGTGTACATGTCTCAGATTCTTGGACTGAAAATAGAAAAATTTGACAAAGCAGCTGTGATATTCTTTGCTCATTGACCAGGAATTTTTCTTTACAGGTGTGGGGATATTTCTAGAATGCAGTTGACTGAATAGCAATCTTCATGTTCTCAATGTTGTTTTACATGTAATCATTGTCCTTAAGTCTCATTTGAATTAGGAAACTTATGTTGTAAGGAAATACTTGTGCTGCCTGATAGAAGGTGTCCTTCATGAAGGGTCTGGGGAGGGAGTAGGGGAGATGGGAGATGCATGGGTCTTGGCCCTAGAACAAAGGTAGTGGGGGCAGTTTGCATGCTTGTGACATCTGAGATCAATGACTAGGAAAAGGACACACAACCAGTGTCCCAGGGAAGAGTCACTGTGGATTAATAACTGCATAAGTCTATTTGACTTCTGGCCCTTGGCAGCTAGACAGGAGGGATAATGCTCTAATCCCAAGCTGCTCAAAAATGTGATCCTTTGGGCACAGCCTTGGTGTACCTTGGGCGTCTGTTAAAATCCAGAAGTTCTAATCTCTCCCCAGACCTGCTGAATGAAACTCTGAATTTTAACAAGATCCCCGAGTGAGTTTTAGACACATTACCATTTGAAAACCTCTGACCTTGTTCAGAGATTGGACTTCTGAACGTGGGGAAAAGGAGGAGATGATTACGAGCTCCTTGTCAGGGTGGGGAGGCTGGAACAAGAGTCCACTTCTGGTGACCCAGAGCAAAGGAGCAGAAGAAGGCAAGAGGACAGTAGAGTCGCTCAGTGCTTACTGGAGAGGAGGAGTCATATCCTGCATGTCCTCTTCTGCCCACCCACCTCAACCTATGGTGTGGAGTTGCTGCTTTCTCTTCTGAGAACTCCCCTCCCTCCATCCTAAACTAAACATGCTCAGGACCTTGGAAGGACTCTAACTGCTTCTCTACTAGCTCTTACACTTTTTTCTTTTTCCCTCTTTCTCACTTCCTATTCCTTCTTCCTTTCCTTCTTATTTATCCTAGACTTCTCTGGATTCGAACTTCTTCATCTGGAAAATGAGAAGTCATCTGTCCCAAGCTCCCACAGTTGTTCTGAGTCTCAAGTAGCATAACATAAGTGAGAATGTTTCATTAAGTACACTGTACATTATTAAAGTGAGAGATTAAATTATGTTTATAATCAAGGAGTTGAATTATCTTTTGAAGTCACGCCCCCAGTCCTCTACTTACCACCATGCATTCTTTCAATTCTGTTTGAACTGCAAGCACTGCAGTGACTTCGTCATTTGGACGTACTGACTTGGGAATGTCAAAATTCTTTATTATGATCTTCCGACTGATTGTGGGAAGAGAGAATCAGAACACCAGGATCAGAGACCAATCTTTGAGTGAGGGGGGAGCCATGAACAGGGCAAGGGGCACAGGATGGGCAAGGGAGGGAAATTATGGGGCTTGGATCAATTGTTCAGCATTGGAATCCCCTGGAATTTTCATGTGTTGATTGGATTGGTAACTTCACACAGATTTAATTTTGTTTAATAAAACAACTAGGACACTTTAAGATTCCTTAAAGAACTAAAAGTAGAACTACCATTTGATCCAGCAATCCCACTACTGGGTATCTACCCAGAGGAAAAGAAGTCATTATTTAGAAAAGATACTTGCACATGCATGTTTATAGT
Source organism: Homo sapiens (assembly GCF_000001405.40). Classification (NCBI taxonomy): domain Eukaryota; kingdom Metazoa; phylum Chordata; class Mammalia; order Primates; family Hominidae; genus Homo; species Homo sapiens. The sequence goes on along the minus strand of NC_000007.14, from coordinate 143,134,847 downwards.
AGCACAATTCACAATTGCAAAATCATGGAACCAACCCAAATGCCCATCAATGAACGAGCATCTTCTTCCCTTCCATTGACCAAAAACAAGTTTTTAAAAAGAAAAAATGTACAATACCACATGCCACTTCCTGATAACATCCTACAGGCTCTGGTGGTTGTCTACTGAGTAGGAGGGCTCAAGTCATTATTAGGAGAAAATTTTCTAGCAACAGAATCACATTAAACCAGCAAACCTCTTGATCAGGGAAATGCAAATCAAAACCACAATGCGATACCACCTTACTCCTGCAAGAATGGCCGTAATCAAAAAATCATAAAACAGTAGATGTTGGCGTGGATGCAGTGATCAGGGGACACTTCTATACTGCTGACGGGAATGTAAACTGCTACAACCACTATGTAAAACAGTGTGGAGATTCCTTAAAGAACTAAAAATAGAACCACCATTTGATCCAGCAATCCCACTACTGGGTATCTACCCAGAGGAAAAGAAGTCATTATTCAAAAAAGATACTTGCACACACATGTTTATAGCAGCACAATTCACAATTATAAAACTGTGGAACCAACCCAAATGCCCATCAATCAACGAGTGGATAAAGAAACTGTGGTATATATATATATATATATATATATATATATATATATATATATATATATATGATGGAATACTACTACTCAGCCATAATAAGGAATGAATTAACAGCATTTGCAGTGACCTGTATGAGATTGGAGACTATTATTCTAAGTGAAGTAACTCAGTAATGGAAAACCAAACATCGTATGTTCTCACTGATATGTGGGAGCTAAGCTTTGAGGACTCAAAAGCATAAGAATGATACAATGGACTTTGGGGACTTGCGGGGAAGAGTGGGAGAGGGGTGAGGGCTAAAAGACTACAAATATGGTGCAGTGTATACTGCTCGGGTGATGGGTGCACCAAAATCTCATCACCACTAAAGAACTTACTCATGTAACCAAATACCACTTGTACCCCAGTAACTTATGGAAAAATAAAATAAAATAATAAAAAATTTTAAAAACCCAGCAAACATCTCAATGCACTGGAGGTATTTGTAGGAGCATCTTTGAAGATCCTCCTTCTGTGGTCCCCAGGTAGGGTTTAGGAATTTGTATTTATTTAGCTCCTTAGGAAATTTGGACATATGGCCATGTTTGGGAACTTTAGATACTACTCTACATTTAGACCATACACTGCAATCTGAAAAGGAAAGGAAATGGAGACAAATAAAATGGTCAAATGTTCTTCTTCAGTCAATGAGGACTGGGTTCGGGGCCAGGAGAGTTATTTTCTCGTCCCTAGAAACTCCCGGCTACGGACCTTTGTTATTGTGTGGGACAGAAGGGAATTGAGATTCTTAGCCCACAGTGTCTCACAGCCCCATTTTCTTGGGGCAAAGCATCTTAGAGAGATTCTATTTTTTGGTGCCAACTGCTGTAGTGCCCAGTGCACAGGAAAAGGGTATAAATACCTAAGCAACTTCAAAATCTCTCCCATTTGTATATGAGTTTCAGATTGATAGGATGACCAGCTTAGTTCGAGTGACTAACCATCTCAGTTTACCCAGGACTGAGGTCTTTTCCAGAATGGGTTGTGGAGGTGGCGGGGGAGGGCAGAGTTGCAGTGCTACAACCAGGAAAGTTCTGGGCAAATCAGGATGGATGGTTGATAACCTAATTAGCATAGCTTATTTGAATACCTTGCTGCCCTTCAGGGCTAAGTGGACTGTCATCTGGCGGGAATGGGGTGGGATCTGAACCTGTCCCCATGCAGGGTTTCTTGGGACACTTGCCTCCATTACATTAGCTTGTCAAAACCCTGAACAGTTTCCTCCAGGACAGGATATCTGACCATGCCATAGAGAGTACCTCCAAGATCACAACCCAGAAACCCAGCATTATAAACCCTACTGCTATAGAGAAAACTCCCTAGATTGGGTATCGCTGCTTTCTCCCAGACCCTTGGCTCCATTTTCTACTTTATTTTACTTGCTCCAATTTTTCTGCTTCCTTCACACATGTGTTCTCAATAAGTTGACTTCTGAACCTGTGCTCTCAGGTCCCAGTATACGTGAGAGCAAGAGGTCATCATATTCATCTTCAGACTTCAGGTTAGGAAGAATGTCTAAGCTGCCAGTCTAGCTCAATCTCAGACCACAGGGCAGTGGCCAGGGCCTCTGGTCCTTTAGCCAGTCCTGCCAAAGCTGCCCTAAGCTGCCATTGGAATTCACAGACCTGTTATGCTTCTCTTCTAGGAGGCAAGGTGTGAGAAGGTAAAGTTTACTGAGCAGAAATCTGAACAAAGGTATAAATTATGAACAAGATGTGGATCAGCATGTTAGATGAAGACTAACTACTAATTACAGCCTGTAGGTACATTTGGAGCTTTATTTCCACTGGCAATGCAGAAACACCCAGCAAAAATGTGAGAGGAGTTGGTGGGGCTTCCTAAGAGGACAAGAAGTGGAACCTGGCAGGAGATCCATGGGAGCTCCTGGGACTAGAGTTCTGGGAAGTTGAAAGAAATTCTCAGAAAGAGATATGTAATTTCCAGACTGGGAGAGGAGCCCTCCCTGCAATTTTTTTTGTGGGGAGGAGAAGGGCATGGCTCACGTGTTGTCCTGAGCTTTGTTGGCCCCCAACTGCAGGCAGAGAACCAGGAGCAGGGTGGCAGGGCTGGCCCTGAACAGGAGCTGGAGCAAGCGCATGCTGGAGAAAACAGAAGGCAATGTGTCCCAGAGAAGTGGTGTCCCAGGTGCCCAGCACATTTCTTATATACAGATTGATCAAGGAAGTGCAAGAGCTGCCAGGGAGATCCATGAGGTGAATCACCCATTCACCCTCCCCACTCGTGATCTTTCCTTGTTGACCCAAAGTTTGTTTTTCTAAGAAAAAATCAACACTCAGCTAGAATGTCAGCGTTTGAGAGAGGAGTCAGATTGTTCTTCCTTATTTTTTCAGCATCAGAGTTTCTCAAAATGGCTGGGACCTCAAAAGATACACCAGTTTTTCCCGAGTTTACAGATTCAGTTTTCTTTTCCCTCCTAATTTGCCTGTCTGAAGTGCTATGTGTAGTCTTAGCTTCAGTCACTGCTCCCCTGGTCTCTGAAAGCAGAGAACACAGCTGTGGTGGCAGGTTTCAGACCAGAGACATAGAACATCTTTGCTTGATCAAATTATAGTGAGTTCAAGATGCAATGCTATTCAAAACATTTCTTGGAGGGCTAGGATGATCAGGACTTCCCTAGCAGTCACTACCCATCATGAGGTGGAAGAGCTAGAGAAGACCTGAGCTGCTCTACATGATGGGGAAGTGAGTTCAAGACACTGGGTGATGTAAAGATGTTTATTGTCATTGAGTCCTTCTTAATTTCAGGTGTGGTTGCAATATACTGCAGATGTCCAAGATCCCCAGCTGCCCCACAATCCCCAAGGCAGGGTGATATTTTAATTCTAGACAATTCCTATAAATAGCTGGCACCCCCAAATCAGACTTCTTGGCACCAAAGAGCTGGCTTATTTTCTTATTGACATGGCCACTTTCTTACACTTGTCTCATGCGTAAGCCACACAGGAAGAACCACAGTGGAAAGGATTCCTTCTGTGAGAATGGAGCCCACATTATGTCCAGTAGATACCCAGGTTGTAGAATTCCTCTCCTTGGGATGATGGGGAGACTTGCTCTTGCTGACACTGGCATTGTGTTATTTCTCCTTATGAAATTAAATCTGCTCCTTAACCTATGACTTACAATACTATGGGATTTGTTTCTATCATTTGCATGGCACACAGCTGCCCAGGAAGAGCCTCTCTGGCAACAGAGTGAAAATCAGAGTTCTAGGAGTTACCGCCTCTGTATGTTGCTTTAGCCAGGATTCAGAGCTAAAGTGTAAGTGTGTGCTTCTGCTTTCTGGATGTATCTCTCAAAATTGCTCTGTCTGTTTATTCAGCTCCTGGATCTACCTTCTCTTTTCTTTGAATTGGACACCATTCATGTCATTGCTCACTCAGAACTTCAGCTGTTCTCATGATCACATGCTTTCTTCCCTGTTTATGTCCTATCCACTCAAGAACACTGCTTGTGAGGGTCACAATGACCTTCCTTTGTAAGCCTTTTCCCACAATTAAATTGTCTTTACACCTGGTCCTTCTCACTTGCATAATTTCCATTTGAAGCACATCCTAGCTACACTGACCAAGGCAGGCATAAGGCAGAAGAATCTAGGAAGTGTCTGTGTGGGAAAATGCAGGAAAAGTTCTTTGCTTGGCTCTTTGAAGGCATAGCCCTGTCCTTGAGGATGCAACTCCAGCACTCCCAAAAGGCAGTGTCCAGAGGAAGGCAGATGACGATGGGTTAAGAGCATCTATTGAAGGTAATGAGGCTGTTCTTCTGTGAGCTAGCAGGAAACTGCAATACCTACAATGTACAGGACAATCTTTTTTTTTTGAGACAGAATCTCACTCATCCAGGCTGGAGTGCAGTGGCATGATCTCAGCTCACTGCAGCCTCCACCTCCCGGGTTCAGGAAATTCTCATGCCTCAGCCACCCGAGTAGTGGGGATTATAGGCAGGTGCCACCATACCCGGCTAATTTTTGTATTTTTGGTAGAGATGGGGTTTCACCATGTTGGCCAAGCTGATCTTACATTCCTGACCTCAAGTGATCCACCTGCCTCGGCCTCCCAAATTGCTGGGATTACAGGTGTGAGCCACTGTGCCTGGCCTAGGACAAGTCTTATTCAGGCCATGACTGCTGTGATGGTTACTTTTATTTGTTAGCTTAGCTAGGCATGGTGCCCACTTTTTGGAAAAACAACAGTTTAGAAGTTGCTGTGAAGTTGTTGTTTGTTTGTTTGTTTTAAATGTGATTAACATTTAAATCAGTAAAATTTGAGTAAAACAGATTACCTCCATAATATGGGTCAGACTCATTGGATCAGTTGAAAGTCTTAAGAGAAAAGCTTGAGGTCCCTTGAGGAAGAAGATTAGGGAGAAAAAGAAACCATAATTATTATGCCATAAAGAATGAACAAGTCTAGGTTTAAGAAATCAGATAAAGGTTGATAAAATCAGATTGTAAACAACTCAGGAAGCTTACAGAAGAGAATGTGTATAGTCCCATAGGGAAAGAGTTAGAATATAGGTGAGGCTTGCCACAGGCTAAGTTTACAAAGAGAAAGATAATCTTAGTCCTGACAGGGCTCATGAGAAGAAGATAAGGAGTGGACAGAGAGGGAGTTATAGACACCAACACACATGAAGCATATGCTGTGTGCATTACACTGCTCTAAACATTTTAACATATATTAGCTCAATCTTTATTACAACCCTGTGAAGGTGGTTGCCATTTTTATTCCATTTTACAAGAGGAGAAACAGAGACCCAGGAGATAAATATCTAACCCAGACCATATAGCCAGTATATGGCAGAGTCAACTTTGCAAGCAGGTTTTGTGGAATCTGAGTTTTGATTTACAGTATCTGAGAACCTCTTTTTGAAATAGAATCCAAACTTACAAATGTAAACTACAGGTACAGGATCTTGGAGGAGGCACCCATAAGTAGGAAGCCCTGAGGCTTCATGCCATTAACTTAATGGCGAATACACCTTTGGGTGGGGCCAGAATTTCCACGCTGGCAGTCTGGCCCTGGAACATGACCCTTTAACCACTGCACTGCCTACTGGCGAGAACAAGTTGCAAAGTTAGTAACTGGCAGAGTTAGGGGTTCAAAATCAAGTAGTCTGATACCAGAGTTTATGTCCTTAAACACTTGTCTAGTCTATTTATTGATGTAGCAACAGTTTAAAGTTGAGAAAAGGAAACTCACAGAGGTTTTAATAAGTTGTTCAAGTCACAGAGCCAACAAATAACAAAGGTATTGAAGTTTGGCTTGGCCATATGACTAAGCCAAACCATTGGAACCCAGATAGAAGTGAATCCGGAGTTGGCACTTAGAGTGACTACTCTATATTTCCTCTTACTTAATAAAAGCATAATTGGCACAAGACTTGTAGAAGGGCATCTAATGCATACTGAAGATGTAAGATGTAATGAGTTGTTTCTTAGAGGAGGTTATATCCAAGCAAAATCTCTCAGAGGTGAGAGAAGCTGGAGTGTGACTCTTTTCTTAGAAACTCTGTCATCTTTAGTGTCATTTCTTTCTTTCTTCCTTTTTTTTTTTTTTTTTTTTTGGTGGAGTTGCACTCTTGTCACTCAGGCTGGAGTGCAGTGGCGCAATCTCGGCTCACCGCAACCTCCACCTCTTAAGTTCAAGTGATTCTCCTGTCTCAGCCTCCTGAGTAACTGGGATTACAGGTGCCTGCCACCACACCCAGCTAATTATTTTTATTTTTAGTAGAGACGGGGTTTCACCATGTTGTCCAGGCTGGTCTCAAACTCCTGACCTCAGGTGATCCACCCCCCCTTGGCCTCCCAAAGGGCTGGGATTACAGGCGTGAGCCACAATGCCTGGCCTTTAGTGTCATTTCTAAGGTCACCCTGGTGATGTAGGGGCCAAGGGAAAACTTTTTTTCTGCCTTCTGAAGTTTCACTGAGAAATAAACTGACAAAAAGTAGATTAATAGGAGAAATGGCATACAAGTTTATTAACGTGCATGGGAGAGAATGATGACCTCCAACTCCTCAGTGGGAGTACAGAAGCTCATGTACCATCTTGAGGTTACAAAAGAATGAGGTCTTGGAGCATGGCCAAAACCAGGTTATGGTAGTAAATCAGGTTACAGTGGTGCTACAGGTTATGGGAGGGGAAAAGAGGAAGCCTGGCTAGCAAAGGTGGTCTTGCTATTGTCGACCAAAAGAGTTAAACTCTGTAAAATATTTTAGGAGATTTATTCTAAGCCATATATGAGTGATCATGGCCTGTGACACAGCCCTCAGGAGGTCCTGAGAACATGTGCCCAAGGAGGTGGGGGTACAGCTTGGTTTATATATTTTAAGTGAGGCATGAGACATCCATCAAATACATTTAAGAAAGACATTGGTTTGGTTCAGAAAGGTGGGACAACTCAAAGGGCAGGGGCGGGGGGAGGGGTCTAGGCTATAGGTAAATTTAAACATTTTCTGTTTGACAATTAGTTGAGTTTATCTGAAGACCTGGGGTCAATAGAAAGAAAATGTTCAGGTTAAGATAAAGGATTGTGGAGATCAAGTTTTACTGTGCAGAAGAAGCTCTCAGATAGCAGACTTCAGAGATAGCAGGTGGTAAAATGTTTCTTATCGGACTTAAAAGGGTGCCTGGCTCATAGGTGATTATCTCCTGGATCTGGAAAGGAAGGAAGGAAAAGAAAGGAGTAAGGGGATTCTCTATAGAATGTGGATTTTTCCCACAAGAGACTTTGCAGGGCAATTTCAAGGCATGGCAAGGAAATGTATTTGGGGGTAAAACATTTTGATTTTCTTCCTTGTTATGCCAGAGTCAGATTGGAAAGTAAGTCACCATATACAGGGTTAAAATAAAACCCATCTGATGAGCATTTATGGTCTCCAGACCCCTTAGATAGGAATTTGGCCAAGATTAAAACAAACAAATACACACACACAAAAACAGAGCTTAGTCCTCACTATGCAGGTGAAATCTCACAGATAGTAGCCCTCAGAGAGAATAGGTAAATGTTTCTTTCAGACCTTTAAAGGTATCAGACTCTCAGTTAATCTTTCCTAGATCTGCAAGGGAGGACCTCAGGAAAAGCCTGTTGCATCAATGCAGATTCTCTAGAGACACAAATCTCCCCACAAAAGACAGCTTTGCAGCACTGCTTCTGTTTGCAGATCCTCTAACAGCCATCTCAAAGTATGTCAAAGGAGTATATTTTTGGGTGAAATAGTTTTGTTTTCTTCAGGTATTAGTATTCAGCTTTTAAGAGGTGAAAGAGAGAATGGAGAATTATGGAGTGTTTTATTTTTTTTTTAATGGGCAAGATTTGGAAGTGGCTTCCAAATCATAGAATGTCATTCATTCTTTGTCCCCGTTGCCACAGCTTAGTCCTGTAGCCAAATCAAACTGCAGGAGAGATTGGGAAATTTAGCATACCTGTATGCTTAGGAGGAAAGGGAAACAGATTTGGTAAGTTGCTGTGTTCCTTTACATATGTGGTATGTGTATCTGTGTTTTTTATAGAGAATGTCATCCTAAAATAATCAAAAACATCAGAGTGTAGTTGAAAGAGAGTTTATTCAAGCACAGTGCTTGAGGATGTACCCACCAGCAAGCACAGATTCCAAAGAATGGAAGTCAGTGTTCCAAAGTATAAAAGTTTCAGATCATTTATACAGATAAAGTTCAGGGAAGTTTAGCAGAATTTCAACACCTTTCTATGGAAGGCTTAATGCATAGTTACAATGATCTGATTAGTTGAGGTGTTTTTTTTCTTTCTGGAAAGATATCTCTAACATTCCACACTGAAGATGTAACCCTCAGGGGGTCTGTTTTGAGGATGCAATCTGGTCTGAGTTAGGTACAGAACAATAGAGGAAGCAGTTAATCTAGAATAAATATCAGTGATTGGAAGGAGGAAGTCTGTTCTCTGGTCTTTCTTAGTCATTTACAGAACCAGAACAATGAGGAAGACGGTTAAGCTGTAATCTAAGAAGCAGAATTGCAAAACATGCTACATGACTCAGATCACAGTAGCAGCTCTCTCAAAGTTTAAGGAGTTTGCAGTGTTCTAACAGATTTTAAATTTTATTCATTTTCACAAAAATATCAAAATGTTTTCCAAAGTTGTGGTGCCATTTTATACACTGCACAACAGTTTCCCAATATTTAATATTGTCAATACTTTTAATCTTGGCTTTTCTGGTGGATATGTAGTGGAGCTTGTTGTGATTTACTTTGAATGTTTGTGATTATTAGTGGTATTTAGCCTTTTTATATGTCATCTGGATATTATATATTCTCTTTTGTGAGGTGCCTATTCAAGCCTTTGCTTGTTTTTCAATTGTAACTGCCTGAGAGGTTCTTTCTGCCTGCTGCACAAAGAAAGACCATGGCATTGCAGTAAAGAAAGTTTAATAGACCTGAGACTGGCCACACCACGTGGGACATGGAAGTAGTACTCAAATCAATCTCCTCCAAGCTCATAGTTAAGAGGATTTTTTCAAAGCCAGTTTAGGGAAAGGGTGGCAGTGGCCAGGTAATGGATGCTTGCTGATGATTGGTTGGGTTGGAGGTGAAATCATATGGGTTGAAGCTGTCCTTGTAAACACCCAAGGGGTTCACCTTGCCTGCTGCCTAGACAAAGTGCCAATTCATCAAGACAGGACTTGCAATAGAGAAAGAGTAATTCATGCAGAGCAGGCTGTATGGGAGACTGGAGTTTTATTATTACTCAAATCAGTCTCACAAGATAATTTCTTATCTTGTGGCTAATGTTAGTCCTACAAAGGCAATCTTGTCCCCCAGCAAGAAGGTCTGCTTTGGGAAAGGGCTGTCTGTGTTTTAAACTATAAACTAAGTTTCTCCCAAAGTTAGTTTCAGAAATTCTCCTTGTTGTATCTGAAAATATGCCATTCCAGTGAAAGCCTTGAATAGGCAGTGTCTCCAATTGTGTCCTGCTACAAAGAAAAACAGATTCTTATTGAACTCATGAAAATAACAATATTGCCATGAAATAATAATGTTCTTGAATAGCTTCTAAATTCTGGAGAAATCAGGTAGAGAGAAAGGTAAATGTCTCAATTTGCTCACGAAAGTTTACTTTACCTATTGCTATAAGCCATGAAGAGCTCAAAAGAAAAAAAAGTTTTTAGGACTTTGGAAAACAAAACAAAAAGATTTTACAATGTTTTAAGCAAAAAGAAGTAAAAATTATTTCAGTCCTTCCTTAGTTCAGTTCCATGGAATTAATTCTTTTTCTGCTCGATATTGGCCTAGCAATCTTCATAAATACATCAGTTGTTTTTATGAGAGTTCTGGAAGTATTTTTTACCTAGTCCAATGGTATGATCTCCAAAGTTATCAGAAACCTGTATTCAAGAGCACTTGGGCCAGGCACGATGGCTTATGCCTGTAATCTCAATCACTTTTGACCACAGAAGATGACTTTCATAAACATTTTAAACCTCTTATAATTTTTTCCATTCTCTTTCTTTTCCTGAATTCCTATATCCATTCACTTTATCTCATTGTTCTTCTTTTATTTCTTCAATTTAGTACAACTTTTAAATAACCTCTAACCTAGGCAAAATCGCTTTTCCTTTAACAAAAAACATATCCTCATATCCATCTTATAACCATCCTCACCAAAAAAAAATCTTATGTGTTTTTTGTACATTCTGTGTATAGAATTGTTATCCTTCTTATCCCTAATTCTAGTTACCATGTATTAATTAGAATTTTAACTCCTAGTAACCTTAATTCATAGTGAAAACCTAAGAAGTAAGCAATTTTTAAGTGTCAGTCACATACCAACGGTTTATGAATATGAATTTTTATAATATTTAGAAACATAGGCTTTCTAATGGAACATTCTTTAAAAATGTAGAACAGGGCCAGGCGCGGTGGCTCGTGCCTGTAATCCCAGCACTTTGGGAGGCTGAGGCAGGATGATCATGAGTTCAGGAAATCAAGACCCTCCTGGCTAACATGGTGAAACCCCGTCTCTACTAAAAATACAAAAAATTAGCCGGGCATTGTGGCGGACACCTGTAGTCCCAGCTACTCGGGATGCTGAGGCAGGAGAATGGCATGAACCCAGGAGGCAGAGCTTGCAGTGAGTCGAGATTGCACCACTGTACTCCAGCCTGGGCGACAGAGCTAGACTCCATCTCAAAAAAAAAAAAATGTTGTGGGAAGTCAGGGACTCCAAACAGAGGGACTGGCTGGAGCCACGGCAGAGGAACATAAACTGTGAAGATTTCATGGACATTTATCAGTTCCCAAAATTAATACTCTTAAAATTTCTTATGCCTGTCTTTACTTTAATCTCTTAATCCTGTTATCTTCATAAGCTGAGAATGTATGTCACCTCAGGACCGCTGTTGTACAAATTGATTGTAAAACATGTGTGTTTGAACAATATGAAATCAGTGCACCTTGAAAACGAACAGATAACAGTGATTTTAGGGAACAAGGGAAGACAACCAAAGATCTGACTGCCTGCAGGGTCGGGCAGAATAGAGCCATATTTTTCTTCTTGCAGAGAGCCTATAAATGGACGTGCGAGTAGGAGAGATATCGCTGAATTCTTTTCCCAGCAAGGAATATTAATAATTAATACAATGGGGAAGGAATGCATTCCTGGGGGAGGTCTATAAACGGCTGCTCTGGGAGTGTCTGTCTTATGTGGTTGGGATAAGGGCTGAAATACGCCCTGGTCTCCTGCAGTACCCTCAGGCTTATTAGGGTGGGGAAAAGATCCTGCCCTGGTAAATTTGAGGTCAGACTGTTTCTCTGCTCTTGATCCCTGTTTTTTGTTGTTTAAGATGTTTATCAAGACAATACGTGCACAGCCGAACGTAGACCCTCCTCAGTAATTCTTTTTTTTTTTTTTTTTTTGAGACATGGTCTCGCTCTGTCACCCAGGCTGGAGTGCAGTGGTGTGATCTTGGCTCACTGCAAGCTCCGCCTCCCGGGTTCACGCCATTCTCCTGCCTCAGCCTCCCGAGTAGCTGGGACTACAGGCGCCCACCACCATGCCTGGCTAATTTTTTTTGTATTTTTAGTAGAGACGGGGTTTCACTGTGTTAACCAGGATGGTCTTGATCTCCTGACCTCGTGATACACCTGCCTTGGCCTCCCAAAGTGGTAGGATTACAGGCGTGTGCCACCACACCCGGCCCAGTAATTCTAATTTTGCCCTTTGCCTTGTGATCTTTGCTTTGACCTTTGCCTTGTGATCTTTATTGCCCTTTAAAGCATGTGATCTTTGTGACCTACTCCCTGTTCATACACCCCCTCCCCTTTTAAAGTCCTTAATAAAAACCTGCTGGTTTTGTGGCTCAGGGGACATCATGGACCTACCGATATGTGAGGTCACCCCCAGAGGCCCAGCTGTAAAATTCCTCCTTTGTACTCTTTCTCTTTATTTCTCAGACTGGCCGACAGTTAGGGAAAATAGAAAGGACCTATGTTGAAATATTGGGGGCTGGTTCCCCCGATAAAAATGTAAAACAGGACATTTTTACTAAGAAATATAAATATCTTTTGTTTCTCTGAAATAAGAAGTCAAAAGTATTTAAGCTTCAACTCATAGTCATTAATGTCTTAGAATTGTATCTTATTTAGAGATAATTTAGATATTCAATGAATATCCATCCTTTAATTTAGCATAGCAAATTTTGAGGGTATAGTTAACAAAAAGATTTTAAAAACCTTTAAAAATGTTTGTATTAGTCAGGGTTCTCTAGAGGGACAGAACTAATAGGATACATGAGTTTATTAAGTATTAACTCACAGGATCACAAGGTCCCACAATAGGCCGTCTGGAAGCTGAGGAGCAAGGAAAGCCAGCCTGAGTCCCAAAACTGAAGAATATGGAGTCTGATGTTTGAGGGCAGGAAGGGTCCAGCTTGGGAGAAACATGTAGGCTGGGAGGCTAGGCCAGTGCAGTGTTTTGTTTTGTTTTCTTTTTTTTTGAGGTGGAGTCTCACTCTTGTCACCCAGGCTGGAGTGCAGTGGTGCGATCTCGGCTCACAGCAATCTCCACCTCCCGGGTTCAAGTGATTCTCCTGCCTCAGCCTCCTGAGTAGCTGGGATTACAGGTGCCTGCCACCACATCTGGCTAATTTTGGTATTTTTAGTAGAGACAAGGTTTCACCATGTTGGCTAGGCTGGTCTCGAACTCCTGACCTCAGGTGTTCCACCTGCCTTGACCTCCCAAAGTGCTGGGGTTACAGGCGTGAACCACTGCACCTGGTCCCAGTCTTGTCATTTTACGTTTTCCTGTCTGCTTTATATTCTAGCAGCTGATTTTGATGGTGCTCACCCAGATTAAGGGTGGGTCTGCCTTTCCCAGCCCACTGACTCAAATGTTAGTCTCCTTTGGCAACACCCTCAAAGACACACCCAGGATCAATAATTTGCATTTTTCAGTCCTATCAAGTTGACACTCAGAATTAACCATCACAACCTTTTTAAGTAAGCATATTATAAAACTTAATAGGTATTAATAGTTCATTTATGAACTCATCCCATTTACATCTATTTAATTTATTCACTCTTAACAATTATGTTTGGAAAAGTTTATAAGACATAGGACACATTTGGCCATCATCTCAAGTTAAATTTTCTATTAACTATTTTTATATTACTATATGTTAGGCAAGTATCCTAAAGGCAAGAAACTTAAAGGTTCATTTGGGCCTTTTTAAAAGTCAGTTTTGTCACTTGTATACTATATACAAACACAAACATTTACACAAGTATAAAAATACAGACAAAGATTTTATAGTTTTGATTTGTGAAAGGAAAATAAATCTTGGCACCACAAAATCACTAAGCCAAAGGGAAAAGGCAAGCCGGGGACTGCTTAGGGCAAACCTGCCTCCCATTTTATTATCCCTAAATAAGATAGCTACAGAGATAAGAAGCCACATACCTCCCTCACAATTTTCCCACAAGGAAATTCTTTGTGGACAAAGAACAGACAGAACTCAAAATTGTCCCTCTGAGGCTTGCCTGAGACAGATGCATATCTAATTACTTCCTCTGACCTATTGTTTATGTAAAAATGCAGATTCACTGAGACAGATTAAATTGTGTATTCAGTGGAAGACTGATCAAGTACTTAAAATAATGCAGCCTTTTGTCTTTTATCTACTTCTAACATGGAAACCCCCACTTTGAGTTGTCCTGCCTTACTGGAACGAACCAATGTACATTTTACACATTTGATTGATGCCTCATATCTCCCTAAAATAAAGCAAGCTGTACCCTGACCACCTTGGGCACATGTTGTCAGGATGTCCTGAGGCTGTGTCATGGGTGCTTTCTTAGCTTTGGCAAAACAAACTTTCTAATTTGACTGAGACCTGTCTCAGTTATTTAGGGTTCACAGATTTTAATATTTTACCCATGAGTCAGGCAAAACTCAGTAGTTTAAAAAGACAGTTGGAATCAAACTGTGGCTTTGTAAATGGAACGAGTTAAAGTTTATCTGTCTCACAGGCTGAAGCCCTTACTGATTTACAAAACAAGGTAGGAAATTTATGTTTCATAGTACAGAGAAAGAGTTTAAGCTTTCAAAAGGCCAGTGAAGTTTTACATCATTCTTGGCACAAATCATGTCAACAAAACAGAAGCAAACTAAGGGAGTGCATACAGTTAGTAAGGTATAAAAAAGAAATAAAATTCTAAGCCCCCTAACTGACTGATGGGCCCTCCCCTCTGCCAAGGACATTCCAAAGTTAATCTGAAAAATTAGTTCAGGCCATGATGGGAAGTGGGGTGCCACTGGACATGCCTCGCAGCTGACCAGTGTTAACATCAACACAAAGACCTTAAGACTAATAGAGCAGGCTGGATGTGGTGGCTCGCTCCTGTAATCCCAGCACTTTGGAAGGCAGAGGCAGGTGGATCACATGAAGTCAGGAGCATGGCCAACATGGTGAAACCCTGTCTCTACTAAAAATACAAAAATTAGCTGGGTATGGTGGCCCATGCCTGTAGTCCCAGCTACTTAGGAAGCTGAGGCAGGAGAATCACTTGAACTCAGGAGGTGGAGGTTCCAGTGAGCTGAGATTGCGCCACTGCACTCTAGCCTGGACAACAGAGTGAGACTCTGTCAAAAAAAATACTAATAGAATCTTTAAGTCTGATAGGAAACGTTTACAATCTATTCTCTCTGAGGCCCGCTACCTGGAGGCTTCATCAGTGTGATAAAACCTTGGTCTCTAAAATCCCTTATCTTAACACAGAAATTTCTTTGTATTGATTTCAGGTCTTTAGACAATAACTCTTTCAACCAATTGCCAATCAGAAAATCTTAGAATCTGCCTATGATCTGGGGCCCCCACTTCCTATTGTCCCATTTTTCTGGATTAAACCAATATACATCTTACATTAATTGATTGACGTCTTATGTCTCCCTAAAATATATAAAACCAAGTTGTAGTTCAACCACTTTGGGCACATGTTCTCAGGATCTCCTGAGAGCTGTGTCATGGGTCATTGGTCATTCTTATTGGGCTCAGAATAAATCTCTTCAAATATTTTACTGTTTTTCTTGACAAAAGGGTTAAGAAGAAAGAAATTTAGTCAACTGACAAGTTTTTATAGAGAACAGAGGCCCAATTAAAAAGTATATATGCATATGTATCTTAAATATCAGCTTTTAATTAAATCGACTTTTGACTATAGAGATCTTAAAAAAAAAACTTCAAGTCTCTTATCATATTTCAGCCAGAACAGTCAATATTCCTGCTTTTGTACCATTTCCCCCCTCTTTTAAACCAAAGGTATCTTTGCAAGTGACTCACCAAAACCAATAAGCTTTAACCAATGTTATGATGTAATCAATACATTGATCAACGAGCCTTCTCCAAAGAGATGCAGGACAGTTCTCACAAGATTCCAGATTCATGCCAAAGAAAGTTCAAAGAGAGAAAAGTTTTGCTAGCTACAAATGGGTGTACAACCCATATCACTCTGGCCATATTCTCTAGGGTCTCAGCTTCTCAGTTGACTGGCTACACAGAGAGTTCAGATGAAAAATTTAAAGAGATATTTAATGAAGCAGGAAGACAAAATCTGCCCATAGGGGTAGTGCCAAAAGGTGGGCAAATATAGGAAGGCAAATTTATAGAGGTAAAGTCTGCTCACAGATTCCCCTGGCCCATTAGTGGGCTAATAAGCAGCTGTCTCCAGTAAGGGAGGATTTATGTCCTCGCTTTAGGCAAACAAAAGAAGGGCAGAGAATCTCCCTGCCTTTTAGCTGTGTTTAGCTCAACAATCCTAAGTGTTTTAGAGGGTAATATTTTGGCTTCCTTCAGTAGAATGGATTACAAATGGGTGACCCAAAAGGTGTAGAGTCATACTAAAACCACCTTTGCAAAAATTGTATCAATGAGTAATATAACAGTAAGTTGAGCTAACTACCCCACTGCCCCATCTTGCTGTTTCCTTTATTCCTGGGCGATAGGGCTAAGCTAACTTTTTCTTTTTCTTTTTTTTTTTTTTGAGACAATGTCTTGCTCCATCACACAGGTTGGAGTGCAGTGGCACTATCTCAGCTCATTGCAACCTCTGTCTCCAGGGTTCAAGTTGTTTTCGTGCCTCAGTCACCCAAGTAGCTGGGATTACAGGAGTGCGCCACAATGCCTGGCTAATTTTTTTATTTTTAGTAGATTAGGTGTTTTCCCATGTTGGCCAGGCTGATCTCAAACTCCCGGCCTCAAGTGATCCACCCACCTCAGCCTCCCAAAGTGCTAGGATTACAGGCATGAACCACTGTGCCTCGCCCTAAGCTATAGTTTGGTGCAAAAGTAATTGCAGTTTTTGCCATTACTTTTAATGGCAAAACTGCAGTTAGCTTTGAACCAATCTAATACTTTTGGAAGACATTTAGACTATAGTTTAAATGATAGCAGGCCTAAAACTTAACAGGCTTTGTAAAGCTAATGGGAGGCCATGAGGCTTGGGGAAGGAGAGGAGGCTGAGTCTGGCTAAGACTCAGACATGAATGATTGTTTGCCACTATTCTTGAGGTTATAAGATAGGCAACTTCTCCAATTATTCCTGCAGATGACACCACTTTTGTAGACTGACCCTTTGAGACATCCTTTCAGGTTTTTTTGCATGTCTAACACCCATGGCTCCACCTGGACCCACCAATCCCACTGCTGTGGCCCCACCTACAAGCTATCCAGCCTGCAGGAGTACAGCTTTAACGCCTATGATTTCATCTCCAGCCCAACCAATTAGCAGCAAACCTAGCCACCCCGACCCCTTCCCCCAAACTGCCTTTGAAAAACTCCTAACCTATGAGCTTTGGATGAAATGATTTGAGTCCCAGTGAAGCAGCATCGTTCATCTGGGGTAATACCTGAGATTTGTTGCCTCACACCAAGGAAATCAAGGATGTGGATACACAAGCAGTGAGGTTAAGAACAGAGGCTTAACAGGCAAAAGAAAGAGAAAAGCTCTCTCCTGAAGAGAGAGGGGGTCCGGAGCAAGTTTTCCAGTCTGCAGTGAAGTGTAGGAAATTTTTTAGATGAGCTTGAGGAGGCGGTATCTGATTTACATAGGGCGTGAAAGATTGGTCAGGCCAGGTGTGCCATTTGCATAGCACAGAAAGAACTGGCTAGGACTAGGTGTGCTGTTTGCATAGCATGTGAAGAAGCTGCCCCCACCAACCCTAATCTTTTATTATGCAGGTGGGTTCTCTACCTGGCCAACACCATGTTGCCTGCTACTTTTTAAATTTTTTTTAATATGCTTTAAGTTCTAGGGTACATGTGCACAACATGCAGACTCGTTACATAGGTATACATGTGCCATGCTGGCCTGCTGCACCCATCAACTCATCATTTACATCAGGTATTTCTCCCAGTGCTATCCCTCCCCCACCCACCCCATGACAGGCCCCGGTGTGTGATGTTCCCCACCCTGTGACCAAGTGTTCTCATTGTTCAATTCCCACCTAAGAGTGAGAACATGCGGTGTTTGGTTTTCTGTCCTTGTGATAGTTTGCTCAGAATGATTGTTTCCAGCTTCATCCATGTCCCTGCAAAGGACATGAAGTCATCCTTTTTATGGCTGCATAGTATTCCATAGTGTATATGTGCCACATTTTCTTAATCCAGTCTATCATTGATGGACATTTGGGTTGGTTCCAAGTCTTTGCTATTGTGAATAGTGCCTCAATAAACTTACGTGTGCATGTGTCTTTATAGTAGCATGATTTACAATCCTTTGGGTATATACCCAGTAAGGGGATCACTGGGTCAAATGGTATTTCTAGCTCTAAATCCCTGAGGAATCGCCACACTGTCTTCCAGAATGGTTGAACTAGTTTACACTCCCACCAACAGTGTAAAAGCTTTCGTATTTCTCCATATCCTCTCCAGCATCTGTTGTTTCCTGACTTTTTAATGATCACCGTTCTAACTGGCATGAGATGGTATCCCATTGTGGTTTTGATTTGCATTTCTCTGGTGACCAGTGATGATGAGCATTTTTTCATGTGTCTGTTGGCTGCATAAATGTCTTCTTTTGAGAAGTGTCTGTTCGTATCCTTTGCCCACTTTTTGATGTGGTTGTTTTTTTCTTGTAAATTTGTTTAAGTTCTTTGTAGATTCTGGATATTAGCCCTTTGTCAGATGGGTAGACTGCAAAAATTTTCTCACATTCTGTGGGTTTCCTATTCACTCTGATGGTAGTTTCTTTTGCTGTGCAGAAGCTCTTTAGTTTAGATTCCATCTGCCTATTTTGGCTTTTGTTGCCATTGGTTTTGGTGTTTTAGTCATGCAGTCCTTGCCTGTGCCTATGTCCTGAATGGTATTGCCTAGGTTTTCTTCTAGGGTTTTTATGGTTTTAGGTCTAACATTTAAGTCTTTAATCCATCTTGAATTAATTTTTGCATAAGGTGTAAGGAAGGGATCCAGTTTCAGCTTTCTACATATGACTAGCCTGTTTTCCGAGCACCATTTATTAAATAGGGAATCCTTTCCTCATTGCTTGTTTTTGTCAGGTTTGGCAAAGATCAGATGGTTATAGATGATGTGTGGTGTTATTTCTGAGGCCTCTGTTCTGTTCCATTGGTCTATATCTCTGTTTTGGTACCAGTACCATGCTGTTTTGGTTACTGTAGCCTTGTAGTATACTTTGAAGTCAGGTAGCATGATGCCTCCAGCTTTGTTCTTTTTGCTTAGGATTGTCTTGGCAATGTGGGCTCTTTTTTGGTTCCATATGAACTTTAAAGTAGTTTTTTTCCAGTTCTGTGAAGAAAGTCATTGGTAGCTTGATGGGGATGGCATTGAATCTATAAATTACCTTGGGCAGTATGGCCATTTTGATGATATTGATTCTTCCTTTGCATGAGCATGGAATGTTCTTCCATTTGTTTGTGTCCTTTTTATTTCATTGAGCAGTGGTTTGTAGTTCTCCTTGAAGAGGTCCTTCACATCCCTTGTAAGTTGGATTCCTAGGTATTTTATTCTCTTTGAAGCAATTGTGAATGGGAGTTCACTCATGAATTGGCTCTCTGTTTGTCAATCATTGGTGTATAGGAACACTTGAGATTTTTGCACATTGATTTTGTATCCTGAGACTTTGCTGAAGTTGCTTATCAGCTTAAGGAGATTTTGGGCTGAGACAATGGGGTTTTCTAAATATAGAATCATGTCATTTGCAAACAGGGACAATTTGACTTCCTCTTTTCCTAATTAAATACCTTTATTTCTTTCTCTTGCCTGACTGCCCTGGCCAGAACTTCCAACACTATGTTGAATAGGAGTCGTGAGAGAGGGCATCTCTGTCTTGTGCCAGTTTTCAAAGGGAATGCTTCCAGTTTTTGCCCATTTAGTATGATATTGGCTGTGGATTTGTCACAAATACCTCTTATTATTTTGAGATGCAGTCCATCAATACTTAGTGTATTGAGAGTTTTTAGCATGAAGGGTTGTTGTATTTTGTTGAAGGCCTTTTCTGCCTCTATTGAGATAATCATGTGCTTTTTGTCAATGGTTCTGTTTCTGTGATGGATTACATTTATTGATTTGTGTATGTTGAACCAGCCTTGCATTCCAGGAATGAAGCTGACTTGACCGTGTCGATAAGCTTTCTGATGTGCTGCTGGATTCGGTTTGCCAGTATTTTATTGAGGATTTTCACATCGATGTTCATCACGGATATTTGTCTAAAATTCTCTTTCTTTGTTGTGTTTTTGCCAGGCTTTGGTATCAGGATGATGCTGGCCTCATAAAATGAGTTAGGGAGGATTCCCTCTTTTTCTATTGATTGGAATAGTTTCAGAAGGAATGGTACCAGCTCCTCTTTGTACCTCAGGTAAAATTCTGCTGTAAATCCATCTGGTCCTGGACTTTTTTTGTTTGGCAGGCTATTAATTATTGCCTCAATTTCAGAGCCTGTTATTGGTCTATTCAGAGATTCAATTTCTTTCTGGTTTAGTCTTGGGATGGTGTATGTGTCCAGGAATGTATCCATTTCTTCTAGATTTTCTAGTTTATTTGTGTAGAGGTGTTTATAGTATTCTCTAATGGTAGTTTGTATTTCTGTGGGATCCGTGGTGATATCCCCTTTATCATTTTTTATTACATCTATTTTGATTCTTCTCTCTTTTGTTCTTTATTAGTCTTGCTAGTGGTCTATCTATTTTGTTGATCTTTTCAAAAAACCAGCTCCTGGATTTATTGATTTTTTGAAGGATTTTTTAGTCTCTATCTCCTTCAGTTCTGCTCTGATCTTGGTTATTTCTTGTCTTCTGCTAGCTTTTGAATTTGTTTGCTCTTGCTTCTCTAGTTCTTTTAACTGTGATGTTAGGGTGTCAATTTTAGATCTTTCCTGCTTTCTTTTGTGGCATTCAGTGCTATAAATTTCCCTCTACACACTGCTGTAAATGTGTCCCAGAGATTCTGATACTTTGTGTCTTTGTTCTCATTGGTTTCAAAGAACATCTTTGTTTCTGCCTTCATTTTGTTATTTACCCAATAGTCATTTAGGAGCAGGTTGTTCAGTTTTCATGCAGTTGTGCGGTTTTGAGTGAGTTTCTTAATCCTGAGTTCTAATTTGATTGCACTGTGGTCTGAGAGACAATTTGTTGTGATTTCTGCTCTTTTACATTTGCTGAGGAGTGCTTTACTTCCAACTATGTGGTCAATTTTCGAATAAGTGTGATGTGGTTCTGAGAAGAATGTATCTTCTGTTGATTTGGGGTGGAGAGTTCTGTAGATGTCTATTAGGTCCACTTGGTGCAGAGCTGAGTTCAAGTCCGGGATATCCTTGTTAACTTTCTGTCTTGTTGATCTGTCTAATATTGACAGTGGGGTGTTACAGTCTCCCATTATTATTGTGTGGGAGTCTAAGTCTTTGTAGGTCTCTAAGGACTTGCTTTATGAATCTGGGTGCTCCTGTATTGGGTGCATATATATTTAGGATAGTTAGCTCTTCTTGTTGAATTGATCCTTTTACCATTTTGTAATTCCCTTCTTTGTCTCTTTTGATCTTTGTTGGTTTAAAGTCTGTTTTATCAGAGACTAGGATTGTAACCCCTGCTTTTTTTTGCTTTCCATTTGCTTGGTAGATCTTCCTCCATCCCTTTATTTTGAGCCTATATGTGCATTTGGACATGAGATGGGTCGCCCGTATACAGCCCACTAACGGGTCTGGACTCTTTATCCAGTTTGCCAGTCTGTGTCTCTTAATTGGGGCATTTAGCCCATTTACATTTAAGGTTAATATTGTTATGTGTGAATTTGATCTTTTCATTATGATGTTAGCTGGTTATTTTGCTCGTTTGTTGATGCAGTTTCTTCCTAGCATCAATGGGCTATTTTTTGTATTTTTAGTAGAGATGAAGTTTTACTGGTCTTGAACTCCTGGCCTCGAGGGATCTGCCTGCCTTGGCTTCCCAAAATGCTGGGATTACAGATGTGGACCACCATACCTGGCCCACAATGTTTTTCTGAAGTCCAAATTACAAACAACAAAAAGCAGCTGTAGTTTTATAAGCGTGCTATGTAATTTACACCAAGAAATGAAACCACCAGTGCCAGATTGCCAATTCTTGTGTTCTCCAAAGAGGTTTTCAGGAGGTTTAGCATTTATACATTTCCTTGAAATGGGGAAGGCATGTAGGTGGTGTGAGGTGAATGGTTACATCCTTGTGAGACTTTAGTTAGTGCCTTGTAAATCTACATTTTACATAAGATAAGGTGAATGTTTTACCAAAAAAAGAGGGAGTAAAGGAAAATCAGTTATGCAGATTTCTCAGGGTAGGTGGAGGATTGATCAATCTCAGCTTGTCTTTGTTCTGTACTTGGGAAGATTATCTTGTAATTGACATTATCAGTCTGAATTTTAACAGACTTTAGTTATAGGAGCTAGACTTATATTGCAGACCTAAAGTTATAATTGACATGCCCTTTTTTTTATGGCAGGATATACCTCCTGAAAGCTTAAGGCCAGCAAAGAACAATTTGTGAAGACAGTCATCAGGGATACCTGAGGCTTTTTGCCTTTCTGCAGGGGTTGTGGCTAATGGATAATGCTTTGACACAAGATTATGAAGTAAAAGCTATTCATTTGGGAAAAGGATGATGTGTTTGTGTTGTGCCACTCAGTCACCAGGCTTAATTTTCCTTTTGATGTAAGGAGTTTGGGGTTCCTGAGATTTTTTTTATTTTCAATTTTTGTGGGTACATCATAAGTATATATATTTATGGGGTACATGAGATACTTTGATATAGGCATGCATTGAGATTTTTAAATTTTCCTTTACAGTGCTCTTGAATCTTCTCTATGCACAAATATATTACTTGCAAATATAACAGTTTTTAAAAATTCTTACCCTTATACTTTGTATTTTTTCTTAATTTACTGTGTAACCATACAATGGACTCTTCTTGCCTGGTGTCCACATATAGCTGGTTTATCGAGGCAGAGGAATTGCAATAGAGAAAGTTTTATACATGTAGAGCCAGTGAAAGGGAAGACCAAGTTTTATTATTGCTCAAATCAGCCTACCAGAGAATTTGGGGGCTAGGATTTTTCCAAGGTAATTTGAGGGAACGGGTGGGGTGGCTAGGCAGTGAGTGCTTGTTGTTGATTCATTGGGGTTGCAATCACAGGGGTGTGGAAGATGGTCCTTCTACAAGCTAAGTCGCCTCTGGGTGGGACCACAGGAGCTTGGGAGGTCCAGCTGAAGCCATTGGTATCGGACATGCGAAAAACCTGAAAATATATCTCAAAAGGCCAATCTTAGGTTCTACAATAGTGATGTTATCTGCAGAAGTAACTGGGGAAGTTGCATATCTTGTGACTTCTGGAATAATGGCTGGCAATCATTTATGTCTACACCTAGCAAAATTCAGGCCTCTCCATCCTCCTAGCCTGGTGGTCTCTCATTAGCTTTACAACAGTGGTTGAGTTTTAGGGAAGGGCTATTATCATTTAAGCTATAAACTAAATGTCTTCCGAAGTTAGCTTAGCCTAAGCTCAGGAATAATTAAGGTCAACTTGAAGACCAAAGGCAAGAAGGAATTTGGCCAGATTACATCCCCTTCACTGCCATAATCTTCTAATTGTTGTAATTTTTGCAAAGGCAGTTTCAATCTTATCATTTACACCCTCCAGGACAATGTTTAATACACAAAATGATAGTGAAAATCCTATGGTATTCCTGGCTGTAAAGGGAAAGCTGTTGATAATTCGATATTAAACTTAGTACTTGGTGTATATGGTTGAAGATATTCTTTGTAAGACTAAAGAATTTTTATTTTTTTTACTAGCTGTGGTAGGCTGAATAGTGGCTCCTCCAAAGAAGTCCAAGTCCTCCAGAGCCTGTGAATCTGTTACCTTACCTGGCAAAAGGTACTTTGCAGATGTGTCTAGTGTTGGAAATCTTGAGATGAGAAGATTATCTTGGATTTTACAAGTGGGCCCAATCATATCACATGAATCTTTAAAACCGGAGTCTTTCTCTATTTTGATTAACTGGAAAGATTTGAAAACAGAAGAGTCAGAGAGAATGCAATGTTGCTGGCTTCGGAGATAGAGAAAGGGGCCAAAAGTCAAGGAATCAGAATAGGTTCTAGCTGGAAATGGCAAGAAAATTGATTCTTTCTTTGAGTCTCAGAAGGAATTGTAAACCAAAAATAAAATTCTAAGCATGGCCCAACCATCTGAATGGACACCCCCTCTCAGCCAATGGCATTCCAAAGTTAGTAGAAGAAAACTTAGGGTAAAAGCTCTTTGATACTGGCCTTGGTAATGATTTTTTAGATACCACAATAAAAGCTCAGACAACAAAAGCAAAAATAAACAAGTGGGACTACAATGATCTATGTTTATTTAGGAGTATGCTTTATTCTCCAAACATAAAATTTTTATCATTTATTTTAGATTATTTGCATTGATTTTGGAGGACATACTCTGTGTGGTAGACAAAATAATAGTACTCTAAATTATCCATGTCATTGGTTTTTCCTGGCACCCCTGTAAACATTGCAGTCTTTTTTGAATCAACGGATAAGCAGATGTTGACTACAGAATATACAACCCCCCATATTAATAAAAAAAATCAACTAGTTTGTTCCTCTCTGTCAATTGTACATGGAGTTCCTGGGGATTTGATGACAGGTTGGCTAAACATATATATTTAAGAGGTTACAGAAGAAGCTATGTGTCATGTGTGTGAAGAGACCACCAACAGGCTTTGTGTGAGCAACAAGGCTGTTTATTTCACCTGGGTGCAGGTGGCCTGAGTCCAAAAAAGGAGTCAGCAAAGGGTGGTGGGATTATCATTAGTTCTATAGGTTTGGGATAGGCGTACAAAGTACATTCTTAAGGGTGGGGGAGAATATTACGAAGTACCTTTTTAAGGGTTGGGGAGACTATATCTTATCAGTTAGGGTGGGGCAGGAACAAATCACAGTGGTGGAATGTCATCAGTTAAGGCTATTTTCCCTTCTTTTGTGGATCTTCAGTTGCTTCAGGCCATCTGGATGTATACGTGCAGGTCACAGGGGATATGACGGCTTAGCTTGGGATCAGAGGCCTGACATTCCTGTCTTATATTAATAAAAAACAAAACAAAACAAAATAGTGGTGAAGTGTTGGGGTGGTGAAAATTTTGGGGGGTAGTATGGAGAGATAATGGGTGATGTTTCTCAGGGCTGCTTCCAGCGGGATTAGGGGTGGCATGGGAACCTACAGTAGGAGAGATTAAACTGAAGAAAGGCTTTGGGGTAAGGGGTGATATTGTGGGGTTGTTAGAAGGAGCGTTTGTCCTATAGAATTATTGGTGATGGCCTGGATGCAGTTTTGTATGAATTGAGAAACTAAACAGAAGACACAAGGCACGAATAAAAGAAGGAGAAAAGTAGGTATTAAAGGATTAAGAATTGGGAGTACCCAGGACATCCAATTAGAGAGTGTCCAGAGGGGTTCAGTGTTAATTATTTGCTTGGTTGGCAAGTTTTTGGGCTCTATCCTTGAGTTTTTTGATACTGTTTACCAGGCCAGACTGATTTAGGTAAAAACAACACTCTTCATTTAAAAATATACAGAGTCCCCCTTTTTTTTTAGCAGTGAGTAAGTCAGGGCCTTGGCGAGTTTTGAGGAAAGAGAAATGCAAAGCCAGCAATTGTTTGTTAAAGAAGGATTAGAAACGGGTAGGAGAGAGTGAGTGAGATTGATAGTGTGGTGGAGATAGCTGGGGAGAGGTAGAGGGTGGCATAAGAACAGGAACGAGAATAAGAGTGAGTATAAAAGTAAAGAATAGGACTTCATCAGGGTGAAAGTATTGGAGTGTGTCCTGTCAGCAAAGATTGTCTGTGCACTCCAAGAGGCAGTCAAGAGTGGCGGGTTGGGGATAAATTTTCATGATGGAAAGGAAACGAGAGGTTTTAAGAGGTGGGCTAACAGCTTGTAACCTACATGGAAGAGGTTATGAAATGACGACAGAATAGAATGGGCCTGTGAGGCTGGAAGGAGATTTTTTTTTGGTCTAAGAACCATCTGCCTTGAGTGGAGAGGGATTGATAGGTGGAAACTTCAGTAAGAGAGTAAATAGGCATGACCAATGAGATGGAGAAAAACTGGCTATGAGGGACAGAAGTTGGAACACTAGCTGCTTCTTTAGCTACCTTATCAGCATAAGCATTGCCCTGAGTGATGGGATCTGATGCCTTTTTGATGGCCCTTGCAGTGAATGACTCCAGCTTCCTTGGAAGTAAAGCAGCTTTAAGAAGAGTTTTTATTAAGGAGGCATTAATGATGGAGGACACTTGTGTAGTGAGGAAATTTCCTTCTGCCCATATAACAGCATGGTGGTGCAGGATATGGAAGGCATATTTAGAGTCAGTATAAACATTGATGCGTAGTCCCTTTGCAAGAGTGAAGGCCTGAGTTAAGGCAATGAGTTCAACTTGCTGAGAGGTAGTGGAGAGGGGCAGAGCAGTAACCTCAGTGATAGATGTGGAAGACACTATAGCACACCCTGCCTTTGCTGGTGAGTGGCGATTAGGCCTGGTGGAATTGCCATCAATAAACCAAGTGTGATCAGTGTGAGGAACAGGAAAGAAGGAAATATGGGGAAATGGAGTGAATGTCAGGTGGATCAGAGAGATACAGTCATGGGGATCAGGTGTGGCATCTGGGATAATGTGGGAGGCCAGATTGAACTCTGGGCCAGGAACAATGGTAATTGTAGGAGACTCAACAAGAGTGAGTATAGCTGAAGGAGCTGGGGGGCAGAAAGTATATGTGTCAAGTGTGAGGAGGAAAATAGATTTTGAAAGTTATGGGAACTGTAGAGAGTAAGTGGAGTATAGCTTGTGATTTTGAGGGGCTTTAAAAGTATTAAAGCAGCGGCAGCCACTTCACGCAGACATGAGGGCTAGGCTAAAACAGTAAAGTCAAGTTGTTTGGACAGAAAGGCTACAGGGCACAGTCCCAGCTCTTGTGTAAGAATTCTGACTGCGCAGCCCTGTACTTTGGCTGTGTGTAATGAAAAGGGTTGGGATGAATTAAGGAGAGCTAGTGTGGGAGCAGCTTTTAGGGCTGTTTTTTAAGGAATGGAAAGGGGAGTGGGGAAAGGATTTAGGATTTATGGGGTCAGCTAGGTTTATCTAGAACAGAATAATGGGTTGTAGAGGGAGGTATTGAGGATAGGAGAGTATATGTATTTGGCACCACAGGGTGGATAGGCAAGACAGTTTGGTTGATAAGGCGCAGATCCTGAACTAACCTGTAAGACTTGTCTGGTTTTTGGATAGGTAAAATGGGGGAATTGTAAGGAGAGTTTATAGGCTTTAGAAGCCCATGCTGTAGCAGGAGAGTGATAACAGGCTTTAATCTTTTTAAAGTGTGCTGTGGGATGGGATATTGGCATTGAGCAGGGTAAGGGTGATTACGTTTTAATGGGATGGTAAGGTGTGCATGATCAGTCACGAAGGAGGGAGTAGAGGTGTCCTATACTTGTGGATTAAGGTGGGGAGATACAAGGGGAGGATGTGAAGGAGGCTTTGAACTGAGGAAAAAGGTGGCAATGAGGTGTGGCTGTAGCCTAGGAATAGTCAGGGAAGCAGATAATTTAGTTAAAATGTTTCGACCTAATAAGGGAGCTGGGCAGGTAGGGATAACTAAAAAGGATTGTATAAAAGAACATTGTCCAAGTTGGCACCAGAGTTGGGGAGTTTTAAAAGGTTTAAAGCCTCTTGTCAATACTCACAACAGTTATGGAGGCAAGGGAAACATGCCCTTGAAAAGAAGGTAATGTGGAGTGGGTAGCCTCCATATTGATTAAGAAGGGGACAGACTTACCCTCCACTGTAAGAGTTACCCAAAGCATCTGTGATGGTCCTGTAGGCTTCCAAGGTGATTGGGCAGCATCAGTCTTCAGCCACTAAGCCGAGATCTGGGAAGGAGTCAATCAGAGATCCTTGGGCCAGAGTTCTAGGGGCTCTGGGAATGGCTGCTGGGTGAGTTGGACAGTCTGATTTCCAGTGGGGTCCTGCACAGATGGGACACAGCTTAGGAGGAGTCCTGGGCTGCAGGCATTCCTTGGCCCAGTGGCCAGATTTCCGGCACTTGAAGCAAGATCCTGGGGGAGGTGGTCCTGGAGGAATGCCTTGCCCCTGCGGTTTAGGCATTTTGAAGTTCTTGTGTGCTGGAGATGTGGCTGGGTTTCTCTCACAGTGGAGGCAAGTAATTGCAACTCTTCTCTATTATTGTACCCCTTGAAGGTGAGATCAATTAAGTGCTGTTGTGGGGTTGAGGGCCAGAATCTAATTTTTGGAGCTTTTTCTAATGTCGGGAGTGGGTTGGGTAGTAAAATGCATATTGAGAATAAGACAGACTTCAGGCCCCTCTGTGTCTAGGGTGGTAAAGTGTCTAAGGCTTGTTG